>NC_000004.12:2054545-2361042 GCF_000001405.40 Homo sapiens | reverse complement strand
CAAAAATTTTAACAAGTGAGTACTTCCTATTTATATCAATTGATTCCCTTTATTGTGGACATTGTATTTAAGGACATTTAAAAACTGAATTTAAAATGAAATTGTAAAATGTCATTGAATAAAGCTGGTGGATTCAAATCAAAGGGAGATGCTTTGTCAGTGATGGAACATTAACCGCCCCTCCCCATTTATCTGTCGGGCCCGCAGGCTCACTTGAGGGTGAGCCCCGTCGTGCTGGACAGATTTAACACTAAGTGATGAGTAGGTTGAGATTATAATTGTTTGCTTTATACTCTGCATACTTAGAAATGGAAATTTAGTACCCCAAATTTTCTTCTGGATTCTGTTAATCAGGATAGACTGAATTTTGTAAGCTGTGTTCATTCATTTCCTGGGACCCCTGCCTGAAGGTGTCTGCTCACAGTGAGGGGTCTGGGTGGGATGACTGACACAATGAATAAAGACCCCTCCTGCTCCCGCCCCAGGCACTGCTGGGACCATGTGGGAAACTTGGCCTCTTCCTCTGAAATACTGGTCCTGAATGGCCGGGACGCTAGCTCAGGGGCTAACTCAGCTTTTCAAATAGCACGGGGTTTCTGTGTGTGCGTGCGTGCCTGTGTGTGTGTGTGTGTGTGTGTGTGTGTGTGTGTGTGATTACAGCTCTCTTTTTGCAGATGGTCAACACCTTTGTAGGTCTGGTTTTAAGGTCTTTAATTTACTGAAATCAAGGTACAGCGGCAGGGTATTTGCTTGTGGGCACTGATGCCAAGTCAGCAGTGTGACTGTGGTGCCCGTCATGGCATGGTGTGGGGCGGGGTGTGGTGAGTGTTGTTCCTCGTGGTCGTGAAGACACTCGGAGCTTCCCTGTTCTCGGGGGCAATGGCTTTGGACACGCTGTTCAGGATGCCCCTTTCCCACGCGCAGGCAATTATACCGTCAGAGCCCATGGCCCCTAGACATCATGGAGGCCTCCTCAAATCACAGAGAACCACAAATGGCCTCGCAGGTTGTTGTAGACGCCGTGCGCTTGTCCGGGGTGGGTAAAGGCTCCGAGGCTCAGGTCCAGGGCCCGAGGGGGCTGTCCTTCCAGGTGGATGGGGGTCCCCAGGGTCTTTCAGGGAAGCTTGAGCCCACCCCAAGAGCAGCTTCCTCAGAGTTGTACAGGCCCACAGATTTGAGGTTTTACCTTGGAGGAGGGTTACCTGGCAGGGTTTGCTAAGTGGATGTCAGGGCTCCCAGGCCCTCCTGCATGGCACTGCAGCATGGAGGGGTCTGGCCAAGGGTTGGCTCCCCAGCCTGCTTCTGGGCCTTCCACACAGGTCAGGCGGCCGCAACAAAGGACTCCAGACTCGGTAGCCGGAACGGTAGGAATGTATTTTCTCTCAGTCCTGGAGGCCAAAAGTCCCAGACTACTGCGTGGCAGGGCTGGGTCCCTCTGAGGCTGGGTCTCTCCTTGGCTTGCAGACACCGCCTTTGGCCATTGTCCCCACAAAGTCGGCCCTCTACCTGCCTGTGTCCATATTTCCTCTTCTTATAAGGACACCAGGTATATTGGATTAGGGCCCGCCCTGATGACCTCATTTAACCTTAATGACCTCTTTAAATATCCTATCTCTGGGCTGGGCTAGATGGCTTATGCCTGTAATCCCAGTACTTTAGGAGGCAGAGGCAGATGAATCGCTTGAGCCCAGGAGTTCCAGACCAGCCCGGGCAACATGGCAAGACCCCGTCTCTACAAAAAATACAAAAATTGGCTGGCCTTGGCTGGGCACGGTGGCTCACCCCTGTAATCCCAGAACTTTGGGAGGCTAAGTCAGGCAGATCATGAAGTCAGGTGATCGAGACCATCCTGGCTGACACGATGAAACCCCATCTCTACTAAAAATACAAAAAAAAAAAAATTAGCCGGGCCTGGTGGTGGGCGCCTGTAGTCCCAGCTACTTGGGAGGCTGAGGCAGGAGAATGGTGTGAACCCGGGAGGCTGAGCTTGCAGTGAGCTGAGATTGCACCACTGCACTCCAGCCTGGGCGACAGAGCGAGACTCTGTCTCAAAAAAAAAAAAAAAAAGAAAAAATTGGCTGGCCATAGTGGCACCCACCTGTCTTCCTAGCTACTCAGGAGGCTGAGGTGGGAGGATCACTTGAACCCAGGAGGCGGAGGTTGCAGTGAGCTGTGATCACACCGCTGCACTCTAGCCTGGGGGATAGAGCAAGACCCTGTCTCAAAAAAAAAAGTGGGGGAGATACTGTTTCCAAACACAGTCACATTCTGACATTCTGAGTCCTGGGGGTTAGGACTTCAATGTTTGAATTTGGGGGGTGTGGTCACAGTTTAGCCCATGATAAGGTCACACAGCAAATCTGCCTCATCCAACCCCACCAGGCCCACCCCACCAGTGAGCAGGCCTGGCAGGGCAGTCTGTGCTCAGTAACACCTCAGCTCCATGGGAGACCATTCAGAGGCTTCAGCTGCCCCAAGAGGAAGGCAGGGAGCCCTGAGGCACACAGGCTGCCTTCTGCAGGTGGGAGTCGGCTTCCCTGCAGGGCACCAAGCATCCCCGCTAACTGGAGGCAGGGCCAGGAGGGGTCAAGTATCAGGCCCGTCCCTGAAGGGTTCCCTACCTCCCATGCCTTTTATTTTGGTGATGAGCGCCCGTTTCTAGCATTTTCCCTGCCAAGTAGACAGGCATGTCACCCCTGTGGGAGCTCATCTTGACACTTGCTGCACTGGTCTCACATGCACACACGCATGCACATCCATGCCTGCACATATATTCACATGCACACAGATACATGGACGCACATGCATGTACACACTTATGCACAACGCACAGATTCACACGCACACAGCCATGGACAGGTGCATGTGTGTACATGTACATACTTGCACACACACGGCGGTGGTTCTTGGCCTCTCCAGAGCACAGGAGAGGAAGTGTGTGAGTGAGCCGAGGGGACATGCAAGTACCCCATTCTTTGCTCAGAGGCTCAGTCCCCTCTTTGGTCCGGGGCTTTGTGTGATGACTGGGGCTTTGTGTGCCAGCACCACGCTGCCATCAGCCTTTCATGCACCTGCGTTGTGGCTGAGCCGTCTCCTCCGCTTACCAAGCAGCGAGGGGCCCGTGTTGACCTGGCGTTGCTGGGAACTCCTTGCACTAGTGTTGTGAGGTTTTTGGTGCCAGGGCAGAGAATGATTCTGGGTTCCTTTCTGGGGGTCTCTGCGTGGCCCCTGCTCGTGTCCTCTTTCTCAGAGCCGAGATTTAGCTTCCAGGAGGTGTTGTCATCCAGTGCCCTAAATTCAGTACCTGGCCTGTTTGCTGGGCCAGATGGTGTCTCGTCAGCGAGCTGCAGTCAGGGCTGCGGGACACACGTGGAGAGGGACTGTGAGGGCTCCGGGCCACCTCAGTCACAGCCAGGTGTCTGCTGTGGGACCATCCACACCAGGCCCCTGCTTCTCCCACCCTCCCATACCTACTGCTCTGAAGGGGAGCGGGCAGGTTTGGGGCCATAAGGGAGCTGGTGGCTCTGCTGACCTGGACTAATGCCTGAGGTGGGTGTCAGGCCCAGCGGGTCTCATGCAGGCCTTGGGCAGGCTGCGAGCTCAGCCCCACCCCGAAAAGGGGCCATGCTCCCTCCTGGTTCAGGAAGTGGCAGGAAGGCTCCTCTGCCCTCTGGTAGGAAGGTGCTGTTCTTGGCTCTTCCCCTCTTCCTTGGGAGCGAGGAGGGGCATTGGCAGGTCCCGGGCCCAGGTGAGCAAGCTGGTGGCCACCCCAGAAGCTGGGTCAGAATTCTAGGGGAGGGGAAGCTGGCGGTCACCCCATAAGCAAGGTCAGAATTCTGGGGACTGCGCTGGGTGCGGTGGCTCACGCCTGTAATCCCAGCACTTTGGGAGGCCGAGGCGGATGGATCATTTGAGGTCAGGAGCTCGAGACCAGCCCAGGCAACACAGTGAAACCCTGTCTCTACTAAAAATACAAAAATTAGCTGGATGTGGTGGTGGGATTACACCTGTAATCCCAGCTACTTGGGAGGCTGAGATGGGATGATTGCTTGAGCCTGGGAGGTGGAGGTTGCAGTGAGCTGAGATCACACCAGCCTGGGCAGCAGAGTGTACTCCAGCCTGGACAGCAGAGTGAGACTCCGTCTCAAAAAAAATGACCTTTGCATCTGAAGCAAAGGTCAAGGGCCCAGTTGCTCATCTGTAAGTTGACAGCTACAAGGCTTCGAAAGTGCAGCACTCCCTGGGGCTCGGGCCTTGGGGAAGGGCCAGGAGGGGCCTTTTGGGCCTCACTTTCCCCGCCTCCCCTCCTCTCCTTCCACGCAGTAGAGCAGGAACAAGGTTAAGAGTGTCTCCTGCCTCCCAACCCCACTCTTCTTCCCATTTCATCACGGAGGGGTCGCTGGGCGACTGCGACCTTGTGGCTCTCCGGGGTTGCCTGGGCCCATGGAGGGAATGTGTTTACTTCCAGAAAGGCACAAAGTGCAGGGACACAGCAGTGGTGCTGAGAGGGTGGGAGCAGATGGCAGCCAGTGCCCACCGTCCATCTCTGTGTCTCTGGCATCTGTGAGCACACCAACGGCCGGGGGGGCAGGCACATCAACGGCCGGGGAGGGGGCGGGCACACCAACTGCCGGGGGGGCGGGGTCTGGGTCTGTCTTGCTCTGGGCTGTGTCCCAGGTCCAGATCGGCTCCTAGCAGAGTGGTTGCTCAGGCAGCATCTGCCGGAGAGCGAGTGGGTGCAGAGGCTCCGTCAGCCTCCTGTGAACAGTCCCAGGGAAGGCTTCCCATTGGCTGCCCAGGTCTCAGGTGCATGCAGCCGTCGCTGGAGCCCAGGCAGGGGGGCAGTGGATGGCCTCGTGTGGGTCTGCTCAGCCTCACTGGGGTTTGCTCTCCCCACCCCAGGGGTCTGGGCCAGTGTCTTGAGCTGATCCAGAGAGTGAGGACTGGAGGGCCAGGAAAGAGTCAGGACAAAGTGACCCTGGCCAAGGCCACACAGAGGGGAGGGGTGGCAGGCCAGAGCACACGGAGGAAACGGCCCCGACGGAGATGGGAGTCTGTGGGGAACACGGCCAGCGCATTCGAACTGTGCGCGATTTGGTATATTCTCCTCTCCTCTGTCTTTCTCTCTGTGATTATAAAGAGTCCTTTTTATAAAAATAGGTTCAGGCCAGGCACAGTGACTCACTTCTATAATCTCCGCAACTTTGGGAGGCCAAGGTGGGAGGATGGCTTCAGGCCAGGAGTTCAAGACCAGGCTGGGCAACACAGGGAGACCCCATCTCTAGAAAAAATTTAAAATTAGCTGAATATAGTGATGTGTGCCTATAGTCTCAGCTACTTGGGAGGCTGAGGCAGGAGGATCTCTTGAGCCCAGGAGGCGGAGGTTGCAGTGAGCCATGCTCATGCCACTGTACTCCAGCCTGGGCAACAGAGTGAGACCCTGTCTCAAAAAATACGTATATAGGCTGGGCACAGTGGCTCAGGCCTGTAATCCCAGCACTTTGGAAGGCTGAGGCGGGTGGATCACGAGGTCAGGAGTTTGAGAGCAGCCTGGCCAACATAGTAAAACCCCATCTCTACAGAAAATACAAAAATTGGCCGGGCGTGGTGATGGATGCCTATAATCCCAGCTATTCGGGAGGCTGAGGCAGGAGAATCGCTTGAACCCAGGAGGCAGAGGTTGCAGTCAACTAAGATCACGCCACTGCACTCCAGCCTGGGCGACAGAGTGAGACTCTGTCTCAAAAAAAAAAAAAAAAAGAAGAATCATTATATATATATATATATATATATATATATATATATATATATATATATATATATATATATATATATATATATATTTTCAAGGACTTCATCACTTTTGTAAGGGGCTTCTTTGAATCCTCGAAACTCTGATCCAGGGGAACAAGCTGTTTGCATCCTGGGGCAGTGGGAACCTCACGTGCCAAGGGACGGTGGCCGTGCTGTGTGCGTAGAGCACCAAGGAGGCCAGGCGGGGTTGGGGCGTGTGGTGGTTGCAGTTGAAGACCAGCTTCTGAGCCCCTGCGTGTTTGGTGGGAGGGGAACCTCTGAGCGTAGAGTTTCCTGCCACAGTGCACTGGTGTGGAAACTGAGATGCTGTGAAGTTCCTAGAGAAGTGGGGGGTGTGTGGCAAATTGTTTCTGAATCATGGGAAATGGTTTATGATGCACTGTCAATCATTCTTCACTTAAGTGTAGTAAATTTTATTGTTATTCTGGGCCACTTCATATTTTGGTTTTGTGAATAAAAAAATATTTCCTGGCCGGGCACAGTGGCTCATGTTTGTAATCCCAGCACTTTGGGAGGCTGAGGCGCGTGGATCACCTGAGGTCAGGAGTTCGAGACTAGCCTGGCCAATATGGCGAAACCCCGTCTCTACTAAAAATACAAAAATTATCCAGGCATGACAGCGGGCACCTATAATCCCAGTTACTGGGGAGGCTGAGACAGTAGAATCGCTTGAACCCAGGAGGCGGAGGTTGCAGTGAGTTGGGATCGTGCCATTGCACTCCAGCCTGTGCAACAAGAGTGAAACTCCATCTCAAAAAAAAAAAAAAAAAAAAAATTTCCTGAGAGCTGCTTTTGTCGCCTGGAGCGCCGGGGACCCCACTCTTCCCAGAGCCCCTTTTCTGTGGGCTCTCCACCAGAGGGAGCGTGAGGACCTTGTGTCTGGGGTGCAGCAAAGGATCTGGATTCCCCACAGTCCTGGGGTGAAATGCAGGGGCCCTGGGGACCCTTGAATCAGGGGTTGAGCTGGCAGCCTGAGCCTCAGCTTTAGTTGTTTCCCTCTAGATCCTGGTGTGGAAAGCTGATAAAAGAGCCGGCTGCTGCTCAGGGTGGAAGGTCCCAGGCTGAGCCCACACATGGCCTGGGGACAAGGCAACCAACCGAGGCATCCCCTCCAGTTCCCCACCCACTCATGGCCCTGGCCCCTCTCTCCTGCAGAGGTCGGATCCGCAGCTGCTTGCCCGGTTCTACTATGCCGACGAGGAGCTGAACCAGGTGGCCGCGGAGCTGGACAGCCTGGATGGGCGGAAGGACCCCCAGCGGTGCACGCTGCTGGTCAGCCAGTTCCGCTCCTGTCAGGTGAGCCACGGGGCAGCAGAAGCTGGCTGGCCCCGCTGGGCATTGGACAGAGTGGCCTGTCCTCAGTAGACCAAGGCTTTGTCACCTGCTGGCCCCCTGTGGTGGCGTTGTCAGGGTCGGGTGCTAGAGAAGCCAGGCCCAGGAAGAGGGACCATCCCGGGCAGGATGCGTGGGGTGGGTAGCCGGGCTGGAAGTGAGAAACCGCACGGGACACTTGGGGGAGCAGAGGCTGGGAGAGCGGGGGCAGGGGGTGCGGAGTGAGCAGGCTTCTGAGCCAAGGGGCAGCCAGTGTGGGAGGGGTGGGCCTGCCCAGGTGCTGGTGCAGAGCTTGGGTACCATGCAGTGGTCACACTCTGCCACTGACTAATGGTGCTGCCAGCATCTGCTGCATAATTGACAGATGGCCCTGGAAGCTGCCGCTAAAAATACCCTGGCCGAGGTTTTCTTCCCAGTACACCAAGCACTCAGAGGCATTTCCAACACAACGGCAAACGGCATGCTGCAAAGTTTTATCAAGTGATGACGAGGGGTTTTCACAAAGTTCCGGAATGTTCTTGGTGTACTCTTCCCACAGGGTCTTGCTGAATCCTTGCGGCCATGGGAGGTGGGGCCTGACACATGCTCCTCCAACAGGGGGGAGTCTATCACTGTGTCACCGTGGTCCTGAGGGTCCCACCCTGTGGGGCTCCTGCAAAGTGGCCAAGCTGGCTGCACCCCAGCCCTGGCTCTGGGCCTGGCCCTGCTGCGGTGGGAACTCAGCAGCATTAGGGCCCTGTGTGTGGCCAGGACAACTTTTCTGGCCGGATCAGGCTCTGGGCTCTTTTTTGGGCTGTTCAGTGGCAGCCTCCACCTTCCATGTGTTCAGATGTTCCCACAGATGTTCTGGCCCCTCCAGGGACAGCCTCTGTGGGTGGGGAGAGTCCCTGCCCCCAGGAGCTCAGGTTAGAAAGACCTTCTGCCCAGGGGACAGGTGCTGGGGGCCCTGGAGCCTGGAGGAGGAAAGTGCCACGGAGGAGAGGTGCTAGACCTGCCCCGTGGCCCCACCGATGAGGAAGGGGGATCAGATGCTATTCCTCATGGCAACCTTTGGGGAGGGGCTCTGTTCCCTTTACATGCTCTGTGACCTGTGTGCTTTTTTGTTGACTGACAGAGTTGATGATAAAGCCTGGTTTTAAGTGAGTTTGAGAGGTGGGGGCTGCCAAGCTAGGTGGCCCCTTCTCAGGCTTCCCGCTGCCACAGGCTTTAATTGGGATGTATCACCGTGAGAACTGCCCTGTGAGAAGGATCTGGAGGGGGATGCTCCCAGCATAGTGAAGGCCTTAAACACTCAGGTTCTTCTCCTTGCTGCTGGGGTCTTTGAAGGAACTGAGAGGGTGTGGACACTGTCCAGGTCCCTCAGCATCATCTGATTCGGGCTCACTTCTGTCCACTCCGCTCCAGGGCCCTGCCTCTGGCTCATCTCGTATCCCACTGGCTCCTTTGTGACCCTTCTTCCCTCTTCCACGCCTCCCCCTCTTCCTCCCTCCTCCTATCTCCCCTTCCTCCCCCAGCCTCCTCCATGTGGGTCCCACGCCCAGTCCTTGGCCTCTTCCTGTCCACCCCCCGACATGGCGGCCTCATCCTGCTCCATGTCTGTGCTGAGCACCCCCAGGGGAGGCTCTCAGCTTCTCCTCCCCGCAGATCCAGGTGTGCTCCCCGGTGTTCCTCCCAGCTCCCTGAGGGCATCTCACAGGGCCCACCTTACGCCCAGCACAGCTGGACATTGAACAACATGGTTTGAACTGCACAGGTCCATTTATACATGCATTGTTTCAACCTAACTTGGATCTAAAATACAGTATTCTCAGGACACAAAACCCACATATATGGAGGGCTGTGCAAGTTCCGCTGGTCCAGCCGTGGGACTTGAGTATGTGCAGATATGATATACGCTGGGGGTCCTGGAACCTGTCCCCTGCGTGTACTGAGGGATAATTGTATTTCATGTCTTTTTATGACATTATAAGTGGTATTGCTATTACATGTCAATTTTTAAAAATAAGCCAGAACCATAAACGAAGTGTTTCCCTGAGTTCTGCGAGCCACTCTACAAATTAATCCAACCCCAGAAGGGGGCCATGGGAGCCCCAGTTTACAGCCAGCTGGACAGAAGCACAGACCATGCCTGGACTTGGGATCAGCATCTGAAGGGGCGCCGTCTTGTGGGACTGAGCCCTCACCCTGTGGGGTCTCACTCTCTCGCCCAGGCTGGAGTGCAGTCATACGATCTCGGCTCACTGCAACCTCCACCTCCCAGGTTCAAGCGATTCTCCTGCCTTAGCCTCCTGAGTAGCTGGGATTACAGGCATGCGCCACCATGCCCTGCTAATTTTTGTATTTTTAGTAGAGACGGGGTTTCACCATGTTGGCCAGGCTGGTCTCAAACTCCTGAACTCAAGTGATCCACCTGCCCTGGCCTCCCAAAGTTCTGGGATTACGGGCATGAGTCACCGTGCCTGGCCCTAAATGTCAATTTTTGATTGTTTGGTGCTCCTATATGGAAATACTATTGACTTTTGTATATAGATCTTGTATCCTAATACCTTTCTGTGGGAATCTAGGTAATGGTTTTTCCTACTTTCTACTCTCTACTCTCACACAGTCACTCAACACTCCATGACCAGATGAGTAGGGTATTCCCCACACACCGAGTCATTCCCCAGCAGGTTCTGCAGGGGACAGCAGTGGGGGTCCTCTATTCAACCTCATCTTGACACTGTCCACCCGGAGTGACCTCAGAACCCACAGGGTGAGGGCTCAGTCCCACAAGACGGCCCCCCATTCAGATGCCAATCCCAAGTCCAGGTGTGGTCTGTGCTTCTGTCCAGCTGGCTATAAATCGGGGCTCCCATGACCCCCTTCTGGGTTGGATAAATTTGTAGAGTGGCTCACAGAACTCAGGGAAACACTTCGTTTATGGTTCTGGCTTATGAATAAAGAATGTAGTAACAGGTACAGATGAACAGCCTGATGAAGAGGTGCACAGGCTAAGGTCGGGAAGGGTCCCAAGGGCAGGAGCTTCTGTCCCGTGGAGTTGGGGTGTGCCCTTCTCCTGGCAGGCGGATGTGTTCGCCAGCCCAAAGGAAGCTTTCTGAACCAGTCCTTTTGGGTGTTTTTGGAAGCTTCATTATAGAGCCATGATTGATTATATATCATTGGCTGTTGGTGAGAACACTTCCCAATTCTTCAGTGCCTCTCCCCTCCCCGGAGGTTGGGGGTGGGGGCTGAAAGTCCCAACCCTCTAACATGCGTTGATCTTCCCAGGGACCAGCCCCCCATCCTGAAGCTGTCTAGGGCCCCCCAGCCACCAGTGAACTCCTATCACTCTGGAGAGTCCAAGGCTTTTTAGGAGCTGTATGTCAGGAAATGGGAAGATGACCAAACGTATATTTTACAATATCATACTTTCTTTCTTTCTTTTTTTTTTTTTGAGACGGAGTCTCGCTCTGTCGCCCAGGCTGGAGTGCAGTGGCGCGATCTCGGCTCAGTCCAAGTTCCGCCTCCCAGGTTCACACCATTCTCCTGCCTCAGCCTCCCGAGTAGCTGGGACTACAGGCGCCCGCCACCTCGCCCGGCTAATTTTTTGTATTTTTAGTAGAGATGGGGTTTCACCATGTTAGCCAGGATGGTCTCGATCTCCTGACCTCGTGATCCACCTGCCTCGGCCTCCCAAAGTGCTGGGATTACAGGCGTGAGCCACTGCGCCCGGCCTACAATATCATACTTTCTAAATACACTTATTATTTCTGGCAGCTTTTTGTAGATTCTGTTAAATTTTTTGCCAATAAAGATAATCTTCACTTCTTCCTTTTCTCTCTGGATGCCGAGTGTGTGTGTGTGTGTGTGTGTGTGTGTGTGTCTGTGTGTCACCCTATTGAACTAGCTAGAATTCCAGTACAAAGTTGAATAGAAGTGGTGAGAGCAGACATCTTTTGTTAATGATGGAACTCTGAATGCTTTCTCCCCAAAGATAAGCGTGATGTTAGCTGTAGGATTTTCGTAGCTACCCTTTGTCAGGCCAAGGCAGTTGCCACCTACTCATAGCTTGCTGAGAGTTCTTATTAGGAATAGATGTTAGATTTTTTTTTTCAGATGCTTTTTTTGTGTGTCAACGGAGATTATCATGTTATTTTTATTATGGTAAATTACATTGATGGTTTTTTTTACTCGATAAATACTGACTTTTTATTAGTATCCACTCCATCACTCAACAGCAATAGCAGCATGCAGATGCCATGAGGGCAGGGCTGTGTGTACACACAACACTCACCAGTACATCCCAGTGCCTAGTACACAGTAGGCACTCAGTTATATCATTGAAACAGGGAACGCTTGGCTGATTCATTTACATTTTAATTTATTTTATTTTTTTTATTATTATACTTTAAGTTTTAGGGTACATGTGCACAATGTGCAGGTTAGTTACATATGTATACATGTCCCATGCTGGTGCGCTGCACCCACTAACTCATCATCTAGCATTAGGTATATCTCCCAATTCTATCCCTCCCCCCTCCCCCCACCCCACAACAGTCCCCAGAGTGTGATGTTCCCCTTCCTGTGTCCATATGTTCTCATTGTTCAATTCCCACCTATGAGTGAGAATATGCGGTGTTTGCATATTTTCTTTTTGAATAGTGTGACTTACTCTTTTTGGCATATGATAGCTATGGTATCACATAAACAATTGTAAACTGTGTCGAGCTGCCAAAAGTTTGAATCTCATGCCAGTATATACATTCAGCCTTCTCACCATAGCTATTTGAGAGTTATAATTATCTATAGCACTGAAAGAGACTTTGGGCTCATCTGGTCCGATTCTCTTATTTCATGAATTAGAACACTAAATCCACTCAGACTGGGTGACTCGTCTGTCAGAACATGCAATAAACAGAAAACAAGGGGTTGTTTGCCTGATGCCATAGCATCCAAAGGTCAGGGTAGCTGGAACTCTTGGTGTCTTCTTGTCTTACAAAATGATGGAAGACGCATCATTTTAGTTCTCTGGTAGAAAGAGGATCAGAGAACCAGCTGGGAATCACAAATATGCTACAAAGATAAAAGACAGAATTTGGCCCTAAATAAAAATAGATTCTTAAAAATAGAGAAGAGATCAGATATGTTGCTAAGAAAATGCAGATGTTAGACCATATCCATGGTTCACAGTCCTTGTGAAAGCTTAAAAAATATAGATGCCAGGACCCAATCCCAGAGATTCTGCCTTATTTGGTCCAGGAAGAGCATAAGCATACATTGATTGATTTTTGAATGTTAAAAAAAATTACTCCTGCATTCCTGGGATAAATCCCACTCGTTCATGGTACATTATCCTTTTACGCATTATTGAATTCAGTTTCCTAAAATTTTGTTAGGAATTTTTGGATCAATATTCATTAGGGATATGGGCCCACAGTCTTTGTCTGATTTTGGTGTCAAGACAGTGTCATAGATGAGTTGTGAAGGATTCTGTCCTCTTCAGTTTTATGGAAGAGTTTGTGTAGTGTTAGTTCTTCTTAAATGTTTGGTAGAATTCACTATTAATCTATCTGGAACTGGAGTTTTCTTTGTAGGAAGATTTTTAACTACAAATTTAATTTCTTGAATAAATATAGGGTTTTCACATTATTTCAGAAATTTCTTCTTGAGAGAGATTTGGTAGTTTATGCCTTTTAAGAAATTTCATCTAAGTTGTTGAATTTATTGGCATAAGTTGTTTGTAATATTTCCTTATAATCCTTTTAATATATGTAGGATCCACCGCGATGTCACCTCTCTCGTTCCTGTTATTAAGTTGTATCTTCTGTTTTCATTCTGAACTGTGTTGATAGAGTTTTATCAATTTTACTGATATTCTCAAAGGAACTATTTTAGCTTCATTGATTTTCTCTATTGCTTTAATCTTTTCTCTTTCATTAAATTTCTGCTCTGATTGTTGCTATTCCTTTCTTCTGTTTGCTTTGGGTTTCATTTACTCTTCTCTCTCTAGTTTCTTTTTTTATTTTTATGTAGTAGACTTAAAAACAGAACCTTTATAGTTTCTTAATGTGGCAACTGAGGTTAGAGAATGAATGCCTTTCTTCTTTTCTAATTTAGGTATTTAGTGGTTTAAATTTCTCTGTAATTGCTGCTTTAGTGGCATTCCATAAATTTTGATATGTTGTATTTTTACTTTCATTTCATTCACAATACTTTTGATTTCCTCTTTGATTTCATGTTTGATTCGTGAGTATTTAAAAGTGTGTTATTTAGTTTTCAAATATTTATGGATTTTTCTAGAGATCTTTCTCTTAATGATTTCTAATTTAATTCCATTGTGGTCAGAGGATATACTTTGTGTGACTTGGATTATTTTTACACGTATTGAGGCTTGTTTCATGGCCCAGAATTTGGTCTTTCTTGGTATATGTTCCATATACAATCGGGAATCATGTGCATCTGGCTGTGGTTGGGTGGAATGTTCTGTAAATGTCAACCATATCAGGTTGTTTTAGCAGCATTGCTAAGATTTACTATATCCTTGCTGATTTTCTGTTTACTTTCTATGTCTTATCAGTGGAGAAAGGTACTGAAGTTTCTGACCATAATTGTGGATTTGTTTATGTCGTCTTACTTCATGCCGCTTGAAGGTCTATTGTTAGGTTGATAAATGTTAACAATTGTTATGTGCTCCTAATAAATTGAACCCTTTATTATTATAAAATGACTTTTTTTGGTCCTTGGCAGTACTCTTTGCTCTGAAACCTACTTCAGTATTCATGTAGCCACTCCAGCTTTCTTTTGATTGGTGTGAACATGATACAACCTTTAAAAAAATCCTTTTACTTTTAGCTTATTTGTGTCTTTATGTGTAAAGTGGGTATCTTGTAGGCAGCATATAGTTGGGTCTCATTTTATTATGCAATCTGAAAATCTGTCTTTTATTTGGGGTTTTTAGATCATTTTTGTTTAATATGTCTTTGATATAGTTAGATTTAAGTATCATTTTGCTATTTGTTTTCTGTTTGTCCCATCTTTTCTTTATTCCCATTCCTCTTTTTTTCCTTCTTTTTTATTAATTGGCTTCAGTAATTTCCTCTCTTAATTTTTATGTATTCTATTTATTTTTTATGCTTCTGCTTTGTCTCCTTTGTTGGCTCATTAGCCAGAAATCTTTGTTTTGTTATTTTAGTGGTTGCTTTAGGGTTTATAATAATTGTCTTTAATTACAGATACCTTCAAATGACATTGTACAATTTCACATAGAGTATAAAGACCTTCCAATAATTCACTTCCATTTCTCCTACTGGACCTTGTGCTATTGTTGCCATACATTTTACTTTTGTATGTTACAGACTCACACTATGTTGTTAGGGTATTTTTTTCATTTAAACGGTCAATTTTTTAAATTAAAAATTTAGAAAATTAAATAGTAAAAAAGGATCTTGTATATTTACCATGTAGTCACCATTTCCAGTGGTCTCTTTTCCCTTGTATAGATCTCTATTTCCATCTGGTGTCATTTTCTTTTTGCTTGAAAGAATTTCTTTCTTTCTTTCTTTCTTTTTTTTTTTTTGAGATGGAGTCTCGCTCAGTCACCCAGGCTGGAGTGCAGTGGCGCGATCTCGGCTCACTGCTAGCTCTGCCTCCCGGGTTCACAGCATTCTCCTGCCTCAGCCCCCCACGTAGCTGGGACTATAGGCGCCCACCACCACGCCCGGCTAATTTTTTGTATTTTTTTTTTTTTTTTTTTAGTAGAGACGGGGTTTCACCGTATTAGCCAGGATGGTCTCGATCTCCTGACCTTGTGATCCACCCGCCCTGGCCTCCCAAAGTGCTGGGATTACAGGCGTGAGCCACCGCCCCTGGCCAAGAATTTCTTTAGCATTTCTTATAGTGCAAATCTACTGGTCATGAATTCTTTCAGCATTTGTTTGAATGAAAAATTATTCTACCTTTGATTTTGAAAGATATTTTTGCTGGGTACAGAATTCTAGGTTGATATTTTTTCCCCCTTAATACTTTAAAGATGTTGTTTCATTCTCTTCTCACTTGTATTATTTCGGATGAAAAATCTAATGCCATTTTTGTCTTTGTTCCTTGTATGTAACACATCTTTTTTCTCGTGCTACTTTAAAGATTTTCTCTTTTTATTGGTTTTGACCAATTTGATTATGCTGTAATTTGGTATAGTTTTTAAAAACGTGTCTTCTGCTTGGGGTTCATTTACTTGGTTCTATGAGTTTATATTTATTAAATTTGGAAAAATTTTGGCCATTATTCCTCCAAATATTTTTTTCTATCTCATTCCTCCTCGTTTTGGGACTTGAATTACATCCATATTTGATCTTTGAAGTTGTCCAGCAGTTCATTGATGATCTATTATTATTTCTGAATTGTTGGGATAGTTTCAGTTGCTGTCTTCAAGTTTACTCTTCTTTTTTTCTGAAATATTGAATCTGAGGTTAATCTCATGCAGTATATTTTTTCATCTCAGACACTGTAATTTTCATCTCTAAATCAGTTAGGGACTTTTAGTTTCTTCGTTGTCTCTAGTTAACTTTTTGAACACATGGGAATCAGTTATAACAACCGTCTTAATGTCCCTGATCATCTTTGTCAAGTCTGGCTTGATTTTGATTGATTGCTTTTCCTTTTAGTCATGGGTCATATTTTCTTCATTCTTTGCAAGCTTGGTAATTTTTTTTTCTTTTTTTTGAGATGGAGTCTCACTCTGTTGCCCAGTCTGGAGTGCAGTGGTGTGATCTCAGCTCACTGCAAGCTCTGTCTCCTGGGTTCATGCCATTCTCCTGCCTCAGCCTCCCAAGTAGCTGGGACTACAGGTGCCCGGCTATTTTTTTTGTATTTTTAGTAGAGACGGGGTTTCACTGTGTTAGCCAGGATGGTCTCAATCTCCTGACCTCGTGATCTACCCACCTCGGCTTCCCCAAGTGCTGGGATTACAGGCGTGAGCCACCGCGCCTGGCCGTTTTGTTTTGTTTTTGTTTTTTGTTTTTGAGACAGAGTTTTTTTTGCTCATATTGCCCAGGCTGGAGTGCAATGGCATGATCTCAGCTCACCGCAATCTCCACCTCCCAGGTTCAAGCGATTCTCCTGCCTCAGCCTCCTGAGTAGTTGGGATTATAGGCATTCGCCACCACACCCGGCTAATTGTGTATTTTTAGTAGAGACGGGGTTTCTCCATGTTGGCCTGGCTGGTCTCGAACTCCCGACCTCAGGTGATCCACCCACCTTGGCCTCACAAAGTGCTGGGATTACAGGCGTGAGCCACTGCACCCAGCCAAACTTGGTAATTTTTTAATTGGGTACCTGACATAGTGAATTTCACCCTGCTGGGGGCTATTTTTGTATTACTGTAAATATTTTTGGTTGTTCCGTGATGTAGTTTAGTTACTTAGAAACAGTTTATTCCTTTGGGTCTTATTTTTAAGGTGTTAGGCAGGACCAGAGCTGTGTTTAGTCTAGAGTTAACTGCTGTTCACATGGAGGCAGAACACTTTTGGGTACTCTACTCAATACTTTGTGAATTGTGAGTGCTCCTGCTACTCTAGCCTCCTGGAGAGCTCCTGTCACTGCTCCCTCAAATCATTCAGGTGCGTCTTTCCTGAACTTAGGTCATCTCCCCACAGGCATGTGTTGATCAGTTCTCGGCTGAACCCTTGAAACCTTCCCCAGATCTCCAGAGTTCTCTCTGTCCAGCTCTCTCTTCTCTGCCTCCTGCTCTCTGAATCCTAACTGCCTTGGTTCCATCCGAGTTCCCTCTCCTGTTCCATGACTTGAAACTTTCCTCAAGGCAGTGAGCTGGGGTAGTCATGGGGCTCACCTTGTTTGTTTCCTGTCTCTTGGGGATCACTGTCCTTTGTGGCCTGATGTCCAGTGTCATGGAAATCACTGTTGTTCTTGGGAGTGGGGTAAACTGGGTTCCTATTACTCCATCTTGGCTGGCGTTAGAAGTCCTAGCAAGTGTTTCTTGCAGCATACTGTGTGTGAGGCACTGTTCTAGGCACTGGAGACTCATCGTGAATAACAGAAGACCCTTCCCTCAGGCAGCTATGTTCTAGCAGACCAGGAAGGCTGGGCAATGAATCCAAGCACGGCCATGAAAGGCTCCTCAGCCTTGGGCAAGCTGTGCCACCTGGGCTGAGCACTAAAAGCTCCTCAGCCTTGGGCAAGCTGTGCCACCTGGGCTGAGCACTACAGCCTTAGACAAGCTGTGCCACCTGGCTGAGCCTCAGATCCTGGACTCTTCTTCATCACAGCTGGGGCTTACTGTGCACCGCCTGTTGCTGTGATTGCCATTGTTTGCTCATTTGTTTGTTGAATCATGAGCAAGGGACCTTCCTACCCAGAAAACCTTTTAAAAAGAAGTGACAGTAGTCCCACTTATTGGTTGAATTTTATTTTTATTTTTTGTATTATAAAGGCTTAACATTTTTCTTACAGTGCAGAATTTCCTTCAGAGTTTAGTGCATGATTTCTTGCCTGAGAAGGGTCATGCTTCCCCACTCATAGTGAGTTTTCGTATCTCTTCCTAAGAAAAATGAAAGTCAAGCCTCAGGAGGGATGGTCGAGATTAAAAATTGCCAAGGTGAGAGTGTCAATTAGTGTGCTCTTTCTGGAAAGCCATTTGGCAGTATCTCATTAGAGCCTGGAAACGCAGTTTGCACTTTTGACATTGTAATTCCATTTCTAGCAATCAGTGGGTCCTAAGGAAGTAATCCACACTCGGAGCATCGTGCACCACAGTAGTGAGGGCAGCATTGCGTGGAGGTGGAGGATTAGGCACATCGTCAGTGTCCAGCAGAAGACAAAGGAGTGAGTTAACAGGACGGTCCATATGCTGGAATTGCATGTCACTATCCATCAAAAATTGTATATGTGACAGATGTAATAACATGTTGCAGCAGCTACAACAGCAGAAGGCAGTATTACGTACATGGATCGTCTCAACGTTGGCTGAAAACAGGCCCTCGGAAGATGAGAATTAGAAGGAACTGTGTCCCACCTGCGGTCATATTTCCCCAAGGACATTTTCCCCACTTCTCTCCTTTCCCATTGGTTCCAGTTTTCCTAGGATGAACGTGTATTGATTTCATATTTAACAAATTAAAGCAAAAGTTAAACTTCCAGTGTTTTTGTAACCTACAGAATGAATAGTCAATGTTTAAAGAATAGGACAAATTTACAGAAAAGGATGGAATGCAATTTAAGATGTAAAAAAATGGGCTTCTTCTCCCTCATATACACAAAGTGTTCAAAACACTCTGTTATACTTTATATTTTGAACATAAGGAAATAAAGTAAAATAATTTTAAAGAGTCTTTAAAGTAGAAGCTGCTTCCAGGGATGCTGGCTCACTCTGGTAATCCCAGCCGCTCGGGAGGCTGAGGCTGGAGGATGGCTGGAGCCCTGGAGTTTGAGGCTGTCGTAAGCTATGATTGCGCCACTTCACTCCAGCCTGAGTGACAAAGCCAGACCCTGCCTCTAAAAATAAACAAAAAGCCAGAAGTTGCTGTGTATTGAGGCTTACAGAAGGGGACCTGGCTGATCAGAGAGGCGAAGTGACCTGTCCCTCGTTGAACAGCCATGAGGGATGGAGTCAGGGTCTCCATGTTGTGAAAGCAGCACCCCCTTCCAGTGCAGACTGACTTATGCGTTGCTGTAATTGATCTGCTGGTTCCAGAGGAGGTGGGAGGGGACGCCACCCTGGATGGAGGAGCAGGCCCCAGCTGTGCCTGGCCTTGACGTAACTGCACTCTTCTGACCCTAAGACGTGGTCTGTGTCCCTGACTCTACAGAGGAATGCACTGAGCTTCAGGGAAGACGAGGGCTTTGCAGGTCCCCAGCCGACTGAGAGTCCGTCTGAGCCCATGGCTCCTGCGGTTGCTGCTCTTTATTGCCCTGGCTGGAGTGCGATGGCACCATCTCGGCTCACTGCAACCTCTGCCTCCCTGGTTCAAGTGATTCTCCTGCCTCAGCCTCCCTAATAGCTGGGATTACAGGTGTGCGCTACCACGCCCGGCTAATTTTTGTATTTTTAGTAGAGATGGGGTTTCGCCATGTTGGCCAGGCTGGTCTCAAACTCCTAACCTCAGGTAAACCACCCGCCTCGGCCTCCCAAAGTGCTGGCATTATAGGCATGAGCCACCGTGCCTAGCCTCCTCTATCACTTTAATAATCCTAAAAAACAGTCACATGCACCGTGCGTGTTTTCCAGCAGTACATGGCGGCCGCCAGCTGGACACAGCGATTGGCGCACTTTCTCCTGTCTTCTGTTTCAGGACAATGTGTTGAACATCATTAACCAGATCATGGATGAGTGCATCCCCCAGGACCGCGCCCCCAGAGATTTCTGCGTCAAGTTCCCTGAGGAGATCCGGCACGACAACCTGGCCGGCCAGCTGTGGTTCGGTGCCGAGGTAGCGGGTGGCCACCCGGGTTCGGAGGTCCTGATGTGGGGTGGCGTCTAGCCAAGTCCCTGCGAACCTTGTGCATGGGCGCCTGCAGGTGCCGGGACCTGGTGTCTCCTCCAAGAGCTCCGTCCACTCTGGGTTACGTGGTGTGGTCTGAGCCTGGTAGGCCGTGCACCCCTGGAGGATCTGGGAAAGCCATGAACTGGTGCCCCCAAAACTATACATACAAATGAAATTTCCCATGTGGTTTTTATGAGGTTCACAGGCCCCCAGACAGCCAGGACCTAAAAGTGGTTTTTAATGGCAGTAATGCCCACATCAGGAACAAGTGTTCCCCTCCGGCCCTGCAGCATGGGCAGCAGCAGGGGCTGGGGAGCCGTGCTGCAGCCCCACGCAGGCCACATGTGGCAATAGCCTGTCATCTTCATCTTCATCTCCCAATCAGGAAACTGAGGCACCGAGAGGAAGGTGCCCTTCAAGGTGGCGGGAACAGTCTCCCCCAGGCCCCCACCATGCGGACTCCCCAGCCTCCTCCCCTTGCCGTGCTCCCGAGCCTGACCTCAGCCCCGACACCGCCACCCTCTCTATTGTGCCGTCCCCATCCTGCCCGCCTCCCCTTTCTAGGAATCCCTGGGGTGCGGAGTCTTCATCCCACGCTGCCCCGTCCCTGTGTCCACCCTGCCCACCCCACCTTCTGAGCCACCTGGTTGGGGTGTCCTCTGCCGAGGCTTGGGTTAGTTACAGGGGCCCGCGGGCAGGTTCTCCCTCCTCCCCAGCCTCAGTTTCCACCTCCGTGGAGTGGGTCCTGGGGCAGTCATGAGATGGAGCGTGTTCTGTGCCCGGCTGGCCTGGCAGGGGCATGCATGCACAGGGGTGGGCACAGCTCCTTGTGTGGTCCTGGTGCCCCAAGCTCTGTGCCCACCTGCAGCTTGGGCCTGGGCGATCAGCGCCGTCTCATTCTGTCACCTGGGAAATGGCTTCTTGTCCTGCATCACTTGATCATCCCTGAGGGGACAGCAGGTGGATTGGTTCTATCCTAAACCTGGCGAGGCCCCGGCCTCTAGACAAGCCTCCCTGTGACAACAGGTCTACCAGGGCCTGGACTCAGCCCCTGTGCCAGAGGGCAGCTTGGTGAAATTCCCAGTTGCTGAGCGCACGCTGGGGAGCTGCCTCGCAGCACCCAGGGCAGACATGGGTGGATTTGTGGGTGCGGAGGAGCCCTCCTTACCTGCCCAGGAGCCCAGGGACTCTCACACTGATGAGTCTGCGTTCCGGGGAAGGTTGCGTTTCTCTGGCAGTGAGCAACTTGACAGGTGGTGTCTGTGGCTCCCTAGATAGGCTGGGGACCTCGGGCCCGGATCAGCCCGGCTGCTTCATCCCTGGGAGCACAGACCTGATTGTGGAGCCTGGAAGCTCCAAGCTCCTTGAACTTCATCCCTGTGGCCTGGACGGGGAGCGGAAAAGAGTCACATGACCAGGGTTCCTCCTGCAGGGAGCCCCCAGACCCAAGGGCCTCAGTCCACCTTCCCCTCCCCTCCCCTCCCCTGCCCTCCCCTCCCCTGCCCTTACCTGCCCTGCCATGCCCTGCCCTCCCTGCTCCTGGGGCCCTGTGAGGACCCCGTGGGTCACATTGGGGGACATCGGTTATCGCCCTCACGATTGCTCTGAATGTAAGAAAAACCTCCTGCGGGGACCGGGAACACGAGCTGGCCTGTGCTGTGGGGTGAGAAGAGGGGCCCCGAGGTGCGCAGTCAGGTTCCCCGGGTCGGCGACCCCTGAGAGCCTGGCCCTCACCCGGGCCCCTCCCTGAGTGTGTCCCCTCCCGCAGTGCCTGGCCGCCGGCTCCATCATCATGAACCGGGAGCTGGAGAGCATGGCCATGCGCCCGCTGGCCAAGGAGCTGACGCGCAGCCTGGAGGACGTGCGGGGCGCCCTCCGTGACCAGGCGCTGCGGGACCTGAACACCTACACAGAGAAGATGAGGGAAGCGCTGAGGCACTTCGACGTCCTGTTCGCAGAGTTTGAGCTCAGGTACTGCAGCTGTGGGTCCACAGCCCTGGCTGTATGAGCTGGGGGACGGTTGTGCCAGCTTCCGGGGCTCACCCTGATACTTCAAGCTGGAAAATTCCACAGAGGGAGGAGCCAGGCAGGTTCAGGGCCGCCTGTGGGTGGGGTTAAGCCCTGGAGAGCATAGCGTGGAGGTGAGGTGGGGCATCTTTCCAGGGAGTGGGGTGAGCACAGAGGACACAGGTGTGGATCTGGCCGCCGTGGGCCTCCAGGGGAAGGGCTTTGGAGAGGCCCGAGGGGCCAGACATGCATGATGCCTCGGAAGATGAAGAGACGTCACAGGTGAGAAGAAAACAGAGGCAGCCAGGCGGGTGCGGTGGCTCACGCCTGTAATCCCAGCACGTTGAGAGGCCGAGGCAGGCGGATCATGAGGTCAGAAGATCGAGACCATCCTGGCTAACACGGTGACACCCCATCTCTACTAAAAAAAATACAAAAAATTAGCCGGGCCTGGTGGCGCGCCACTCAGGAAGCTGAGGCAAGAGAACCGCTTGAACCCGGGAGGCAGAGGCTACAGTGAGCTGCGATCCAGCCACTGCATTCCAGCCTGGGCGAGAGAGCGAGACTGCATCTCAAAACAACAACAACCACAACAAACAAAACACGGAGGCAGATGGTGTCCGCAGAGGTTCAGTTAATAAGTTTTTCATCTTGTAATCTACTGGCCCCTAGGAGATCAACCAATGCATTAAGGGCAGTCCTCTGCAGGAAGCAAGAGCACGGACAGTCGAGTTTTATTTTCTTGTCTTCCCCAAATTTTCTAAATCAGCTTCCATAAGAAAAAATTAGAGTTAGTGATTTATTTATTTATTTATTTATTTTCTGAGACGGAGTCTCACTCTGTTGCCCAGGCTGGAGTGCAGTGGCACGATCTCAGCTCACCGCGACCTCCACCTCCTGAGTTCAAGCCATTCTCCTGCCTCGGCCTCCCAAGTAGCTGGGATTACAGGTGACCACCACCACGCCTGGCTCATTTTTTTGTGTTTTCAGTAGATACAGGGTTTTACCATGTTGGCCAGCCTGGTCTCAAATGCCTGACCTCAAGTGATCTGCTGCTGGCCTTGGCCTCCCAAAGTGCTGGGATTACAGGCGTGAGCTACTGCACCTGGCCTAGAGTTGGTGGTTTAGAAGGAAAGAAAGTGCTCTCATCTGGGGAAGGGTTGGACAAGCCTTCACGTCTCAGAGCCACTGGCAGGCCTCCTGCAAGCCGCTGTGCCCAGCCTGGGCTGGCTTCCGTGGCTGTGGAGGTCCACGTGCGGAGGTTCATGTGGGGCTGCGGGTTGTTCACCCACCCGTGCACGTGTTCATTCGTTTCTCTCTCGCCCCTTAAGGCTGGTGCCAAGGTGGGGGATGGTCCCGCACATGGGCAGCACTGGGTCCAGGGTGGTCAGGCTCCAGGGTGAGCCCTGGGAGCTGGCACAACTGTCCCGCATGGGCAGGGCTGGGGTTTCAAGGGAAGGCCTGGGGTAGGCCTGGCTGGCAGGAGCTGTGTACTATGAAACTGCCGAAATGGGATGGTGGTGTAGGGTGTGTGTGTGTATTTTAAGAGAAAAGGTCTTGCTTTGTCACCCAGCCTGGAATGCAGTGGCACCATCACCATTCACTGCAGCCTCCAACTCCTGGGCACAAGTGATCCTCCCACCTCAGCCTCCCAAGTAGCAGAGACTGTAGGTGCCTGCCACCACCACACCCGACTTTTTTATTTTTTGTAGAGATGAGGTCTTGCTGTGGTGCCTCGAACTCCTGGGCTCAAGCCATCCTCCCACCTCAGACTCCCAACGTGCTGGGATTACAGGCGTGAGGCCCCCCGCCCCCACCTTGCCCAGCATTGCAGCTTTAATTGAAGATGCCCCCCACTCTGTTTTGGAGGGGCCCCGCCACAGCCCAGGTGCGGCCTCACAGGTCTCCATGTGTTTGCAGCTACGTCTCGGCCATGGTGCCTGTGAAGTCCCCCAGGGAGTACTACGTGCAGCAGGAGGTCATCGTGCTCTTCTGCGAGACGGTGGAGAGGTGAGCACAGGGATGCTTAGGGGCTGGGGGCAGCATCTGGGGAGTCCCTGCCTCACTCCAGGCCCGGGGCAGAGGGCAGCTCTGGGGGAACCTGCTGTGTCTCGGGAGTGCCCCAGATGGAAGGCACCAGACGTGTCTTCCCACACTACATCCGGCTTCTCCTCACAGGTGGGCAGAGGGTAGAGGCCACCCCTGCCTTTACCTCTGCCCGGCCCCCTTCCACCGCCCCACGGTCGCTTTTCTGTCTGCCAGAAGGTCAGATCCTGCAGGTGAAGTCACTGTCAGAGGACAAAAGCTGGAAGGCTCTGGCATGATGGATTGGACGTCCAAACCTTGTCACCTTCCTCACCCCCTCACTCCTCACCTACTCACTCCTCATGTCCTCACTCCTCACCTCCTCACTTCCCCACCTCCTAACTCCTCACCTCCTCACTCCTCACCACCTAACTCCTCACCCCCTCACTCCTCACCTCCTCACTCACCTCCTCACTTCCCCACCTCCTAACTCCTCACCTCACCTCCTCACTCTTCACCTCCTCCCTCCTCACCTTCTCACTCCTCACCTCCTCACTCCTCACCTCCTCAATCCACACCTCCTCACCTCCTCATCTCCTCACTCCTCACCTCCTCACCTCCTCACTCCTCACCTCATCATTCCTCACCTCCTTACTCCTCACCTCCTTACTCCTTAGCTCCTTATTTCTCACATTCTCACTCCTCACCTCCTCAATCCTCACATCCTCACTCCTCAATCCTCACTCCCCACCTCCCCAGTCCAGGAATGAGTTTTTGCTGAGTTTTAAGTCTGTTGAACAAGTGTTTCTTTTTTAGGGAGTGGGGGGGGCAGGGGGAAGCCATCAATATTCTTATCAGGCTTTGTACAGTAATTTGGAGTCTGGTTTTCTCAATGGACTTTGGGGTTAAGATGTAACCTTGATGTTTCTCTTGTTCAAGTGGTACTATGGTGTTTGGAAGATTTGAAATTGACTATTATCACATTGTATGTTTGTTATTTTTAAAAAGCAAATTTTTACTCTTTGTGCTTTGAGAGATATTTCAAATTATCAGAAAATAAGATGACGGGAAATTCCTTTTATTTTGAAAAGTCACGATGCCAGCAGGCCTGCTCACGAGGTGCAGGAAAAGCCCTCCACAAGCCCCGGGGAGGAGAAAGGAAGCTGGTTTCTCAGGGAAGTGTTGAATTGTTTGGGGCAGTATTTTTGTTCCGTGTTCATTCTTGACACCGGAGTTGTTTCGGTCTCCTGGCTGAGCAGAGCCGTCCTCTGGGTTGCCTTACTGTCTTTGCTGGGCATCATAGCTGTCCTCACACATCCTCCCTGCCCCTGCCTCCTGGGGCAGAGGTGGGGACTGGCAGATGGGAAGGTCAAGCTGGAGCCACCTGCCAGGGCATTTAGGGAAGTGTGTGGCCTTTTCCTGCAGTCCCAGCCCCTTGCACATATGAGGACTGGGGGTGGCATGTGTCACCTCTTGACGTGGCCACCACGCGTGGCTGCAGGTACAGATTGAGCGCACTGCCTGTCCCTGCTGGGGTCCAACCTGTGGCTGTGGTGGGCCAGCCCTCATGCTGCTCACTGTCCGTCTCCCCGGACAGGGCCCTGGACTTCGGGTACCTGACTCAGGACATGATTGATGACTACGAGCCGGCCCTCATGTTCAGCATCCCCAGGCTGGCCATCGTGTGGTGAGTGCCTCCTGTGCCCAGGACCTCTGCAGAAACCTGCGGGACGGGCAGGGCTGATGGTGCCAGGTCCCGTGCGGGTGCCGGTCCATGGCGTCTCCACCTCACGGTGGCCGCTCAGCTGTCCCGATCAGTGACAGGCAGGCCTGCTGTCAGCCCTCAGCAGACCAGGGGACCACGTGTCCTGAGTGCCCCCTGTTCACCTTGCTGGTGAGGGAGGCTCTGTCACCCTAGATAGGGCAAGGTGGCCTAACACCTGCCACCTGCCACTGGACAGGTGAGATCCACAGGTGAGCTCATTAGTCACAGGAGACCATGAGGGTCACACAGGGGTCATGCTCGGAACAGAGTGGCCACGCAGGGGCTGTGGGAGGCAGACTTGGTGGTAACAAGAGGACGAGCTGCCCCCCGGGTCCCTCAGGAGGCTGTGATTGGCTTGTTTGAATAATTTGGGGGCTGGCAGGGAGGTGAAGCACATTGGGTTGAAGGGCAGGTGGGGGCAGTTGGTCTGGCTGATGGAATACCTGTGTGGAACCTTTCCTGCCAGCGGGGCCGTCTGGGAGAGCAGGGAACTCAAGGCAGCCTGTAGGGTCCTGTGGGGCTCAAGGACGTGAACACAGCACATGGAAGCTCAGGCCTGAAATCCACCGAGGCAGGATGCGCGGGGTCACCTGCTTAGCGTCTCTGAGCTGTCTGGGGCCAAGGTTAGAGCCCAGGGGTCAGGCTGCTCATCCACACCCTGACTCCAGACGGGGATTCCCCATGCCCCTGCCAGGCGGATGGTCACGGGGGCGGAGGAGTGAGTGGACCACAGAGAGCTTAGTGGAGCTTGCAGCTGGGGGGGAGGCGGAAGTGGGGAGGGGGAAGAGGGGAGGGGGAAGAGGGGAGGGGGAAGAGGGGAGGGGGAAGAGGGGAGGGGGAAGAGGGGAGGCGGAAGTGGGGAGGGGGAAGGGGAGGGGGAAGGGGGAGGGTCCAGTGGGCAGCGGCCAGCAGGTGTGGGACTGGGCAGAGTAGGGGATGGGGAGCCCTTGAGAGAGATGCCCGTGGAGATGTGGATGTCAGTGAAGTGGTCGGGGAGTGGGGGGTGGGCACAGAGGCCACGACTGGTCCAGGCTCAGGCTGGAGAGACCTCACTGAGGCCATGCTGAGGAGCCCCAGGGGACCCCGGGGCACAGGCACACGTGGCAGTGCACTGGGGTTGAGCATGGATACCCCTCCCGTGGGAAATGGGGGTGCAGAGGTGGGAGCACGCGGGGCGGTGGCAGTGCAGTGGGCTAGGGCCAGCGGCGGGGCCTGCAGGGGACAGAAGTGCTTAACCCCAGGATGCGCCGAACACCCCTTGTTGGAGTGGGGAGCAATGGGGGCTGCTGCCGGGGCCAGTCTGGACACCCCTGGGCCAGGCCGCTCACTCCCCTAGGTCCTGGTGCCACCTCCTCCGGGAGGGCTCCAGCGTGGTCTCTATCTGCTGGGCCCTGGCTCCCCAGAGTCCCCTCCAATAGCTCAGGGCCTGGCCTGTTTCCTGCGCCGTCCTTCCCGTGTCCTCGCAGAGGTTGCGTCTTTCACAAAGTTAGCAAACCAGAGAGAGTGAGCCTCACATCGCGCCAGAGGGAGGCTCGGAAATCCTCCTGCCGTTAGACTCAGGGAACTTCCTTTCACCTGAAGACCTCAGGGCTGGAGGGCAGGGTGTCCCCAGTGGCCAGCGACAAGGTGGCTTGGAGGGAAGTGTCCTGGCGGGGAGAGGCCACCCCAGAGCACAGAGCGCCCCTTCCCATGGGCCACAGGATTTGGTGACATTGTTTTTCTTTTCTAGACAAGTGTCTCTCTGTGGCCAAACTCACTTGAAGAAAATGACAGGCAGTTTTGGTCCTTATTCTTCTCTTTGTTTAAAAAACAGAACAGCAAAGATCCTGCGAGCCGGCCTTGTTTCCACCAGGGCGCAGGGCGCTGTGAGCCTTTGCCTCAGGTACAGGTGTCTCCTTGTCCCAAGGGCACTCACAGCAAATGAACAGCTCTGCTGTCCTTGTAAAAAGTTCTCCGCGAGTGCTTTGAGGTGTGGCACCAAGCCACCCGCCCACTCATGCCCGTGTCAATGAGCCGGTGAGCCCTGGCTGGACTTCCTCTTAAAGGTCGGGCCTGGAGTGTGCAGGTGACCCCAGGTGACCCTCCCCGCAGGCCGCACCCCAGGCATACTGTGTTTCGGGACTTTCACACTGAGTCTGCTGCCCGTGTTTGCCCGAGTACAGGCGACCGCAGAACAGCAGCCACTTCCCCCAACCAGTATCATCTGTGTCCTGCTTGCCGACCTCAGTCCACCTGCTGGTGGCCAAACCTCTGCTCCTCCTTCTGTCCTAGGCTTTCATCCTGGGAGGCAAGGGGAGGCGGGGGCTGGGGGATCAGGGTAGGGGAGGCCAGAGGAGGGAGGTGGGGGGGCAGCTTGGGGAGGGAGGTGGGGGAGTGTGGGGGGTCAGGGAAGGGCAGCAGGGGGGGTCAGGGAAGGGCAGCAGGGGAGGCCAGTGCTGCGGGGGAGGCCAAGGGAGGGAGGTTGGGGAGGGAGGCTGGAGCTTCTGTTGGCAGAGGCTTTGTCCCGCGGGTCCCCTCCTGGAGGCACTGGCGTGGGGTCCCCTCGGGCTCAGGACAGTGGGAGAGCCTGGAAAGGGAGTGAGGGACCCCCAGGAGGTGAAGGGGGCTTGGATTGAAGGAGGGAGGAAGGGCGAGAGGGCATAAGAGCCCAAAGCCAGAGTCCAGGGAGCAGGCCTGTCCAGGGGGGTGGCCAGCTGTGAGCCCCCACAGAGGCAGGCATCTAGCCACAGAGCCAGGCTGTGGATACGAGGAACCGTGGGGTGCACCAGGCTGCCACTGCAACCCTCTGTGCAGCGAGCCTCGAGCAGGGCGGGTGAGTGCTGAGCGGGTGAGTGCTGAGTGGGCAGCTGTTCCTAAGGCCGCCCCTCTGGGATGCTCACTGGGGCCCTGCAGCCCTGCACCACCAGCGGATCCCGTCTTGTTCCTCGTCATCCACAGCGACCGCTTTGAGCCGGACAGGCAGAGGCCACAGCTGCCCGTGGTGGGGCCCAGAACCTGCTCCTTCCTGTGTTCATTCAGTGAGCAAGTATTGAGTGCCTACTGCATACCTCGCCCTGTGCTTGTACCAGGGAGATGGACAGATGGGCTGACCCACAGTGCTGTGGAATGTTCTGGATGCTGGAAGGGGGACTCAGTGCAGGGACCCCATGGGGTGGACAGGAGCTGAAGGCGTGAGGGAGAGGCTCCCCAGGGCAGCCGGCCCAGAGGTGGGAGCTGTGCAGGTGGCAGGCAGGGGCACGTTGGTGCAGGTGGTGTATGCTCAGGGGCAAGTCCAGGGCTCGAGCAAGGACCAGGGGGCCGCAGGAACTTCTGCAGAAATGAAGACCCCTCTAGCCTGCATTCCTGGGCCCACACCCTCGCAGGATCCTGCCTCTGTGAAGTGGGCATCCTGGGACCCCCCAGGTGACCCCCAGGGAACACTGAGAGCAGAGGGGAGGCAGGGGTGCTGAGCGGGGCAGGAGCTGAGGGTGGAGCTCCTCTGTGGCTCCTGCCCGTGACTGTGCTGCTGCCCGAGAGCCCCAGTCCCTTCTCCAGCACACAGTGTCAGAACAGTGATGCCACATTTACCAAGCATGAGCTGCGGGCCAGGCTCCCGTCCCCTTCTGAGGGGCTCCCAGTGGCGAAGGCACCGCTGGGGGTCAACAGCTGGAGGCGGCAGAACCAAGCCCACCCGAGGGTCAGAGCCTGCTATTCACCTGTGACACAAGAAAGCAGAAAACTCTAGTTCTGTGGCTGGCAGAGGAGGCCTGCCTGGGGCAGAGGCAGTGGTAAACTGAGGCCTTCAGATTGGCAGGGGGAGGTGGAAGGGAGTGCTGGGTGGCACCCTTCCCCCTGTTTAGGGTGTCCCCAGCCTGGTGGGGTCTGGCCTTACCAGGCAGTGAGGACAAAAACTGGGGGTCACCCCTGTGGGGACTTGCTCTGAGCCGTAGGGGAGGGGCCCCACTTGCCCTGCACCCCTCAGCCTGTCCCCTCCCTAAGACCTGCATCCAGTCAGTCCCTCCTGCTGATTGAGACACGCGTCCTGGGGAGAGTGTCTCCACGAGGCTCAGACTCTTTGACAAACTGGTTTTACTTTTGGGGATTTATCTTAAAACAGTTTCTTTTTTTTGTTTTTAACTTTTTATTTTTATTTTTTAATTAAAAAAAAAATAGAGACAGGGTCTTGCTGTGTTGTCCAGGCTGGTCTCGAGTTCCCGGGCTCTAGCAATCTGCCTGCCTTGGTCTCCTAAAGTGCTAGGATTACAGGCATGAGGTACCGTGCCCAGCCCCGGCCTTAAAACAGTTCCTTTAAAGGAAGAAATGAAATAAAACCTCTAGACCCAGTGGTCACTTCCCAGTCCCCATCAGCACAGACCTGCCTGCCCGCCTCGCTGCGGCTTCGCCCGTCTGCACTCACAGCTGTGTGTGTGCGACGCTTCCCAGACCGGACCTGTGCAGAACCCAGGCCCCTCTCCTCTACCCCTCCCTCCCTTCCTCCCCAGCCCCTCCTTCCAGCCCATCCCAGAATCTACCCCTCCCTCCCTCCCCAGCCCCCTCCTTCCAGCCCATCCCAGCGTCTACCCCTGCCTTCCTCCCCAGCCCCCTCCTTCCAGCCCATCCCAGAACACGTGCAGGAGCCACCGCCCACGTGGCCTGCAGGATGGTTGCCGGATCCTCTTCAGGGGCCCTCACCCATCCACCTGTGTCAAAACAAGGTGTCATCTCTGCCCTGCTCAGACCCTTGCCGGAGCTCCCACCGTGATCTGCCTGCACCGTGCCCACACCAGTCCTCTCTCCCCAGTCCCCACGCACCCGCTGCCCTGGGTCTCCACCATGCTGTCCCCTTCGCTCAGGGTCCCCTTGACTGTCCTATCCCTACTGCCACACTGTCCCCTCCCCCGCACTGTCCCCTTTTCCATGATGTTTCCTCCTCCACGCTGTCCCCTCTGCTCCAGTGTCCTCTTGGCCATGCTGTCCTCTCCATGGTGCTGGCCCCTCCACTACACTGTCCCCTCCTCTATGCTGTCCCCTTGTCTATGCTGTTCCCTCCTCTATGCTATCCCATTCTCCATGCTATCCCATTCTCCATGCTGTCCCCTCCTCCATGCTGTCCCTTCCTCTGCAATGTCCTCTCCCCTGTGCTCCTCTGCACTGTCCCCTCCTCCATGCTGTCCCCTCCTTTATGATGTTCCCTCCTCCGTGCTGTCCCCTCCATGATGTCCCCTCTTCCGTGCTGTCCTCTCCTCTGCACTGTCCCCTACTCCCTGCTGTACCTCCCTCTGCGATGTCCCCACCACTGCACCGCTCACCCAAGCCCTCTCCCACCAGCAGGTTGCGTGACTTACTCTGTTATTTATTTTTCCATGTTACTGAGATAAAATTCATTACCCTATGACTCACCCATCTACAGTGCACAGTCGTTTTTGGTACATTCAGAATTGTGCAGCCATCACCACAAATTTCATAACATTTTCATTACTCACAAAGATGTCTCTTACTCCTGAGCGGTCACCTCCACCCCCTATTATCCTTCATCCTGCCCCTTAACCCTAGGGAACCACAAATCTATTTTCTGTTTCTATAGATTTGGCTATTGGGTTATTCATATAAATGGGATTTCTGTTATTTTTGTGTCTCCCCCACTAGACTATAACTCTTATTCACGGATGCATCCTGAGTGCCTGTCATGTCATAGTGTGGTGGACTTTTGCAGAATTTTGTTGCATTGATCTGAGGGGGCACAAATATATATCCACAAAGATTATCCCCGAAGTATTACTTGTAATCATAAAAATTTGAGAAGGGATGGATATCCAGAATTAAGGGATTGGTTAAAAACAATACTGTAGCCATTTAAATAATGATGGAGAAAAATCTCCTAATGCTATGCAAAAACATCCCCAGTGTATTAAGCACAAAAACTGTTATCAAATAGTATGTCTCTATTTTACAGAGTTTCTTAACATTGATAGGTAAAACTTTTGTAAACAGAAATTAAAGCAATAAACATTCTTCTTTATTGTGGTAAAATATACATAACAAAATTGGCCATTTTGACCCTTTCTTAGGGTTTTAATGGCAAAAATTGCAATTACTTTTGCACCAACCTAATATATAGGATTTACCCTTTTGTGACTGTCTTATTTCACTTCACATAATGTTTTCAAGTTTCCCCCATGTTGTAGCATGTGTCAGAATTTCCTACCTTTTTAAGGCTGAATAATATTCCATTGGATGTAATTAGCTGTTATTTTAAATAAGAAATGTGTGATAACATTCAAAAGAGTAAAATGCCTAGGAATAAATTTAATCAAGAAGGTGAAAGGCATGGATGCTGAAAACTAAAAAACGTTGCTGAAAAAATTAAAGACATAATTAAAGAGAAAGACATTCCATGTTCATGGATGGGAAGACTTAATATAGTTAGAATGGCAATACTCCATAAAGTGATCTACAGATTCTGTGCAATTGCTGTCGAAACTCCATTGGCCTTTTTGTTTTGCAGAAATGGAAAAGGTGTTCTAAAATTCATGTGGAACTGCAATGGGCCCTAAATAGCCAAAACAATATTGAAAAACAAAAACAAAATTGGAAGATTCATACGTCCTGATTTCAAAACTTACTACAAGTCAAAACCTTATGGTACTGGCATAAAGATAGATGTATAGACCAATGGAATAAAATTGAGAAGCCATAAATAAACCCAAACATCTATGGTGAACTGATTATTGACAAGGGGGCCAAGATCATTCAATAAGGAAAGAACAGTCTCTTCAGTGAATGTTCCTGGAGCAACTGGATAACCACATGCAAAAGAACAAAGTTGGAAAAAAAAAAAAAAAAGAACAAAGTTGGACCCTGCGATGGTTAACTTCATGTGTCATCTTGGGTAGGCCACATTACCCAGATATTTGGTAAAATACCAGTCTGAATGTTGCTGTGAAGGTATTTTTTTTTCTTTTTATAATGATAAACTGGCAATTTATAATTGCGCAGATTTATAGCATGCAAAGTTGTGTTATAATCTATGAATGCAGTGTGGAATAATTAAATCAAGCTGGTTAACATATCCATCACCTCAAATATTTAACATCTTTTGAATGAGATCATTTTAAATTTACTCTCTTACAATTTGGAAATGTACAGCACTCTATTATTAACTGTATTCACCATGATGTGCAAAGAACTCAAAAAAAGAAAAAAAATTCTTCTAGTCTGAGATTTTATACTCTTTGGCCATTCCCCACACCCCCAGCCTCTATAACCACTGTTGTGCTCTCTGATTCTATAAGTTCAATTGTTTGAGATTCCACAAGTAAGTGAGAACATATGGTATTTGTCTTTCTGGTCCTTACTTATTTCACTTAGCATAATGTTCTAAAATTCCATCCAATTTTTCACAAATGTCAGAATCTCTTTTGTTTTTAAGGCTGAATAGTATTCTATTGTGTATATATACCACATTTTCTTTATTCATCTGTTAAACGCTTAGGTTGATTTCATAACTTAGCTATTGTGAATAATGCTGCAATGAACATGAGACTACAGACATCCCTTCAACAAACTGATTTCAGATGTTTGGGGTAAATACCCAGAAGTGGGATTGCTGGATCATATGGCAATTATATTTGTAGTTTTTTTGAGGAACCTCTATACTGTTTTCCATAATGGCTGTACCAATTTACATTCCTACCAATGGTGTGCAAGGGTTCCCTTTTCTCCACATCCTTGGTAACACTTATCTTTCATCTTCTTGATAAAAGATATTCAGACAAATGAGAAATGATATCTCACTGTGGCTTTAGTTTGCTTTTCTCTAATGACTAGTGATGTTGGTCATTTGTATGTCTTCTTTTGAGAAATGTTTTTATCCCTGAAATGCAAGGATGGTTCAATATACACAAATCAATAATTGTGATACATCACATTAATAGAATAAAAAAACCATATGATCATCTCATTAGATGCAGAAAAAGCATTTGATAAAATTCAACATCATTTTATGATGAAAAACTCAGCAAATTAGATGTAGAAGGAATATATCCCTTCAAGGGTACCACTGAGTGAAAATGTAAAACAGAAAAAAAGAAAGAATGTGCCTTAACGCAATAAAGGCCATATATAACAAGAAGCCCACAGCTAACGTTATACTCAATGGTAAAAAATTGAAAGCCTTTCCTGTAAGATATGGAACAAGGCAAGGATGCCTACTCTTCCCACTTCTATTAAATATAGTATTGAAAGTCCTTGCCAAAGCAATTAGGCAAGAGAAAGAAAGAAAAGGCATCCAAATAGGAAAAGAAGTGTAATTGTTACTGTTTGATGGCAACTTTATTCGATATATATATATATATATATATATATATATATATATATATATATATATATATATATATTTGAGATGGAGTCTTGCTCCGTCACCCAGGCTGGAGTGCAGTGGTGCGATCTCAGCTCACTACAACCTCCACCTACTGGGTTCAAGCGATTCTCCTGCCTCAGCCTCCTGAGCAGCTGGGACTACAGGCATGAGCCACCATGCCCAGCTAATTTTTGTATTTTTAGTAGAGACAGGGTTTCACCATATTGGCCAGGCTGGTCTTGAACTCCAGATCTGGTGATCCACCTGCCTCGGCCTCCCAAAGTGCTGGGATTATAGGCGTGAGTCACTGCACCTGGCCGGCAACCTTATCTTATCTGTGGAAAACCCTACAGACTCCACCAAAAAAACTGTTAGGACTAATAATGAATATAGTAAAGTTCCAGGACACAAAATCAAGACACAAAAATTAGTAGCATTTTTATACACTAACAATACACTATCCGAAAAAAGAAATCAAGAGAATAATCTCATTTACAATAGCTACAAAGAAATAAGATACTAAGGAATAATTTTTATCACAGAGGTGAAAAACCTGTACACAGAAAACTATAAAACATCAATGAAATCAATTCAAGAAGACAAAGATATTCCATGTTCATGGATTGGAAGAATTAATATTGTTAAAATGTCCATACTACCCAAGTAAATCTACATGTTTAATGTAATCCCTTTCAAAAGCCCAACATCATTTTTTTTATGGAAAGAGAAAAAAATCCTATAATTCATATAGAACCATAAAAACCCACGAATAGCCAAGGCAATCATGAGCAAAAAGGACAAAGCTGGAGATACCACACTACCTGATTTTAAACTGTACTACAAAGCTATAGTAATTTTAAAACAGCTTAGAGTTGGCAAAAACAAAACAACAGGACACAAATACCAGTGGAACAGAATAAAGAGCCCAGAAATGAACCCAACTAATTTTCAGCAAAGGTGCCAAGAAGACAAGGACAGCCTCTTCAATAAATGGTGTTGGGAAATCTGAATTTTCACATGTCAAAGAATGAAGCTAGAACCTTATCTCACACCATATAAAAAATCAACTCAAAATGGATTAAAGAGCTAAATATAAGACCAGAAACTCTAAAACTACTAGAAGAAAACATAGGGGAAAGACTACACAACATTAGTCTGGGTAGTGACTTTTTGGATTTGGCCCCAAAGTGCAGGTAAGAGAAGCAAATATAGATAAATTGGATTACATCAAACTGAAAAGCTTCTGCATAGCAAAAGAAACAACAGGGTGCAAAGACAACCTATGGATTGGGAGAAAATATTTACAATTCATACATCTGATGGGTTAATATCCAACATATATAAAGAACTCAAAAAATTCAACAGCAAGAAAACATTAAAAAAAATATGGGTAAGAGACTGGGCATGGTGGCTCATACCTGTAATGCTAACACTTTGGGATGCCGAGGCAAGAGGATTGCTTGAGGCCAGGAGTTTGAGTCCAGCTTAAGCAACATAGTGAAACCTCATCCCAACAGCAAAAAGCCAGATGTGGTGGTGTGTGCCTGTAGTCCCAGCCACTTCGGAGGCTAAGACGAGAGGATTAGTTGAGCCCAGGAGTTCGAGTTTGCAGTAAGCTATGATCACGCCATTGAATTACAGTCTGGGCAATGGAAAGAGACTCTGTCTCTTAAAAGCAAAAAAAAAAAAAAAAAAAGTAAGATTTAAAGACAAGGGGAAAAGGAAAAAAATGTGAGAAGGGAACTGAATATACATTTCCACTGAAGTTTTTGAAGCCATGAATGTATTTTTGCACAAACGCTTTTATCATATGCAGTCGTTTTTTGTAAATGATTTTTTGTAATGCCAGCAGATATAGGTTAGAGTGATTTTTCACCTGAGTATATGACAGAAAAATGTTTGAATCATTATTAGTTGCCTGTACTGGCAGTATGAATCTGGAAGAAAGTGGTTGAATAGAGAATAGTAAGAGCAAGGCCATTTAGTCTGTACATTCACATAGGGCTTGGTCATTTGCAACAATAAATTTGTTCATTGGCAGGATTTCCCACCAAGTTAGTATAGATTCTATGCTATTTGATAAAAGATAACAATAATAAAGTTAATTTTTTTTTTCTCTTCAGCATTTGCTTTAAGAGAAAAATCCTGAAGCTTGTAGGGATTTCTGATGCCAGGAAACCATGAAACGTGAGAGTATATTTAGCAATCAGGGTGACTTAACTCATGGTAATTGGCACATGTATAGTTACAATTTGCATTCTAGTTATTTAAACTAAGATATTCTTGATCAGGCTGAACATACTGTGAGTAGAAGATTGCTTTCCCTAATAAATAAGATAGAGTCTTTGGAGGATGGCCTTGGTAAGTTGGTAAGTCAGCTTCCTCTGGATTTTGGTGATTTCTCCAGTTCTTCCATAATTCCTCAGGGCCCTGACAATTTTCTGAGTAAGCCATGGGGTTCTGGCTGACTTTTCTTTTTCCCTAAAGTTTTTCTTTATTTTTCAATACAAACAGAAAGACATCTTTGGTTTTATCTACTCCTGGATACAAGACACCATCTTAGCATTATGTGGGGATTCGTGAAGGTATTAAAACGGTCAGAGCTTCTTCCTGCTATGATGGTTCTCCAGCTATACACAGGTTCCTCTGTGGGCAACACTTCTTAGCAGATGGAATTTCCTCTGACATGAGGACAGTGGCTGACGAAAGCCAGGTAATTTTTGTCATCTGGGGAGGAGTGAAGATCAGTTGAATGTTACCTCAGTACCTCAAAAGCGCCTTCAAATGCTTCAGCCAGCTTGTCTTGTTCAACACAAGTCATGCTTCACTGAATGGATGATTCTACCCATCCGTGTCCAGTGTAGCATCCGCTGTACGATGTGGATATAACCTTCCCTGTCCTCTGAAACGCACGTCAGCACCACCCTGCTGTGAGGTATTTTAAAGATGAGATTAGCATTTAAATCAGTAGACTCTGAGTACAGCTGACGACCCTCCGTGATGTGGGTGGGCCTCATCCAATTAATGGAAGGCCCTGAGAGAAATAGACTGAGATCCGCAAGTAAGGGGGAATCCGGCTTCCAGACTCCTTGGATTGGAGCTGCCGTGTCAACTCTTCTCCGGGTTCCCAGCAGAATTTGGACTTTCCAGCCCCCACAATTGCATGAAACAATTCCTTAAAATAAATATTGCTCTCTTGTTCTGTTTCTCTAGAGAACTTTGATACAGAGGGTAAATCTTCCTGTTCTCAGATTTTGCAATGGATTTGACATCAAAAGCACCACCACAAAAAGATAAAAAGAGAAACTGGACTTCATCAAAATTAAAAATTGTGATTGTCCAACAATGATAGACTGGATTAAGAAAATGTGGCACATATACACCATGGAATACTATGCAGCCATAAAAAATGATGAGTTCATGTCCTTTGTAGGGAAATGGATGAAATTGGAAACCATCATTCTCAGTAAACTATCTTAAGAACAAAAAACCAAACACCGCATATTCTCACTCATAGGTGGGAATTGAACAATGAGATCACATGGACACAGGAAGGGGAACATCACACTCTGGGGACTGTTGTGGGGTGGGGGGAGGGGGGAGGGATAGCATTGGGAGATATACCTAATGCTAGATGACGAGTTAATGGGTGCAGCGCACCAGCATGGCACATGTATACATATGTAACTAACCTGCACAATGTGCACATGTACCCTAAAACTTAAAGTATAATAATAAAAAATAAATAAGAAAAAAAAATTGTGATGCATCAGAGGACATTATAAAGAAAATGAAAAGACAACCTAAAGAATATTTGCAAATCATATATCTGATGAAGATTTAATGTCCAGAACATATAAAGAACCCTTACAACTCAACAACAAATCGACAAACAACCCAATTTAAAAATGAGGAAAGACTTGAATAGACATTTCTTCTAAGAAGATATACACATGGCCAACAGGCACATGAAAAGATGCTCCACATCGTTGGTTACTAAGGAAATGCAAGTCAAAACCATGATGAGATGCCACTTCACACCCACCAGGATGGCTGTAATCAAAAAAATGGAAAAGAATACGTGGGGAGAGCGTGGAGAAGTCAGAACCCTTGGATTGCTGGCAGGAGTGTAAAATGCCACAGCTGCTACGGAAAACAGTTGGTGGTTCCTTAAAAAGTTAAACATAGAATTATATGATCCATATGGTCATACCACATACCCTTCTAGGCATATACCCAAGAGAAATGAAAACATATGTCCGTGAACAAACTTCTACACGAATGTTTATGGCAGCATTATTCATAATTGCCCAAAGGCAGAAACAATCCAAACTTCCACCCGTGGGTGAATGAAGAAATGTATGCGCGGGAACATTCGCCACGTGCCACAGCATGGTGAGCCTTGAAAACGTGGTGCAAAGTGAAAAGCGGTCACAAAGGTCACGTATTATGTGATTCCATTTATATGAAACACCCAGAATAGGCCAATTCATAGAGACAGAAAGCAGATGAGGGATTGCCAGTGGCTGAGGTGAGGAAGTCAGTGGTGATTATTAAAAGGGTGTTTTCTGGGGTGATAAAAACCTTTTGAAACTAGAGAGGTGATGGGTGCACAGCACCGTGAATGCAGAAAATGCCTCAGAATCATACCCTTTAAAACAGTTGTTCGTTATATGAATTTATTTGAAAAAAGAAAAGGGAAGACTGGCCACCCCCACTTCCAGCAGGGCCCAGCTTTCTCCACTGTGCGGGGCGTCCTCTCTCCTGCTCACCTTAGCTGGACCTGGGCCAAGCCCCTCACAGTGCCCCCACACCCCTGGCCACACCGAGACCCCAGGATCCAGCCTGCCAGGCTCACCAGTGGGTGCTGCTTACCCCTGCTCATGGCAGCATGGACGCAGGCCTGGGTGGCCTGTCGGGCTGTAGCCATGGGCAGCGGCTGCATTGGACCCACCGTTTCTGGCAATAGCTCATTCCCAGGCCTCATTCTGAGCCTCTTCAGCCGGATTCCTGCAAGTGCCAGGCCAGGTGCAGAGACAAATGCTGAGTCTCTGGCAGCCGCCCGGGGGCCGCTCCCCACCTCTGGCCCCCACACCCCGTTACTTCAGCACCTGGGCCTGATCTCCTGTCCCACGGGCCTTCTCTCTGTCGTTCGGGCACCTGCAGAGCTGCTGAGCAGCAGGGCTCAGCCACTGTGGAGTGCACGGCCCTGCGTCCAGCACGCGAAAGCTAACACACGGCTGGATGTGGGGACACAGCCCAGGGGGTCTTGGGTCCCCGCAGGCTCCCAGGAGGAAGTGGCGCAGCAGCCTTGGGGTCTGAGCCTCCTGATGAACGAGTTCTTTTCTGAGGTCCTGGGCCAGCAGCTCTCATGGGTGGGCCTTGTCCCCCCACTCCTGCTGACTGCCCTGGGGGGCAGCTGGGTCCTCCCTCGGCCACGCTGCTGCCCGGCACAGGCAGGAGCGAGGTTTCCAGAGGGGCAGACGTTGGGTACACAGGTCATTGCGGGACTGAGTCCTATGCTCAGCAGGGGAGGGAGCTCTACTGTGGTTGTGGATGGCTTCCCTGAGGCTTGGCCACTGGAGTCAGGGCTGCCCCCTTCCCTGCTCTGTTTCACTCTGCCTTTGTCCTGAGACTGCCTGATTCACCCATAAAGTTAAGGCTCTATTTGGGTAATTGTCCCCTGAATACTGTTCGTTCAATCAGGACAGGCAGCTCATGTAAGAGCCACAAAGGAGACCAAGCAGAATGGAAGGCTGGTTGTGCTGTCCCCTCACCCACAGGTGGTCAAGACACAGCCCCCTGCCCAGCTGAGCTGGCCACTCCACAGGGGCCCCGGAGGCAGCACTGCACATACTTTTCCTGTGACTTTCAAATCTTCTTTTTGCACATGAAACCCAACGATTTTTAGGGAAAAACATTCCCTTTGTTCAATTCTGTTCATCAGCCTTTCTCACTGAGCTGGGTGTGTTAGACAAGGAGACTGTCCCTGTGCTCCCAGGGACTCGGTGTTGGCTGGACCTAACCCTGGTGTCACGTCTGCTGAAAGAGACAGGCCGGTGGTGCTCCATTTACACAGACAGGCCCACATGGCCCTTGTCTGTGCTCTGATGAGGAAGAATATGATGAGGGACAGGGGACGAATTCGTGGGTGGATGCTCCCCAGGCACCTGAGACATGGTCTGGTCCCAAGAGACCCAGGAGGAGGCACCCAGAGAAGGTCCTCTGGGATGGGTGCCCTCAAGGAGAGACGGGCTGAGACATGGATGATCAAGGCACACTCGGAGCTTGGCAGGGCTGGACGGTGCGTGGAGAGGAGTGGGTGCCACTGGAGGTGGCATCTGGGAAGCTTGTCCTTCAGCAGGCTTTGAGCCGGACTCTGGGGGAGGGACAGTGAGGAAAGCCGGCCTCAGCCACATGCGGCCCCAGTCCTGGGGAGGGGAGCTTCTCGGGGCATGGTGGGCACCACAAGGGAGGTGGGTCCTGTGTGGGGGATGAGGGGAGGCTGCTTTGGTCTCGTGGCTTGTGGAGCGTTGGCCAGGCTGCAGGAAGGGAACCCGTGCGGGCCTCAGCTCGCACCTCCAGCTGGTTTTGCTTTTGGAGAAGATGGTTCCAGGTCCAGTTCTCATAAAGCTCTGCAGATAAATTTAACCACAAATCCAGTTTTTATTACTTGCAAGAAGGTAGATTTTGGTAACAAACCTTGAGGCTAATTTATCTGATTGCAGCACTGATGTGTGCAGATACACTTTTCTGATTACTTTATGACCCCTCCAATGAACACAAGCTAATCAACTGCAAAAGAGGATGAAGTCTGGGTAATAATTCTCACTGCTTTTTTCTAAACTTATTTACAATGCAATCACACAAGGCAAAGCATGAGGCGGCGGCCGTGCTGGGACAGTGGCGCTGCAGAGTCCCAGCGGGCGTGGTTTTCGCAGGTGGTTAAGTTGGGCCGTCCGCGGCACCCAGGGGGCCACAGGGCCTGACATCCTGGCTTTTGTGTCTCAAATGCAGTGGCCTCGTGGTCTATGCGGACGGACCTCTGAACTTGGACCGCAAGGTGGAAGACATGTCCGAGCTGTTCCGGCCCTTCCACACGTTGCTGCGGAAAATAAGGTGGGGATGGAGCTAGAGGAGGTGGGGGAGGGGAGGGGGACAGGAGGGCCACAGGTGGGCGCTGAAGTCATGTTTAGCCGCCGCCTCCAGGTCCTCCTCCTCTCTGTGAGGAAGGATGGGCTGGTTAATATTCCCTAGGGAGGGGTCACAAACGACCCATGGGGGTCACAGAGTCCTGGCTTTTGCCCCTGCCTGGGCATCGCATGGGGTGGGCGCTCTCTTGGGCTGAGCTGGGGGAGTGAACCTCACACTTCCTGACATGGTACAGCAACAGCTAAGTGTCCTGCTGTCCCCACCATTCCCATTGTCCCCACCATCCCCACCGTCCCCACCGTCCCCACCATCCCCACCATCCCCACCGTCCCCACCGTCCCCAAAGCGCTTGCTTCTGTTGGAGTCTTGGTGCTCCACCTGTGCCCTTTGTCTTTAGTTACTGGTTTACGTCTGTGTCCACATGGGAGACCCCCTTTTAAAACACGACGCCTTTCCTTCATATGGGCCAAGGGCTTTGCTGGGTGGCCTGAGCCGACAGAGCCCAGCCGTGGCTTCCTGGAGGGACGGGGGCCACGTGAAGCCCATGGCACATGTCCTCCATGTGCCACCCTGGCTCTGTGGCCTGGGACAGCTTGGTATTTCCTACCACGGCCCCTGATCACTGCAACCAGGTTTCCTTCGGGGACCCAGAAGCCTAGAACTCTGCCCCATGAGGGCCAGAGGTGCTGTGAGTCCAGACAGTGAAAAGTGACCCCGTGGGCTATGGGGTCCTCGTCACCCTTGCAGATGGGGTTGTGAGCTCTTGGGGCCTTGGCAGGTGGTCCTTGGCGTCAGTGGGTTCAGGGGCAGGGGTGCTTGGTTCAGTCCATGTTTCATCTGGGAGATGGCTGTCGCTGCTTTCCTCCTGCTTGGGGGGATGTGAGCCCTGGACCTGGAGGTTGCAGTCTCATCCTTCCTTGGGTGACGTGGAGGAGACCACAGTGAGGAGAGGAGACAGATGCCACCTACACCAGGAAGGCACATGCACCCCCTGCCCCACATATGGGGGTCTTACAGGAAAGGTGGCGCAGGTGCCGGGCCGTGGCTGGAGAAGGAGCCTCCTGGGCGGTGTGGGGCTGGAAGGGGGCACCGGCCACACAGGAGTGGAGTGGACGTCCTGGGAGCATATCTGCCCTTGGCCTGCATGGGTGATGGAGAGGAGGATGAAGCTGAACGGGCTGGAGGCAGAATGCTGTCGAGGGATTAATGCTAGGATTACAGGTGGACCACCATGCCCAGCTAATTAAAAACAATTTTCTTGTAAAGATGGGGTCTCGCCATGTGGCCCAGGCTGGTCTTGAACTCCTAGGCTTAAGCTTTCCTCCGGCCTCGGTCTTCCAAAGGGTTGGGATTACAGGTATGAGTCACCTCACCTTGCAGAAAGCTGTGTGGGTGGAACGTGCCTCTGCTGCCCACCCAGGGGCCCTGATGTGGGAACCTCACCCATGGGTAAGGCAGCGGGGACCCAGGTGTGCACCCACAGGCTGGCCCTGCCGCCCCGATGGAACTGCTGCTTGTGCCCCCCGCCCACCCAGGGAAAACAGTGAGAATCCACAGATGAGCCTGCATCTCCTCCAGCGTCAGGGTTTGAGGACTTATCCGTTACTGTCCACGTGTAGTGGTGTGATCTCAGCTCACTGCAGTCTCCGCCTCCAAGTTCAAGAGATTCTCCTGCCTCAGCCTCCTGAGTAGCTGGGATTACGGGTGTACGCCACCATGCCCGGCTAATTTTTATATTTTTAGTAGAGACGGGGTTTCACCATGCTGGTCAGGCTGGTCTTGAACTCCTGACCTCAGGTGATCCGCCCGCCTCGGCCTCCCAAAGTGCTGGGATTACAGGCGTGAGCCACTGCGACCAGCCAAAAGATCCTGCTTTTAAAGGTACCTGAACTGTGGAAGTAAGGACTGGGTGAACTAAGAGCCTGGGGAAGGGAGCCTTTGGAGGTGAGCTGCAGTCTACTTGGCTGTTCTTCCCCAGGGAAGATTTGATGATTCCAGGCTTGTCCAGGGCCCAGGCTTCCCAGGCAGAGAAGCTCTGCTGGGGAAAGAACATCTAATCAAGGGCTGGTGAAACAGGCTGGCAGCTTGGGGGCATTCAAGCAGCACGCCTGCCAGTCCTGGGGAAGCAGGAAATCCAGGCAGAAAGCCCCCTGACAACAGGCTTCCTGCAGTTTCCAGGTGCTTAGGAACAAAAGCATGCCTTGAGGCCGGCGCGGTGGCTCATGCCTGTAATCCAGGCACCTTGGGAGGCCCAGGCGGATGGATCACCTGAGGTCAGGAGTTTGAGACCAGCCTGGCCAACATGGTGAAACCCTGTCTCTACTAAAAATATAAAAATTAGCTGGGCGTGGTGGCGGACGCCTGTAATCCCAGCTATTTGGGAGGCTGAATCAGGAGAATCATTTGAATCTGGGAGGCGGAATTTGCAGTGAGCTGAGATTGCGCCACTAAATTCCAGCCTGGGCGACAGAGCAAGACTCTGTCTCAAAAAAAAAACAATCAAACAAAAAGCATGCCGTGAGCACACTGCTAGAGACGTTTGCCAGATTTTGAAGTTGCATGTGGCTGGAGGCTGAGCTGGAACTTGGAAGGACAGAACTCGGTCTCCTGCAGACTTTGGGGTTTGAGAAGGCAGAGAGTGCAGCAGGCTCAGAACTGCAGTAACCAGGCCTAAGCGCAGCCAAACCTCAACCTACTCCGTGTCCGAAGGGAATGCAACAATGGACCTCATGCGGTCAGCCTAACAGAGAAAGGGGTAGTCCCCTCTGGTGGAAAAGGTGTCATCTGTAACCTTTATGATTCTTTTATATCCAATGTCTGTCATATAATCCAAAATTGCTTAAAATGTTGGCCGGGCACAGTGGCTCACTCCTGTAATCCCAGCACTTTGGGAGGCCAAGGTGGGCGGATCACCTGAGGTCAGGAGTTTGAGACCAGCCCAGCCAACATGGCAAAACCCCATCTCTACAAGAATACAAAAATTAGCCAGACATGGTGGTGCATTCCTGTAATCCCAGCTACTTGGGAGGCTGAGACCAGAGAATCGCTTGAACCCAGGAGGTGGAGGTTGCAGTGAACCAAGATCGTGCCACTGTACTCCAGCCTGGGTGACAGAGTGAGACTCTGTCTCAAAAAAAAAAAAAAAAAGTTAAAGAAACAAGAAAATACTGTAATCCCAGCACTTTAGGAGGCCAAGGTGGGTGGACCACAAGGTCAGGAGATCGAGACCATCCTGGCTAACACAGTGAAACCCCATCTCTACTAAAAATATAAAAAATCAGCCAGGCATGGTGGTGCGCACCTGTAGTCCCAGCTATTTGGGAGGCTGAGGCAGGAGAATTGCCTAAACCTGGGAGGCAGAGGTTGCAGTGAGCCGAGATTGCACCACTCCACTCCAGCCTGGGCTACAGAGCGAGACTCCATCTCAAAAAAAAAAAGAGAGACAAGAAAATATATCTGATAGTTGAGAGAAGAGCCAGAAAGTGGATGCAGAGTTCTGATGATCCAGATAACTACTCCCAAGAATGTGAACACAGTGCTGATTAACATGTTAAAGAAAATAGAAGGGGGCAAATTAGATAAGAGGATAGAGAATTTAACAGAGAATTGGAATCTATACAGAGAGACACAACCAAGTGTGGTGGCATGCACCTGTAGTCCCAGCTGCTCAGGAGGCTGAGGCCGGAGGGTCACTTGAGCCCAGGAGTTCTAAATCCTAGTGTGCTATGCTGATCAGGTGTCTGCACTAAACTTTGGCATCAATATGGTGACCTCCTGTAGCAGGGAACCACCAGGTTGCTTAAGGAGTGGTGAACCTGCCCAGGTCAGAAATGGAGTAGGTCAAAACTCCCATGCTGATCAGTAGTGGGATTGCACCATTACAGTGCAGTGTGATAGCCACTGCACTCCAGCCAGGACAACATAGCAAGACTCCATCTCTAAAGAAAGAAAGAAAGGGGAAGGAAAAAAAGGAAAGGAAGGAAGGAAGAAAAAAATGACATTCTAAAGCTAAGAAAATTCACAATTTGACAATAAGGACGCAGTAGATGGGTTTAATAGCAGATCGGACCCAGCAGAACACAGAAGTAGTCAGCTTGAGGATAGCTTAATAGAAGAGACCCAAACTGAAGCTCGGGCAGGAAAAAAGAGGGGAAAAACAACAAGAAACAACAATAGAAAACCAGAATAGAGCATAAGAGACACGTGTAACAAACTCAAAAGGCCTAAAAAACATAATTGGAATCCCAGAAAGAGAGAAAAGAGAGAAGGGGCAGAAGTAATATTCAAAGAAGTCATGGCTAAACATTTCCCCAAATTCCAAAAGACAAAAATCTCTAGCCACAGATTCAGCAAGAAAACTACAAACAAAAAACCAACCAGCATACCTGGGTATATCATAGTGAAATTGCCAAAAACAAAGACAAAAAATTTGACAAGCAGCAAGAGAAAAAGGACATACTACTTTGAAACGAACATAAGATGGATAGCTGTCTTCTCAACAAATGAACAGAAACAATGGAAGCTGACAAGCAGTGAAATAACGTATATTTAAACTGCCGAAGGAGGTTGGGCACAGTGGCTCCCGCCTGTGATCCCAGCACTTTGGGAGGCTGAAGCGGGAGGATCACTTGAGCCAGGAGTTGGAGACCAGCCTGGCCGACATGGTGAAACCTCGTCTCTACTAAAAATTCAAAAATCAGCCAGGCGTGGTGGCGGGCGCCTGTAATCCCAGCTGAGACACGAGAATCACTTGAACCTGGGAGGCGGAAGTTGCAGTGAGCAGAGATCACGCCACCGCTTTCTAGCCTGGGCAACAGAGTGAGACTCTGTTTCAAAAAGAAAACAAAACAAAAAAAACTGCTGAAGGAAAATAGCTGACAACCAGCATTTTATAACCAGCAATAATATCCTTCAAAAATGAAGGTGATATTTTGCCTTCATGAATTATTCCAAAACATAGAACTGAAGGAATTTGTTATCAGCAACCTGCACATAAAACAATTAATTGGAGTTCTTCAGAAAAAAAAATTGTATCAGATGGAAATGTAGAAATGCTAGAGAGGCCAGGTGCGGTGGCTCCTGCCTGTAATCCCAGCACTTTGGGAGGCCAAGGCAGGAGGATTCCTTGACCTCAGGAGTTTGAGACCAGCCTGGACAACATAGTGAGGCTCTCTAGTTAAAAAAAAGAAAAATTAGCTGGGCATGGTGGCATGCCTGTAGTTCCATCTTACTCAGGAGGCTAAGGTGGGAGGATCATTTGAGCCCAGGAGTTTGAGGTTGCAGTGAGCTATGATTGTGCCACTGCACTCCAGCTTGGATGACAGTGAGGCCCTGTCTTAAAAAAAGTAATGCAAGAGAGACTGAAGAACATGATGTGGGTTAACATAAGTGAATATTAACTGTACAAAATAATTATAGTGTCTGTGGAGTTTAAATTGTACATAGTACTAAAATTCATGATATACAAGTAGCAGAAAAGACAGAAAGGGGTAAATGGAATTTTAAAGTTGTACTGGAAATGTGATTGAATAAATTATTTATATTAGAATGTGATCAGTCAAGGATCACTATTACAATATTAGGATAACACTAAAATAATAAAGATGAATAACTAGCAAATTCATAGAAGGAAAAACATCCAAAATAAGGTAAGAGCAGAGAAAGAGAAGATACAACAAATGGACCAAATAGAAAAAAATAGTAAGATGAAAGATACAAACCCAACCACATCAGTGATTACATTAAATACAAATGGACTAAATATTCTAAGTGTAAAACCAAGATTACCAGTCTGGGTTGAAACAGCAGCAACAACAGCTGTACTTGGCTGACGAGAGACCCAGTCCTGACACAAGTACGTGAACAAGGTTGAGAGTAAATAGACAACATAAACCATGCAGACACCACCCAAAGAAAGTTGTTGTAGTTATATTTATCAAAGTAAACTTTAAGGCAAGAAAGATTACTACAGATAAAGAGAAATATTTCATGCTGATAAACAGGCAATTCAGTAGGAAGATGTCACAATCCCAAATCTGTATATATGGGCTGAATAACATAGCTGTAAAACTTATGTAAAGCAAATAACAGAAATATAAGGTGGAATAGACAAATCCAAAACCAGCAGGATACTTTAATTTACCTCTCTATAACTGATGGAACTAACAGGAAAACCCTTGAGAATGTAAGAAATCTCAATAACAAAACTAATAAACTTGACCTGACTTACATGTGTAAGTTACATCCAACAATTGCCAGAATTCACGTTCTTTTTTTTTTTTTTTTTTTGAGACAGAGTCTCACTCTGTCGCCCAGGCTGGAGTGCAGTGGTGCGATCTCGGCTCATTGCAACCTCTGAATTGCAACCCAGGCTCAAGCAATTCTCCTGATTACAGGCACGTGCCACTACTGCCTGGCTAATTTTTGTATTTTCAGTACAGACTGGGTTTCACCATTTTGGCCAGGCTGGTCCTGAACTCCTGACCTCAAATGATCCACTCACCTCGGCCTCCCGAAGTGCTGGGATTACACACATGAGCCACCGGGCCCACCCTTATGTTCTTCTTAAAAGTATGTGGAGGCTGAGTGCAGTGGTTCATACCTGTAGTCCCAGCACTTTGGGAGGCCCAGGTGGATGGATTGTTTGAGCCCAGGAGTTTGAGACCAGCCCAGGCAACATGACGAAACACTGTCTCTACAAAAAATGTAAAAAAATGGGTGTGGTGGCACATATCTGTGGTCCCAGCTACTTGGGAGGCTGAGGTAGGAGGATGGCTTGAGCCCAGGAGGCAGAAGTTGCAATGAGCTAAGGTCATCCCACTGCACTCCAGCCTGCACCACACAGCCAGACCCTATCTAAATAAATAAATTAATTAATTAAAAAAAAAAGCATGTGGACCATTTATCAGAATTGATTATATGACAGACCGTAAAGAAACCCACAGTGAACCTCAAAGACAGAAAGTATTCATAATATGTACTCTGACTTTAGTGAGCCAGGTATCAAAAAAAAAAAAAAACCTGGAAAAACCTGGAAAAATCCCCAATTACATGATAAATTAGGCAAAACACTTCTATTTATTTATTTATTTGAGACAGAGTCTTACTCTGTCACCCAGGCTGGAGTGCAGTTCGCATGATCTTGGCTCACTGCAACCTCCGCTTCCTGAGTTCAAGCGATTCTCGTGCCTCAGCCTCCTGAGTAGCTAGAACCATAGGCATGCGCCTCCATGCCTGGCTAATTTTTGTATCTTTAGTAGAAACGGGGTTTCACCATGTTGGCCAGGCTGGTCTCGAACTCCTGGTCTCAAGTGATCTGCCCGCCTTGGCCTCCCAAAGTGCCGGGATTATAGGTGTGAGCCACTGTACCTGGCCCAAAACACTTCTTTTTTTTTTTTTTTTTTTTTTTTTGAGGCAGAGTCTCGCTCTGTCGCCCAGGCTGGAGCGCAGTGGCGCGATCTCGCTCACTGCAAGCTCCGCCTCCTGGGTTCATGCCATTCTCCTGCCTCAGCCTCCCGAGTAGCTGGGACTACAGGCGCCCGCCACCACACCCGGCTAATTTTTTGTATTTTTAGTAGTGACGGGGTTTCACCATGTTAGCCGGGATGGTCTCAATCTCCTGACCTCGTGATCCACCTGCCTCGGCCTCCCAAAGTGCTATGATTACAGGCGTGAGCCACCGCGCCCGGCCCCAAAACACTTCTAAATAATTCCTTGTTCATTGCAGAAGTCAATGGAAATTTTTCTTTTTTTTTCTTTTGTAATATAGATGGGATCACACTATGTTGCCCAGGCTGGTTTTGAACTCCTGTGCTCGAGCCATCTGCCTGCCTTGGCCTTCCAAACTGTTGGGCATGAGCCACTGTGCCTGGCCAAAATTTAAAAATAGTTTTAACTACATGATAATAGAGATATGATATATCCATGTGGCCAGGCCCAATGGCTCATTCCTGTAATCTCAGCATTTTGGGAGGCTGAGGTGGGAGGATCACTTGAGCCCAGGAGTTCGAGACCAGCCTGAGTGAGGCAATTCTCCCACCTCAGCCTCCTGAGTAGCTAGGACTACAGGTGTGAGCCACCACACTTGGCTGTTTCTTTTTGTATTGATTCCAATTATCTGTTTAAATTCTTCATCCTCTTATCTAATTTGCCCCCTTTAATTTTCTTTAACATATTAAAACAACAATAAAAAACTTAGTTGGGCATCATGGCACACGCCTATAGTCCCAGCTACTTGGGAGGCTGAGGTAGGAGGATTGCTTGAACCCAGGAGTTTGAGGGTGCAGTGAGCTATGATCCTGTCACTGTATTCCAGTCTGAGCAACAGAGTAAGACCTCATTTCTAAAAAAACAAAAAGGAAAATTAAGATGAGGCCTAAGCAGTGTTTTGAAGGAAATTTATAGCACTAAATGCTATAAATTAGAACAGAATAAAGGATGAAATTCAATTATATAAAATTTTGTCTAAAGAAGCTAGGAAATAATAAGTTTATCATACCTCAAGAAAGCAGGAGAAAAGAAATAATAAAAATAAGAACAGATGTCAATGAAATGCAAAACAAATGTATAGTAGGGGAAAGACAAACCCAAAAGTTAGGTTTTTTGTTTGTTTGAGGCAGAGTCTAGCTCTGTCACCCAGGCTGGAGTACAGTGGTGCGATCTCGGCTCACTGCAGCCTCTGCCTCCCAGGTTTAAACAATTCTTCTGCCTCAGCCTCCCAAGTAGCTGGAATTACAGATGCCTGCCACCACACCCAGCTAATTTTTTTGTACTTTTAGTAAAGACAGGGTTTCACTGTGTTGGCCAGGCTGGTCTCGAACTCCTGACCTTGTGATCTGCCCACCTTGGCCTCCCAAAGTGCTGGGATTATAAGCGTGAGCCATCATGCCAGGCCCCAAAAGTTAGTTATTTTAAAAGATTAATAAAATTGATAAATTCCAAGCTGGACTAGTTCAAGAGAAAAAAGATAAAACATAAATTACTAATAATATAGATGGAAAGGAGACATCACCACAGACCTTACAGATATTAAAATGATATGAGGATATTATAAACAACTTTATATCACTAAATTTGACAATTTGCATTGGACAAATTCCTCAAAAAAGCAATTAATCAAAGCTAACAGAAGAAGAAATAGAAAACCTTTTAATCCAATATCTATTAAAGAAGTTGAATTCATTATTTTAAAACCTTCCCACAGAGAAAACATCAGACACAGATGGCTTTCCTTATGTATTCTTCTAAACATTTAAAGAAGAAATAACACAAATCTTATATAAATTCTTTCAGGGAATAGAAAAAAAGACATTTTCTAACTTTTTTTATAATTATTGAACAAACTCTCACTTTGTCATGCAGGCTGGAGTGTGGTGGCACAATCTAGACTCACTGCAATCTCTGCCTCCCAGGCTCAAGCGATCCTCCCACCTCAGCCTCCTGAGTAGCTGAGACCACAGGCATGCACCACCATGCCCAACTAATTTTTGTATTTTTTGTAGAGACAGGGTTTTACTGTGTTGCCCCAGCTGGTCTCAAACTCCTGGGCTCAAGCAATCTGACTGCCTTGGCCTCCCAAAATGCTGTGATTACAGGCATGAGCCACCATACCCAGCCCTAACTCTTTTTTTTGTTTTTCAATAAGAGTATAATCTAGACATTTAAACCTGACCAAGATATTACAAGAAACAAAAACTACACCAATCTCTCATGAACATAGATGCAAATACCCTTAAAAAGATACAGACAAATGAAAATCAACCATATATAAATAAGATATATCATGACCAAGAGAAATATATCTGGGCACAGTGGCTCACACTTGTAATCCCAGGACTTTGGAAGGCTGAGGCAGGAGGATCGCTTGAGCCCAGGAGTTTGGGACCAACCTGGGCAATATAGTAAGACCTGATCTCTACAAAAAATTTACAAATTAGTTGAGCATGGTGGTACACATCTGTACTGACAGCTACTTGGGAGGCTGAGATGGGATGACTGCTTGAGCCAGGGAGGCAGAGGCTGCAGTGAGCTGTGATCAGGCCACTGCACTCCAGCCTGGGTGACAGCGCAAGACATTATCTCAAAATTAAAAAAAAAAGAAATGTATTCCAGATATGCAAGACTGGCTTAACATATGGAAATCAAATTGATGTTTTGCCACATTAATTTTAAAAATTGGAAGAAAAATCATATAATTTTGAAAGATTCAAGAAAAGCATTTGAAAAAATTTCACACCAATTTTATGGTGAAAACATCTCTTAGCAATAAACAAAACAGAACAAGAAAAGCATCTCTTAGCAAACTAGGAATAGGAGGGAATTTCCTTAACCTGGTCACAGATAGATATAGAAACAGATTTCGTCCGTGCGTATCTCTGTGTGTGTGTTGTCTGTTGTGTGTGTACTGCAGCACACTTCCCTGAGATTGGGAAGAAGATGTCTACTATTCACTATCTCCATTTAACATTGTTTTCTGGCCCAGCAAGTGCAATAAGGCAAAAATAGAAGGAAAATTAGGAAGTTACACAGCATTGGAAATGAAGGACTAAAACTGCCATTTTATGTAGATAACGTGATCAAGTACCTAGGAAACTCAGGAGCATCTTCAAACTATTAGAAATAATAAGTAGATTTAGCAAGGTCACTAGGTGAAACATCAATATACAAAAATAAGTGGTCTTTCTGTATGCCAGCAATAAATAAATGCGAAATGAAATCAAAATACTGTCTTAGTCAATTTTGTGTTGCTATCACAGAATACCTAAGACTCAGTAATTTATAAAGCAAGGAGGTTCGTTTAGCTCATGATTCTGGAGGTTGGGAGGTCCAAGATCAAGTGGCTGCATCTGGTTAATTTCTTGTGCGGACCTCGTGCTCTGTCATAACGTGGCAGAGAAGCAGGAGGGGAAGGGGGCGTGTGCAAAGAGGCCAAACACAAGAGGCAACCTCACTTCATGACAACCCACTCTTGTGGTAACTAATTTGGTCTCATGAGAAATGCATTAATCTCCTTAATGACCTAATCACCTCTTAAAGACACCACCTCTAAACACCACCACATTGGGAACTAAATTTCAACCTGAGTTTTGATGGGGACAAACCACCCCTAAACCATAGCAAATACCACCTATGGTAGTGCCAGTAAATATCAAATACGTAAGCATAAATCAAATTAACGATGTCCAAGACCTCCATTGAAAGTTATAAAATGTTATTACCATAAATTTTTAAAGCCCTGGACAGCAATTCCATTCAGAGAGAGGAACCCCTGATGTTATGAAGATATCAGTTGGTCTCAAATTAATCTATGAGTTCAATGCAGTCTCAATCAAAATCCCAGAAGCTAGCTAGCTTCCTTCCTTCCTCCCTCCCTCTTTCTCTCTTTTCTTTCCTTCCTTCCTTTCTTTTCTTTTTTCTTTCTTTTCTTTTCTTTTTTCTTTTCTTTTCTTTTCTTTCTTTCTCTTTCTTTCTTTCTTTCTTTCTTTCTTTCTTTCTTTCTTTCTTTCTTTCTGTCTTCTTTCTTTCTTTCTCTCTCTCTGTCTCTCCTTCCTTCCTTTCTTGCTTTCCTTCTTTCCTTTCTCTTTCTTTCTGCATTCTCTCCTCCCCCTCCCCTCCCCTCCCTCCCTCCCTCCCTTCCTTCCTTCCTTGTAGAAATTGATAAACTAATACTAAAATGCATGTGGAGATGCAAGGGGCCTGGAATAGCCAAGCAGCAGCAGAACGTTGTCTGTTCTACTCTCAATGGGCTTTGGGTAGTTTCCACAAATAGTGCTGCTGTGACTACCCCTGTGTGTGTCTCCAGGTGAACATATGTATGCTTTTCTGCTGTGTGTACTTCATAAAAAAAGAACAAAGGCCAGGCACAGTGGCTTATGCCTATAATCCCAACACTTTGGGAGGCTGAGGTGGGAGGAGCTCTTGAGCCCAGGAGGTCGAGGCTACGGTGAGCTGTGTTTACATCACTGAACTCCAGCCTGGGTGACAGAACAAGACCCCATTTCTTAGAAGAAGAAGAAGAAGAAGAAAATTGGAGACATCTTCTATTGTAAAGCTATAGTAATCCTGACAGATATGGTACAAGGATGGACTTGAGACCCATTCAATAGAACAGAAAGTCTAGAACAGACCAATGCATATATAGGTCTCTGATTTAAGGCAACGTGACATTACAGAACAGCGGGAATGGTTGTTTTTCTTTCCAATAAATGGGCTGAGTCAATAGAAGACCACATGAGGAAAAATGTCTCATATGGTTATCTATTAGTGTCTGGGTTCTTACCACTACTGTACACAAAAATCAACTCCAGACAGAGTGTAGATATAAATATAAAAAGTAAAACAATAAAATCCAGGCATGGTGGCTCATGCCGTAATCCCAGCACTTTGGGAGGCCAAGGCGGGAGGATCACTTGAGGCCAGGAGTTCAAGACCAGCCTGGGCAACATAGTGAGACCCTGTCTCTAAAAAAAATTTTTTTAATTAAAAATAATTAGCCAGATACGGTGGTCTGCACCTGTAGTACCAGCTGCTCAGGAGGCTGAGGCAGAAGAATAATTTGAGCTGAGGAGTTTGAGTCTCCAGTGGGCCATGATCATCCCAGATTTGGGCCACAGAGCAAGACCATGACTTAAAAAATAATAAAAAGCTTTTAGAGGAAAATATCAAGGAGAACATCTTTGTGACCACAGAGTGGGAAGAGATTTCTTAAACAGGACACAAAGCACTAATCATAAAGAAAAAATGTTATAATTGGACTTTATTAAAATTTAAAACTTCCTCAAAAGCACCATTAAGAGAATGAAAAGGCAAGCCAAAGAGTTGGAGAATATATCTAATAAAGAACTCAAATCCAAAATATATAAAGAACTCAATCAATAAGAAAAAGGCAGACAACCCAATTAGTAATGGGCAAAAAGCTTGAACAGGAACTTTACATAGAGAAAATCTAAGGGCTGATAAGTAAACTGTGACCGACTTCATTGGTCATCAGGCTAAAACAATGGAAAGCCATAATAAGATAAGATACTATTACTCACTCACCAGGAAGGATTCAGTTAAAGACAGTAGTGCTCTCGAGGGCCTGGGGCAAGCCATGCTGTCAGCCAAGCTGTGGGCAGGTGTGCCTGGATCCCGGCTGCTCCCCTCTGTCAGGCTCAGCAGTCCCACCCCATGTGTGCATTCAGCAGAAATGCCCTCGTATGTTCTTCAAGAGAGATACACGAAGATGCTGGGTCACAGCAGCCAAAACCTGTCGGGTGTAACAGATAAAGGAACTACGTATATTTACCCCATGGAAGACGGTGCAGCCACAAGAATGAATGACCTATGGCAACGTGCTTTATGATGGGTGAATCTTACGAAATAGCGTTGCCAGATCTAGTAATACAACAGCAGAAAGCCCAGTTCAGTTAGAATTTCAGATAAACAAAAAACTCTTTTTAGTGCATGTCCCAAATGGGCAGCATTTGGAGTACACTTACAACTATTTCTAATGACATTTTAAAAGTACTTATTTGTTGTTTATCTGAAATTGAAATTTAACTGGGTGTCCTATATTTTATCTGGAGATTCTACACAAATATAACATCAGCAAACAAATCCTGCCACAAGAGAGTGTAGACTGAGAATTCCCATTTCCTCAGAGAAGCAGAGCAGGTGCGTGCCTCGGCCTATGGAGTCAGGATGGTGTCATGCGAGAGCCAGGGTGCCGGGGGCCTGGTTGGGGTTTCACTTCTAAATCTGGGTGCTATTCACATGGGTGGATTCAGCTTATGAAAGTTCTGCCCAGCTCTGCAAAGCGCACTTCCTCACAATAGCCATGGCTGTGCTGGAATGTCCCATGTGGGACTCAGACCACAGACACACCCGGAGCTTCTCGCAGCAGAGAGCAGCCCACAGTCGGCCTGTAGGAGCCTGCTCCAGGAGCTTCCTGCTCAGCATCACTGAATTAACTGCACCTTTGGGTCTCGGCCTCAATGCTTCTTCCTCCAGGAAGCCTTCCCGGCCTCAGCCAGGTGCCCTGCTGCACCCTCCTTCATGGCTTGCATTGTCTTTGGTTGCAGCTGTCATTATTGTAGTTCAGTCATTGTTTGTATAAATGCTTGTTTATCATCTGCCTCACCCAACTGCAGGCTAAGTCCACAAGGGCAGGAGCATGCCTGCCTTCTTCCTCGTGTCCTGGTACCCAGCTCCTGCTGCATAGCCAGTGCCCAATGGTATTTGTGGAATGAAAGGATGAAGGTTTATGTGTAAACCAGCATGTATTTTTTCACTCCTTAGAGTTTTTATTCATGCAGCTAACACATGCCTAACAATTAGGGCTTTCTTCTTTTCAGCAAAAGTTTCCAGAATCTTGTTTTAAAAAAGAAACTGTACTAGAATCCCAGCCGGCCACCTTGAACACCGTTGTCCTGGCCGGCGAGACCGGAGCCTTGTTCCGTGGTGGAGGAGACGTGCTGGTGCCTTGAGAATTCAGTTGCAAGCATTCAGTGCCTGGCTGTTGTTCTGCTGGTGCAGACTCCAGGGTGCTGCGTCCACTCCTGGCCAAGGAGGCTGGTGTGGCTTTTGGGACCCTCACCCTTGGGTTTTGTCTTGATTCGTAGGGATTTGCTGCAGACGCTGACGGAGGAGGAGCTGCACACGCTGGAACGGAACCTCTGCATTTCCCAAGACGTGGAGTTCCCCATCCGCGCAGACGTGCAGGGACCCGCTGCCCTGGCGCCTGCCCTCTCTGCCCCTCTCCCCCCTGAGGGGCCACTCTCAGCTAAGGCCAAAGACCCGGATGCAGAGCTGGCCTGCTCCATGCAGTACGACGACCAGGAGCTGGAGCAGCTCAGCCGCATGGTCCACAGGGCGGGGGACGAGATGTCCTCTTTGCTTTCACCGCCCATTGCCTGCCAGTCCCCAGCTCACAGGCCAGGAGCGGAGGGCAGCCCAGGCGGGGAGGCCTCTCCAGGTAGACCGCGCCTGCGGTCAGGCAGTGACGAGGAGGAGCGCGTGTTCTTCATGGATGACGTGGAGGGGACGGCAGAAGCCCTGGCCAGGCCCGAGTCCCCAGCTGGCCCATTTGGGTGGGCAGGCAGTACCTGGGCCGACCCCCAGGAGAAAGGGCAGGGTGGGCCAGGCGGAGCGGCGGGGATCAGCTTGCCCGCCTCGGAAAAGGAGGAGGACTTGAGCAACAACAATCTCGAGGCCGAGGGCACAGATGGGGCCAGCCTCGCGGGCACCAGCTCCTGCAGCTGCCTGGACTCGCGGCTGCACCTGGACGGCTGGGAGGTGGGTGCGGATGACGCAGAGACGGCTGAGATGATCGCCCACCGGACAGGGGGCATGAAGCTCTCAGCCACGGTCATCTTCAACCCCAAATCGCCCACTTCCCTGGACTCTGCGGTCGCCACCCAGGAGGCCGCCTCGGAGCCCGTGGCCGAGGGGATGGATGGCGGCCCCCACAAGCTTAGCACTGGGGCCACCAACTGCCTTCTGCATTCCTGCGTGTGCTGTGGGAGCTGCGGGGACAGCAGGGAGGACGTGGTGGAGCGTCTGCGGGAGAAGTGCAGCCCGGGAGGCGTCATTGGTGCCTCGTACGCTGCCGGCTTAGCCAAGGCCAGCGACAGGGCCCCTGAGAGACAGGAGGAGGCGCCCCCACCCTCAGAAGATGCCTCCAACGGGCGGGAGCCCAAAGCCCCCACTTCCGACAAGTGCCTGCCTCACACCTCAGGTTCCCAGGTGGACACAGCGAGTGGGCTGCAAGGAGAGGCTGGGGTTGCAGGTCAGCAGGAGCCAGAGGCCAGAGAGCTGCATGCTGGGAGCCCCTCGGCTCACGAGGCGCCTCAGGCCCTGTCGGGCTCCAGGTAAGAGCCAGTCTGGCCCAGAGACTGGGTTTGTCCTCTCTGCACTGGGGGGCAGGTGCTGGCGCATTCTCCAAGCATTGCAGTGTTTCTACCTGAGCCATCTTGGCCACCGGCAGGTGCTGGGCCCTGGCCGAGTGTGGGGTCTGTGTGTGAGGAGGGGCAGGGGCAGGAGCTGGCTGCAGAGGCACCTGCCCTGTGGGGCGTCATGCACCAGAAAATGTGCGCCAGCGGGCCCGCTTCCCTGTTTCTGATGTTCCGGGTGCCTGTCAGGTGACATGGGCGCAGTGCCAAGCCCTCAGCTCACCTGCCGCAGCCCCGGCCCATCCCGCCCCTGGTGTGAGCCGCGTGCCTGTGCGGGGCAGTGGGAGCGGGCTGTGCCAGCGCCGGGCCCCTTGCCCTGAGCCGCATCCGAGCGCACTGCCCACTTCTCTTTGCTGACCACTGTGGCTGCCTGGCTCACACCGGGCTGAAACGAGACGCAGACCCGTGGCCGTGGGCGCGGAGACTGGGGCCATGAGGGGTGCTGAGACCACCCATGGGCAAATTCCCAGGGGTGTTCCCAGGGCCTCTGCCCCTCCCAGGACTCTCTCCTCCTTGCCCTGCACTGGGGGGAGATGGGGAGGTCTCCTATCTCTTCTCATGGGCTCCCATCCCCCACTCTGGAGACAGGGAGGGAAAGGCAGGGGCTGGGCCCAGCCCAGGGTCACTCATGGCTGCGTTGTCAGGGCCATTGACCCCCTGGCCAGGACCCTGCCCTACAGGGCTCCCACTCTGGCTGTGGCCGTGTCTATAGGCCTCGCTAACTGGAAGAGAGACGGAGGACAGGGAGGGGACGAGGTTCAACTGGAGACCAGAAAAGCCCCCACCAGGAGCCGTGGGAGCCGGGCAGCAGATGGGGATGAAGGTGGGGGGCACAGATGCAGGAGTGAGGGGCTGCGTTGAAGGATGGCAGGCAGGCCCAGGAGAGGGTCCTCACACTGGGGAAGGGGGTTCTTGGTGGCGGGCAGACGCCTCCTTCTTCCCGTGCTCGGTCCTCCCAGGTCGTGAGCTCGCTGGAGGAGTGGGAGTGACCAGGGTCCCGTGACGGTCAGGCCGTTCTTCCTTTCCGCTGCCCACTCAGGACTCAGGGCCTCCCTGCAGCTCTTTCCTGTGCTGCGGGCTGGGTGGGCTGGGCCTGGTTCCCGGTGTCCCTCCCCACTCCCCATCAGGCCCTGGGAGCCTCAGTCACTTTCCATCGATGGGTTCGCCTCTTCTGGACATTTCCTGTTAACACATTCACGTACAGGTGGTTCCAGACTTACGATGGCTCGGCTTAACGAGGGCGCGGCAGGAACCGTCCTCCGCGTTTTGAAGGCTAGGAGGGTCAGATGCATTTCTGACTTAGGATACGATGGGTTAAGTCGAGAAACATCTGTGGTGTGTGACCTCCAGGGTCCGGCTTCGTCCACCAGACGTAACGTCTGTAAGGGCCACCATGTAGAGGCACACGGCAACACGCCGTTCCTTTTTATGACTGAATCACGCTCACTGCATGGGGAGACCGTCTTTCATTTCTTCACTCACCAGTGGATGGTGGATGTGTTGTTTCTAGGTTATGGATGTGATGAAAATTTTCGTCCAAGTTTTTGTGTGGACACAGGTCTTCAGCTCATCTGGGTGGATCCCTGTGAGCGGAATTGCGGATCATGTGGTCACTCTGTGTGTGGCATTTTGAGGAGCTGCCAGACTACTTTCTAACGTGGCTGCAGTTGGCATCCAGGCAGCTGTGGATGTGGGTTCCAGTTTCCCAAGTCCTTCCTTACACTGGTCATTGTCTTTGTTTTGTCCTTAGGGCATGCCCCACTCGTCAGCAGTCAGCTGATGTCTCTAAGGCCACTGGACACCATTTCCTCACAGCAGGTTCATTGGTCTCATTCAGCATTATGTGTGTAGAACTTGCCATTGACAGCTGATTCAACTTTATATTTGTGTGGTTCCCAGTCAAATCTATAAATAAGATAGACCCAGAGAAGTCTGTCTGAAGGAACCTTTTTCTCCCCTGCCCCCAAAGGGAACAGTTGAAGAATGTTTTATAGTATATTCTTCAATTTTCAAAAATGTAAGCAAAGGCACATGAGTGGATGTTCAGATACACACCCGCGTATCCCCCATCCCCGTATTTGGTGAAGGGCCTCCTGCTACAAGCACTCGCCCCCACCTCGCTCTCCTGGCCTTCTGCCCGAGCCGCTCCAGTGCTTGCTAGAGATGTCCTGCTTCCCTTCACTGCGGGGCAGGGCCTCATGCGAGGCTGGCCTGGCGTGCACTCGGGCCCAAGTGCTGGCTTGGGCTTGTTTCCAGGCTTTTCCTGTCACAGACGTGCCACGATGAACAGCCTCGCGCGAACAGCCTCTCCTCTTTCTTTTGGGTGAGGCCGTTTTTGAGATGCAGCATGAGCTTCACGGCCGTGTGAGGCAGAGCACCTTTTCCCCACTACTGGATGCTTTCCTCAGGGGCTCAGACCCAGTTCACTGGCAATGGATCGTTTTTCTCCGAGTTTGACATGAAACCATCAGAAATTCTTTGACAGGATAAGTGGGAGAGTTTTTGGTTTGGGGCCTGCACATCTTTTGCTGCTGGGGGTGGTGGGGGGTTGTCCAGGTGACAGCCAGTGGACGCCCACCCCCTCCAGAAGCTCCTCCCACCTTCCTGGCGTGAGCTCTGTGCCCCATGATGGACACAGCCTCTTAACGCGGCCTCAGCTTCCCAGGCCTTATGCAGCTCAGCACAGACGCTGAGGCTCAGCTGAGGAAAGGGAAGGAGCCCAGGTGGTGGTGTCATCTTCCAGGGAAGCGTTTCTGGCAGTGCTGAGGATCCGAGAAAGCAAGCACATCACAGGGTGATCAGGACAGTACATGTTCGGTTCAATTTAGGTCAGTGCCTGGGCCCAGCACTGTGCCCGGAGGTAGCTGGAAATCAGGTCAGCGGGCGGCAGCACATGGCAGCTGTCCCATCCAAGGCACAGGCGGTGTGCACCGTGGGAGCATCATTCATTCCCCCACTCATCTGTGTCTCAAGCATGTTCCGGGGTGGCTGGGCCAAGCACCGGAGACCCACCAAGGAACAAGAGACATAGCCTGTCCTCCCAGGTGTCACCTCACACCAATACGGGGGTGATAGCGCAGTGGGGGTTTTTAAACAGACAGACACAGGAGACCAGCTTCACACACACAGAAAGTTCACCCAAATTCAAACAGCCCCGTGTCAGGAAGCATGGCTGGTGTTAAGTGACGTTTGTGCGAGGCCGGTCGTGTGCACAGGTGTGGCTGTGTTTGGTTACGCCTCCCATTCTGCAGTGGGAGAGACTGAGACGGAGAGGGTGGTATTTGCCTCAGCTGAGAGCATCTGGAAGAGCCCGGGCCTGTTTGGCCGTGAGACCCGCTCGCCCGGCAGACGCCCCTGCAGCCCCTGTGGTTGTGGCGTGGACGGTTCAGAGGGAACAGTGGGCACGGCCTTGATTCACGGCTTCCAGTCTCACGTGCGAGTCGCGTCTCCGTGTACTGCAAATGAAGGAAATGTGTGGAGCTGCGGCCGACCAGCCTGTGAGATTCCCCCGAGACCCCTGGAGCCTGTGTTTCTGGCCAGGCAGACGACAGCCTCCAGGAGGAAGGACAGGGCTTCCCAGCCACCAGCCAGGGGACGGATGCACGCAGGAGGTGGGTTGGCACATGGCCCACTGGAGTCCTGGCGTGAGGGTCCCAGCCAGGAGGAGCCCCTCTCTGGAGCGTTTCCTCAGGTGCTGTCACCTGGGAGTCCGGACATCGTCCTCGACAGACAGCAGTGAATCAGCCTTGCAGATGTGAATGTTCTGGAACCTACGCCCTTCAGCTCTTTTCATTTTACTGGCTTCTTTCCGACCTTCTCAGTGGTCAATGAATCCTTTTGGAGAAGTTGACATTTTTTAAAAGCTTATTTTCCCTTCAGCTAGCCTTACCTCTTTGATCCAGAACCTTCCGTCCTCTCGAAGTCACCCTTGGAAGTTACTTGTCTAGATGACAGAAAGTCCACTCAGGCTGGTTGTCTGTTCCTTCCAGGGACACCATGAAGTGGATTTCCAGCCTTTGCCTTCTGCAAAAAGTAACACTGACTCCCTGTTTGCTAATTATAGATGTGGTCCCTGTTCATTGTAGAAACTTTGGAAAACATAAGAAGGAAAGTCTGGGTCTGGTGGCTTATGCTTGTATTCCCAGCACTTTGGGGGCTGAGGCAGGCGTATTGCTTGAGGCCAGGAGTTCAAGGCCAGCCTGGACAACATAGCAAGACCCCATCTCATGAAAAGTAAAAGTAAATTAGCCAGGTGCAGTGGCGTGGGCCTGTAGTCCCAGCTACTTTGGAGGCTGAAGCAGGAGAATCACTTGAGCCCAGAAGGTGGAGACTGCAGTGACCTATGACTGTACCACTGTACTGCAGCCTGGGTGACAGAGTAAGACCCTATCTTTTTAAAAAACAAAACAAATAAGGAAATAAATATCACCCCAAATCTTATGAACAGTTTTATTTTTTTTTCCACTGAACATGGTTTTATAGTTTCCTCTATGGTTTTTTGTCTGCCTCTTGGATTCTCTTTTCTTTTTCTTTCTTCCTTTTCTTTCCTTCCTCCCTCCCTCCCCTCCCTTCCCTTCCCTTCCTTCTCTTTTCTCTTTTTAACCACAGGGTCTCCCTTGGTTGCCCAGGCTGGAGTGCAGTGGCACAAACACAGCTCCCTGTCTGGGCTCAAGCTGTCCTCCTGTGTTAGCCTCCCAAGGTGCTGAGATTACAGGTGTGGGCCGCTGTGCCCAGCCTTGGATTATTTCTTTAGAATTGGTCCTTAGAAGTAGAATCACCACAGCAAAGGTATGAAGCCTTTTAAAGCTCTGCCACTCACTGTCAAACTGCTTTCCAGAAAGAGCTGATTACCCCCAGCAGTGCCATCCCTCGCCAACACTTCCAACTCCAACTTGAGGGGGAAAAACGGAGTACCCTTCGCTGTTCCTGAGGTTTGCCCCCTCTGATCACTGCCAACCTGGGCAGTTGTTCTGTTAGCGCCTGCGTTTTTCGTTCTGGGAAGTGACTGTGTTTTCTGCTGTTTTTCAGCTGGGATGTCACGCTTTTTGGACTTGAAAATGTTCCGTCTGGTCTGTTGGTGGCTTTCTCCAAGTTGTTCTTGCCCTTTGACTTTGTTTTTGAATGTCTTTTGATTTGCAGATGTCCTCAATTTTATCTTGTGTAATTAAGTTTATAGAAATTCTAGAAACAAGTCTGTTCCTCTGCCTTTCTGGTTGATCGCGTGTGGTGCGAGGCGCGCTGCTCCTCTGTGGTGGGGCCGGGGAATGTTCTTCTCATCTCTGGTGGCCTGGGTTTTGTTTTTTGCCATCAATCCTGCAGCCCCGATGACTAGTCGGGAGGAGGCTGGAACCAGCGCAAGGGCCTCTGTGCATCAGAGTGGGACTGACGGAGGCTGTGGCCGTCCTGACACACGGTCAAGGCTGCCCGGGCGCTGGCTTAGGGAGGTCTCAGAGCCTGTCACTGTCCGTCCCACGGGGGCAAGGCCAGGCCTGCTCCGTCGTGCAGTCGGGCGCCTCTGTGACTGTACTTGAGTCCTCCCTTCCCTGCCACTTGTCCACCGTGCTCAGCATCCTCTCTGGCCGTTGCTCTAGGTAGAATGGTAGGAGTCTCACAGGCTTCTCAGGACAGACAGTGGCCAAGCCTCTGCCCCAACCCTGTGGCACATGCCCCGCCTGTGTGCGCCTTCCTTCCGGAACTTGGCAGTGGCAGACAGATGACAGACACTGAGGGATATCCCTTTTAGAGGAATCGCTGGAGTCATGGTGGGGAGTGCCCTGCTCCATACGCAGATGTGAGGGGAAAGGCAGTGCCTGGTGAACCGACTGCTCAGCCTGAGCCTCAGTTTTGTCATATGCAAAACGGACCAACAGCAGGCCCCAGCTACATGGCAGGATGCACTCCTCACGCATCACCACTCATCCTCTGCCGTTCCTCCCAGCACAGCCCGCTGTGTCACTGTGTCACCGTGTCACCCCACTGTCACCGCTCATCCTCTGCTGTTCCTCCCAGCACAGCCTGCCGTGTCACTGTGTCACCCCACTGTCACCGCTCGTCCTCTGCCATTCCTCCCAGCACAGCCCGCCGTGTCACTGTGTCACCGTGTCACCCCACTGTCACCACTCGTCCTCTGCCGTTCCTCACAGCACAGCCTGCCGTGTCACTGTGTCACCATGTCACCCCACTGTCACTGCTCGTCCTCTGCTGTTCGTCCCAGCACAGCCTGCCGTGTCACTGTGTCACCGTGTCACCCCACTGTCACTGCTCGTCCTCTGCTGTTCCTCCCAGCACAGCCTGCTGTGTCACTGTGTCACCCCACTGTCACCGCTCGTCCTCTGCCGTTCCTCCCAGCACAGCCCGCCGTGTCACTGTGTCACCGTGTCACCCCACTGTCACCACTCGTCTTCTGCCGTTCCTCCCAGCACAGCCCGCCGTGTCACTGTGTCACTGTGTCATCCCACTGTCACTGCTCGTCCTCTGCCGTTCCTCCCAGCACAGCCAACCATGTCGCTATATCACCGTGTCACCCCACTGTCACTGCTCACCTTGCTCCCAGATTGCGCTTGCAGCTGTTCCTGGCCATCTTTGCCATGATCAGTCTTGGCTTTGCCTCTGGATTTCATTGTTTCCTGGATTCACATCTCTGTCCCCCGCTCTTCTGGCGGTGACAGCTATCCCGGGTGGCATCAGGCATTGCAGTGGCGCTTCATGACCTCGCTCCCGGACAGTGGGTCCTGGCCTCCAGCTTGAACATCCACCCACCGCGCCCCACCTGGCGACTCCTCCGTGTGGCCTGGGGTCATTCCACCAAGCTCCTCTGCCCTCTGCCAGTGTGAGGACAGGGCTCAGAGGTGTCACGGAGGAGAGCCTGCAGCCGGTCTATCCCGAGGTGGCTGCAGCTCTCCCGGGCCTGCTGACCCTCTGCCCCATGGTGAGGTCGCTGCTGCAAATCCTCCTGGGCCCCTCCAGGCCATGACACAGAGGGTCCTGTGGCCCCCAGCCTGGCTCCCGGTGCGCAGCCCAGAGGAGGGCAGGTTGTAGCTGGCACATCAGTGAAGGCGCCGCTGCGTGGGGAGTCACCTGCTGCTGGGCTGGCACTTCTGATGTGCTTCGTTCCCACATCCACCATTCGGCTTTCCCACCAGCAGACAGGTGTTCAGCCCCTTCCCTGGGTGGGGCCTCAACCAAGGGCCATGCGGTGCTGTGGCCTCGGTGGCCCGGAAGCCCACGCTTCCCTCCCTGCAGCGCAGTCAGGGCTGACAGAGCCTTCAGTGGCCCGGCCCTAGTGTGGAGCTCTTCTGGGGGCTCAGAGGACACAGGCAGCCTCCAGGTAGAAGGCTGAGCTGCTGGGCTGTGGGGGCTCTCCGGATCCGGGGGCTCCCCAGTGGACCCACTGCAGGACAAGGGGACGGAGTGACAGGTCTGGGACTGAGGCAGCCCGGCCTTGCTCCAGTGCCTGTGACCTTGAGCAGCAGGTGCCGCCCCGCGGGCCTCCCCTCCCCCTCACTGGGAGGCTCACACGGCTGCCATTTCCCCCAGACTGTCTGGGGCCCGGTGGCAGGTGCTTGCTAGGCTGCTGCAGCCATTGGTCCCTAAAGCAGGTGTCCCGAGGTCCTGCAGGGAACACCGAGACCTTCCACCCACTTCATGCCCCTGGCAGGAAAAACAAGAATGATTGAGGGGTTTAAAAATAGAGGAGGACTTGGAATTAATTAGACTCTTGAAAAACAGATTAGGTGTAATGACTGTCATTAAGCCAATCGTTTATAAGTGACGGGGCCTCCTGGGCTGACACGGTGAGTCGGGGATAAGACCAGGGCTGGTCCGCCGTGCACAGGCCCAGGTGAGAGGGCAGGGCTGGGTTCTTGCTCTCGCTGGCCCCAGGCATGAAACCTTAGCAAGCTCGGTGATGCCTGTGTCACCAGAACCCCACAAGGGACAGTGATCGCCCTGCAAGGCCCTGAGTGGTGGCCTGGATGCAGTAGGCACGCAGGCCAGCAAAGTCCTGGGAGGAGGTGCCACCCTTCTTGCAGATGGGCCTCCTCCCAATTCACAGCTGGCCTAGAGCTGGAGAGAAGGCCCCAGCCTGGCTGTGCTCTCGGGGAGGCCTGGCTGAGGGGATGGTCATTACCGCAGGTCCCCCACATGTCCTCATGACCCCACCCAGGGCCCATCCTTACAGGCCCTCTGTTCCCTGGTGACCACAGCTTCTCCCCTAGCCTCTGGACCGCACCCCGCACCTCTTGCGACATCTGCCACCCTGATCCTTCCCCACCATCACCATCCACTCAAGGGCACCACCTGCAAGCAGCTGCGGCTACATGGAAGGAGCCCCTCACCATCCTCTCTCCCTCACGCCCCCTACCTGGTCCTCTGGCCAGTGCTGGAAAGAAATTAGAATTGTTTCATGAGGTGAAGGGTGCCAGTGAGGCAGCTCCTTTTGTGAGAGCAATCTGGGGAGGCCTCCTGCAGGCGCTGACATTTGCTGAGGCCTGAATGAAGGGAAGGGGCTGGAGGAAAGGTGCCCAGGTGGCAGGACCTGTGAGGGCCGAGGTGCTGGGAAGGAGCAGAGGGGACAGGGAGCAGGGCAGAAGGAGGTCGGGGGTGGGGAGCAGGAAATCTCAGAGAGCTTTGTGGGCAGGGTGGGCAGGAAAGACTTTTCTGAGAGAAGGAACGGCATCAGAGGCGGTAACGTGAGCATGGCGGTGAAGTGGTCTGGTGGTTTAAAAATTGTTGTAAATGCTGGGCATGGTGGCTCATGCCTGTAATCCCAGCACTTTGGGAGGCTGAGGCAGGCAGATCACTTGAGGTCAGGAGTTTGAGACCAGCCTGGCCAACATGGTAAAACCCCGTCTTTACTAAAAAAAAAAAAAATACAAAATTTAGCTGGGCATTATGGCAGGTGCCTGCAATCCCAGCTACTTGGGAGGCTGAGGCAGGAGAATCACTTGAACCTGGGAGACAGAGGTTGCCATGAGCCAAGATTGCGTCACTGCACTCCAGCCTGGGCAACAGAGTGACACTCCATCTCAAAAAACGAAAACAAAAAAATGTTGTAAATGGCTTTATTGAAATATGATTGGCATATGATAAACAACAGCATATGAGAGTTCAGTTCCTCTGTGTCCTTGTCAACACTTGGTATGGTGGGCTTTTTAGCCATTCTGATAGGTGTGAAGTGGTACCTCGTTGTAGTTTTAATTTGCATTTCTCTGAGGAATAATAATGTTGAAAATCTTTTTTTTTTTAAGTAATTTTTTAGAGACAGGGTCTCGCTATGTTGCCCAGGCTGGCCTTGAACTCCTGGGCTCAAGCAATCCTCCTACTTCACTTCAGCCTCCCAATTAGCTGGAACTACAGGCACACCACCTCATCGACTCAAGCGTCGCTTCATGTGCTATTTGTCATTGGTTGTTTGGTGAAGCGTCTGTTGACATCTTTTGCTGTTTCTTTCACTTGGGTTGTTTATCCATATTGAGTACTGATAGTTCTTTATATATTCTGGATATAATTCTGTTATGTGATTTTCAAATATTTTCTCCCAATCTTGTCTTGTCTTTTCATTCTAACAGTATCTTTTGAAGAGCAAAACTTTTTAATTTTGATGAAGTACAATTTATCAATTTTTTATTTTATGAATTGTGATTTTGGTGCCATATCTAAGAATTATTTTCATAGCCCACAGTCACAAAAATTTTTTTCTATGTTTTCTTCTGGAAGTCTTATGCTTTTAGGTTTTACATTTAGATCTATACAGTATTCCATTTGAAGTAACTCATGTATATGGTGTGAGGCATGGATCAATTTTTGTTTTGCATAAGGAAAGTCAATTATTCCAGAATTATTTGTTGGGAAAGACTATTCCTTCTCCACTGAATTGCCTTTGCATTTTTATCTTCAGCTGACCACATGGGGTGGGTTTACATCTGAACTCTCCAGTCTGTTCTATTAATCTATTTGCCTGTATTGACACCAATGCCACACTGTCCTAAATATGGTAGCTTTATAATAAGCCTTAGTTGGAAGTGCAAGTGCCCAGCTTTATCTTCTTTTGAAGGTTGTTTTGGCTATTCTGTCTCCTTTCTGTTTCCATGTGAATTTTAGGGTTGTCAACTTTTACCAAAAAAAAAAAAAAAGCCTGCTGGGATTTTGATTGGGATTATGTAGAATCTATGTAGTAATTTGGAAAGAATTAGCATCTTAATAATAGTTCTGGTTCATAAACATAGTATATCTCTTTATTTATTTAGGCCTTTAATTTATCTCAGCAAAGTTTTATGGTTTTTAACTGTACAGGTCTTGCACATCTTTTGTCAGATGAATCCTCAAGTATTCTATATTTTGTGATGCCATTGTCAATTGGTTTGTTTTATAATTTTAATTTGTAATTGTTCATTGGTAATATAGCTATAACTGATTTTTGTAGATCTTCTAGAAGATTTTTTTTTTTTTTTTTTTGAGATGGAGTCTTGCTCTGTCACCCAGGCTGGAGTGCAGTGGTGTGATCTCGGCTCACTGCAAGCTCTGCCTCCTGGGTTCACGCCATTCTCCTGCCTCAGCCTCCCGAGTAGCTGGGACTACAGGTGCCTGCCACTACGCCCAGCTAATTTTTTGTATTTTTAGTAGAGACGGGGTTTCACCGTGTTAGCCAGGATGGTCTCGATCTCCTGACCTCGTGATCCACCTGCCTCGGCCTCCCAAAGTGCTGGGATTACAGGCTTGAGCCACCATACCCGGCTGATCTTCTAGAAGATTAATCTTCCAGATTGATCTTGCTAAACTCACTTTATTAGTTATGGTTTTTTCAAAGATTTCATCAGTTTTCCTACATAGATGATCTTGTCATCTGAGAAGAAAAGCAGTTTTGCTTGTTTTCAATTGTACGTCCTATATGTATTCCTTTTTCTTGTGTTTTTTAACCAGCCAGAACCTCCAGTATAACGTCGAATGAAAACAATGAAACAGGATGATTCTGCCTTATTCCCAAGCATTCAGTATCTACTGTTAAGTGTGATTTGAGCTGTAGGATTTTCACAGATGACCTTCATCTTCTCAAATAAAAAAGGAGTTCTCTCCTATTCCTAATTTGCTAAGAGGTTTTTTTTTTTTTTAATCAAGAACAGATGTTGGATTTTCTCAAATGCTTTTTCTGCATTCTTTGACGTAATCACATGGTTCTCCTGTTTAGCCTATTAATGTAATAAGTCACAATGATTGATGTTCAGATGTTCGGCCAGCCTTGCAGTCCTGGGGCAAACTGTACATGGTCATGAGGTATTAGCCTTTGAATTTACTGTTGGCTTTGATTTGCTGAACTTCAGTAGGATTTTGCATCTGTCTGAGAGGACTGTCAGGCAGCCGTCTTCTTGTCATGCCTTTTTCTGGTGCAGGAGCATGGCTGTCCAGGAGGAGCTGGGGAGTGCTCCACCTCTTCGGGTTTCTGGAAGAGCTTGTGTAGAACGGGCATTATTTCTGCTTGAAATGTGAGACAGACTTCACCAGGGAAGCCATCTGGGCCTGGAGTTTTCTTTGTGCGAAGATTTTTGACTACAAAATCAATGTCTTTCTAGCAGACTGTCTGTTGAATTATCATCTTATTCCGTGAATGGAGTTTCTTTGCTGCAGTGTTGAGTAATCCGTTGACCCTGCTCCATCCTCCTGACGTCCCCTCAGAGGCACTGACTTGTTATCAGGCACTCGATGACCTGATCTGGCCCTCGCCACAGCCCTGCCCCTGCAATCGGCTTCCCTTGTCCATGCCAAACCAGGGGACCTGCTTGTAGACCCCTTGTGCCCTCCTATTCCTGTCCCTGTCTGCCCCTCGACCTAGCGTTGCCCTATGCTGTGGCCTCCCTCCCTGTCCCTTTGGCATGGAGCCACCATCGTTCAGCCCATGGCTGCCTGGACGAAGATGTAGGGAGCTTTGCCAGCTGGGTCTCACTGAGTCCCACAGCTGCCTTCAAGGTGGGCATCTCCATGTCTGTGGCATTCCTGTTCGCTTCATGGCTGGGCCATCCCTTCCAACCCAGCTCTCCGGCCGCCTGCAGGACCCATCCCAGGGTTCAGCCTGTGCCTCTCAGGCTCTGCAGCATGGTGTCCTCCCAGCCCCCCATGCTGTGTCCCAGAGCACCTGGATGTGACTGAGGAGCCTGGTTGGGGGACGTGCTGGCTCTAGGCTAAGTGGAAAGGAGGTGGCACTGAGGGCTGGAAGGCAGCAAGGCCTGGGAGGACGTGCTGGAGCCTGGCCCATTGAGACACTCACATCCCTGACTCTCCCTGCAACTCCTGCCCTGCAGCCCGGCCCCCTCTGCTCCCCACCCTAGCTCCTTGGCCCAGTGCAGCACCATGGACTGGCTGGTGGCTGTCCAGCCTCAGCCTCCCAGGGCACAGACGCTGGGGCCCACCCAGGCAGGGTTCATGTCCTCCACCAGCCAGGCGTGTGGGGAGTGGGATGGGCATCGGCAAGTGTGGCAGGCTGCCATTCCGAGGGGGGCTCCAGGAGAAGGAGCTGGGCAGAGTCCAGGCCTGTAGTGCTGCCCCTTGAGGTGCAGCTCTCAGTTCCCGCTCTCCTGACCCCAGGACCCCCAGCCCTGTCCCTCAGGACAGGTCTCAGTGAGGCACACAGCAGTGTCTGAGGTGGAGAGAGAGGGGACTCAGGGCCACTTCCGGCCCTACTCCCTGCTCCTGGCAGCATCAGGGAGCCCGTCAAGGGGTGGAAGCGGGGGCTTTGGCTGCAGTGGAGCCTGCTTGGTAAGCATTGGCCCCTCCTCGGGGAGCCTAGAAGGGGATGGGGCCTCCCCGTGAGCCCAAGAAGGTGAGAAGGTGCCAGCCACTTGCTCCCCAGTGGCTCCAGGAAGCATTCTCAAGGGGTCGTTTTCCTCCACCCCATGGGACCAGGAAAATTCCAGGGGGAACAGCCCCTTCTCGAAAGCCAAGCATCTCCTCCCACCTTCACTGAGCCGAAAGCAAGAGGAAGCGGGTTTCAACCGCGGTGATGCTGCAGCCGGAGACCAGGATGCCGTCCTCAGCTGACTTCACCCACCTCTCTGAGACTCGCCAGTTGTGGTGGCTTCTGTTCAGAGAGCTTTTTAAAGCAGCAAAAGCGCCTGCAAGGTGCGAGACGAGAAGGGCGACAGGAGCTCCTCCCGCTCGTGTGCCGGGGGCAGGAGCACACGTGCAGGCACTCTTCGCTAATCTGCATTTCCTCATTTTTTTAGGGTGCACATGTATTGCTTATGTAATTACGAAGAAAAACATAAAGGGATAGTTTCCCAGACCATAATAATAGTGGGATCTTTTCAAGAGCTGGGCTGTGTCTAGGCCTGGGCTTCACTGTGTCCCCAGAGTCCAGATCTTGGCCAGGCAGGGCTGGGCCAGGAGGGACCAGATTATGGCCCCCACCCCTCCCCACCACTGCTCGGCTTGTGCTTGGACTTAATAGGGGAAGCAAGGAGCCAGGTGAGCACCCCAAGGCGATGCCTGGCCCCTGGCCCAGCCCTGGCCTGGCCCCTGCCCCACAGCAGGAGAGGGGTGAGGCCGTCCCAGAGGAGCTGACTTCTTGAAGGACCTGGTGAGCCGTGGACGTCAGCAGCTGCTCTGGGGCCAGGGGGCAGGTGTGGTCGTGTCCTGCTCTGCTGCACCTGCCCCCATGGCCCCCGGCTTTTGGAGACATCTCCTGGGGGCCATCAGTGAGCAGCGTTGCATCCTCACGAGAGGACAAAGCTGGAGAGGGCCAACAGACAGGAGTGTCAGGGTAGCTACGGGATCATGGAGGGGTCACCATGACGACTGGCAAAGTGGCCCTTGGGGCCTGCAACCTGCCTGTCTCACCAGGCACATTGTGATCCTCTGAAGGATCACACTTTGGGAGGCCAAGAGTTCGAGACCCTGTTCTGTAGCTGAGGAGACCCCAGCTCCTCGGAGAAGGCAGGCAGGCTTGTGGTCACACACCTTCCAGGTGGCATGGTCCTGGGGACTGCCGGGCCATCCCCATATGGGCTGCTCTCTCTGGGCTCCGGGTTGCCAGCATGGGCGGCCTTGTCCCCTGAGGAGATCTTGCACGTGAGTCCCCTGGGGCACAGGCTGGGGGCCTGGTGACCGGGGGGTGGCTCTGACGGGGCCTGCCATCACGCTGCTGGCTGAGGCCTGGCTGTCTGTCAGTTGTTGAGCTGGGCTGGCCTCCGCAAGGACAGCGGCTCCCTGGGCCTGTCCACTGTCTGTCTGTGTCTGTCCTCCCCCTGAGCTTCTGCAGAGCATCCCTGGGGTGAGGAGTGCTGGCCACAGCCTGGCTGTCCCCTGTGGGTGATGAGGATCGGGGGCTCAGGGGAACTCAGGTTCGCCGAGTTCTTCTGGACACCACCGTGATGACTGACCAGAGACATCTCTGGGACCTCCTGAGCCCCAAGTCCACAAGTGTCCTGGAGCACGATGCACAGGCCCCCGCAGGCTGTGGTAAGCTGTGTCACCTCTGCCGTCTGGGCAGGGAACTTAACCTCCCAGCACCTCAGTTTACTTGTCTGTAAAATGGGAAGGTGAGGCCAGGTGCTGTGGCTCACACCTGTAATCCCATTGCTTTGGGACCCGAGGCAGGAGGATCACCCCAGGGGGCGATGGGGCTGCTGACAGTGTGGGGCTGCACCTGGCTCCGTGCCCACCCCCTGCCTGACCCTCCAGAGGGCTGGCCTCTTTGATGACAGCAGGTGGCAGGAGGCTGTGGCCCTGAGGTCTGGCCCAGTGGCCTCAGCCTTTGTCACATACCACCCCCCTCACTTTGGGGAGGCTGTGCTACAGCCTGTGTTACGCGGCCCAGGGCCACACCCAGGACCTGAGTGCCCACTTACTCCACCCCTGCTGAGGGGCACCCTTGTTCGAAGGAATCTGTGTGGGCAGTATCGTGCTCCTGTTTTATTTTATTAATTTAATTTAATTATTGAGGCAGGGTCTTACTGTCACCCAAGCTGGAGTGCAATGGCATGATCTTGGCTCGCTGTAACCTCTGCCTCCCAGGTTAAAGCAATTCTCATGCCTCAGCCACCAGACTAGCTGGGACCACGGGCACTTGCCACCCCCACAGCTAACCTTTGTATTTTTAGAAGAGACTAGGTTTTGCCATGTTGGCCAGGCTGGTCTCGAACTCTTGGCCTCAAGTGATCTCCCACCTTGGCCTCCCAAAGTGTTGGGATTACAGGCATGAGCCACCATGCCCAGCCTTAGCACTCCTATTTTATTAATTTAATTTAATTTTTGAGGCAGGGTCTCACTCTGCCACCCAGGCTGGAGTGCAGTGGTGCAATCATGGCTCACTGCGGCCTAGGATTCCTGGGCTCAAGTGATCCCGAGTAGCTTGGACCACAGGCATGTGCTGCCATGCCCAGCTATCTTTTTTTTTAACTTTTAGTAGAGACAGGGTCTCACTGTGTTACCCAGGCTGATCTCAAACTCCTGGACTCAAATGATCCTCCTGCCTTGGCCTCCCAAAGTATTGGGATTAAAGGCGTGAGCCATTGTGCCCAGCCTCACTTTCCCGTTTTACAGACAAGTAAACTAAGGCCCTGGGAGGTTAAGTTCCCTGCCCACATGGCAGAGGTGGTGATGCCCAAGGGCCTTCAGCTCACACTGCCTAACCTGTGACTCACCAACCCAGCTTGGAGACACCCTCCCCATGGCAGGACCTCCCCTTGGAGCAGCAGCCACGTGCCCAGGTCCCCTCGGGGGTCTCCTCTTATTGCCAGCCCAGAGCCCCTCGGAGGCAGGCGCTGCTGCTCCACTGTGGCCCCAGCACCCAGCCCAGGGCCCGATGCTCCCCCACTGTGTAGCAGGTGCTCACCTGGCCCACCCCCTCACTGCACAGATCAGGACTTGCCCTCATTAGAGATGAGGTTCCGTTCTAGTGTCACCTGTTGGTTTTCCTGGGAGCCAGCTCTGGGGCCACAGGGGGGCTTAGGAGATGGAGGCCCTGTACCCAGTGATCATGGCTGGGAGGTGATGCAGGTCCTCGGGCCTTCATGGACTCAGGGCTGGGTAGGGCCATATCTCTGCTCAGGCCAGGCCGCCTCCTCCAGGAAGCCCTCCCTGCTGTATGGTGACTGTGCCTTGCTGTCGTGGGGGTGTTGGGCATCTGACCACAGGCCAGTTGCTTCTGCCTTCCGAGGCCCACTGCACCTCGATAGGGCCCGGCCAGACAGGAGTGGGGGTGGAGGGAGTGTGAAAAACATAAAGGAATTCGTGTTCCTAACTGAATCCCAAGAGACATCAAGGCAATGCTGCTAAATTAGAGGAGATGGGAAAATAGCTAATTTTCAGAGCATTCACACATCCATATCCAGTGTCTCCTTATGTTCAGTACTTTGGAACCAAACTGCGGGTCCTACGGTGACTCCCCCTGCCCCCTCAGAGTGCCCCCCTCGCCCTGCAGCCCCCACTGCTGACGCACAGCGGTGTCCACATCACAAAAGGCACTGGGAGGGCGGGGGCAGGGAGGGGCTGTCTCCCTTCCAGAGACCTAAAGAGATCCCAAGGGCGCCTGGGACACCCCTTCCTCCCCTTAGCTCCAGACGTCCTGGAAATCTGTGATGTCTGCTGGCCTCTGTAGAGGGAACACCAGCCGCAGCCACCTCCACGTCAGTCACCGCAGAGAAAGGAAGATTTGTGGAAGGAATACAGCAAATCAACGCCTCCTCGCAAAGCACTTTCCCTGGATGTTGAAACAGTGACTGCAAACTCAGAGGCCCTTCAGGGGCTTAAGCCAGGATTCGTTCAGCCCATCCTACGGCTGCTGCACGTGAGGCCCGAGGCCCTTGCTGCATCTGCACTGCACCCACGCCGCTGAGAGGATCTCACTTGTCTGACCCGTCAGTGGCTATCTTACTGTCCGTGTCTGTGGCTCAGGCAGCAAAGCTCTGGACCACATAACCTGCCCAGGGTCGCCCAGCGGGTGAGAGATGCTCTTAGGATCAGATGACAGATTCCACCTCTAGATGCCTGTCTGGGGCTGCTGTAACAGAACACCCATGAGCTGGGAGGCTTAAAACCGTGGGGATTTGCTGGTTTACAGTTCTGGAGGCAGGCATCTGAGATGAGGGCGCTGGTGGGGTGGCACTGCAGCCCAAGGTTCTAGGGGATGATCCTCCTGCCGCTTCCAGCTTCTGGTGGCTCCTGGCACTTCCTTGCCTTGTGGCCAAGTCACTCCAAGCTCTGCCTCCGTCTTCTCTTGGCCCCTCGCTGTGTCTGTCTCTTGTAAGGATATTTATTGGAGTTGGTATCCATCCAGATAGTCCAGGATGGTTTCATCTCAAGATCCTTAACTTAATTAAATCTGCAAACAACCTTTTTCTAAAAAAGGTCACAGTCGCAGATTCACATTTTGGGGGTCACATTCAGCCCACCGTGACGTCTGAATCCTGTGCCTCCAGCCCCTCACCCCTCCCGTCACCCCCCACCCTGTCTTCAGGACACAGCAGAGAGCAGGGGCTGGAGAGTCAGCAGCCAAGGGCTGAGCTCCTTCCCTAATCCCACCTGGCATAGGTGAACTGGAGACCGCATTTGCTCCACCAAGAGCCCACGTCTCAGCTTTGCATCAGCTAGCTGGGCTGTGTATAAGCAATGCCGAGTAAGGGTCCTGCAGCATCCATGCGTCAGATGCCTGTCTCAGCACAGCTGGGTTCTGTGCTCAGGGTCTCCCCAGGCTGAAATCCAGGTGCTGTGGACTGCGCTCTCGTCTGGAGCGGCTGACGTTTATTTCATCGCTTCTTGTTGATTGAGAAGAGACTATGAGATGCAGTTGTGGCAGGTGTGGAGCTTAGCACTTGACATCCTCGGAGGCAGCGTCCCCGTCCACGCCTGATGCCCCCTCCCACCCCCGCAAAGGGCAGGCCTCGGGGCTGACCTCTGACCTGCTGCCTTTTTGGCATCCTCCCGCTGAGGTCCCTTAGGTCTCATTAGCAGGAAGCAGGGCTGGCCTGGGCGCCGGGAGGGAGAAGCTGAGGGGTGGGGACCATGCAGCCCATGCTGGGAGAGCGAGTGAGCCAGTGCCCGTACAGGGGGCTGTCCTCTCGCCGCTTCTCTGGCCGCTGACCCCATGCTCCCCACAGGGACCGAAGTCCTGCAGCAGCAAATCTCAGGCCACTGTCCCTGCACCCCCTAGAGTGCCTGCATGGAGCAGGTTTGGAGGTGGGTGGGGGAGCAGTGACTGGGCCCAGAGTGTCTGGAAGGACCCCTGGACCTGTGCCCACACCCTGAGACCGGAGGAATATGGACATTGGAGGGTGCTCCAAGACAATGCGCCAAGACCGGGTGACACATCCAGGAGAGACCTGCGGACCAAGCTAGTGCCTGCCTGTGGGGACCACAGACCCCGGCCAGCTGACCAGGGCGGGGCAGCCCTGAGATCCCGGCTTCAATTTCCCTCCCTCCCGCTGAGCTGTTTCTGGGATGGGCGCCTGCCCTCCTGGACCGGCCCAGCCCTCCTTCCTGTCCCTCGGTTCTGTCCTTCATTCTGGCCCACAGTGGCAGCGGCCCTTCTGAGGATGCCCTGGTCACGGAACAGCATTCGTCTCCTTCTCAGTCCCAGCCTGTGCTCAACCCAGGGGCTGTGGAGCTGCAGTCAGGAGCTGTGGTGAGAAGACTGACTTCCTTGGGAAGGCGAGTCACACAGGAAAACCACGAGAGAGAATGACTTTGCAAGGGGCTGGAGAGGAAAGGAAGCAGGGAGATTCCAGCCTGCTCAGAAGAAATCAGCTTACTTGCTGCTGGAAGTTATTAGGGCTGACACCAGTGCAAAGGCCTGGCAGCCACAGTGGGGCCGGCGCCATGGCGGGGTCAGCGCCACGTGTTAGTTCCCCCGGCTGCTGTGACGAAGCACCGCGGCAAGGTGGGTTAAATCACGAGGGCGTTTGTTGTCTTGCAGTTCTGGAGGCCAGAAGTCGAGATCAAGGTGTCAGCAGGGCTGGTTCCTTCTGGGGCCATAAGGGAGAATCTGTCCTGGGCTGCCTTCCAGCCTCAGGGGGCTTGCTGGCCATCTTGGGTGTGTACTTGGCTTACAGAAGCATCACTCCAGTCCCTGCCTTCAGTCCACGTGGGGTTCTGCCCAGGTGTGGGCCTGCACCCAAATTTTCCCCATGGGTAAGGACACCAGTCAAGTTGGCTTAGGGCCCACCCTACTCCTGGATGACCTTATCTTAACTTTAGTTACACCTGCAATGACCCTGTTTCCAAATAAGGTCACATTTTAAGGTATTGGGGGTTAGGACTTCAACATATGAGCTTGCTGGGGGGCCCCAATTCAACCCCAAACAGCACACTCGCGCCTCCCTGCTAAATCCTTGCCGTACTAGACTCAGGGCACCTGCCAAGAAGAGGGGTCTACCTGCTGTTGGTTTCCGCTGTGGCCTGAGCTGAGCTGGTACGACTTTGGCAGACAGTTCCAGAGCCGATTCCTGGAAGGGTGTCTCAGCCCTCCCTGATCCCAGGACTCACAGAGGAAGTCAAAGCCAGGCCTTGTGCATTGCAGACTCAGCCCCCCGGAGGTCTTTGTGAGGCACCATAAGAGGAGACAAGATGTCCCAGCAGGCTCCAACTCCTCTGGGGAACCAGAGGCGTCCAGGACTGTGGGATTGTCCTGACCTGGTGGCCAGTGTGACCGGGCAGCAAGGCCTTCACCTCTGACTCCTGGGAGGCTGTGCTCAGCCCATCTTGGGCTCCTGCTGCTGAGGTCCTCTCCATCTCATTGGTGAAATCTCCACCAAAATGCTTCCTCTGAAAGCTGGGTTGTCCACCACTGTGCCCCGTCGCGCTCTCCTCCTCCCCATCATGGTCTTCAAAGCCCCAGGCGAGCCACGGTGGCCTATACCTGTAATCTCAGTACTTTGGGAGGCTGAGGTTGGAGGATCATGTGGGGCCCGGAGCTTGAGGTTACAGTGAGCCGTGGTCACGCCACTGTGCTCCAGCCTGGGCGACACGGCCTTTATCACGGTGGGAAATGGTCTCATTTCTGAACACTCATTTGCAGGCTGGCTGACTCCCTCCACTGCGTACACACGTGAATCCGGTCTTGTGTGGCCACATGCTCCACAGCGAGCCTGAGCTGTCGATTGATGTCAATGAATGTGGATGCGGGGGCTCCAAGAAAGAGAGCACCTGTGCTCTGTTCCTCAAACTCTTTTTCCCTCAAGTGTAGCCTACAGGGAATTGCGTTCTGTGGAGCATCCTCTGGGGGCACTGACCAACAGGCCAAGGTCCGAACTGTCCAGCCCTCCCAGTGGGCCTCTGCTTAGCCTCAACCTCTGCCTGGTCTCTCCCAGCATCACCAGGGGGTTCCCTACAGTCTGTCGGCTGCTTCCCACCTCTTGGCTTTCATTCAAGCTGTCCTCATGCTGCGCCTTCCAGGAACCCTCCCTGGCACTCCAGACCTCTCTCCAGCCTGAGTGAGGAGTCTCCCCTCTGACCTCCCACAACAACACCCTTGATGGTTCCTCTGTTACACTTTCCGTGTGTGATAATTAACTGTTCACCTATTGATCTCTGCCATCAAATCGTGAGCTCCTTAGGGCTGAACTGTGCAATTCCTGGATCATAGTTGGTGCTTAGTGCATGTTTGTAGGGCAGGTGGATGGATGGATGGATGGATGGATGGATGGGTGGATGGACGGTTGGATGGTTGGATGGATGGATGGATGGATGGACTGATGATTAGATGGATGGGTGGGTGGATGGATGGATGGCAAATGAATGAGTGGATGGGTGGATGGATGGGTGGGTGGATGGGTGGATGGATGAGTGGATGGGTGGATGGATGGGTGGGTGGATGGGTGGGTGCATGAGTGGATGGGTGGATGGATGATTGGATGGATGGATGGATGGATGGATGGATAAATGGATGGGTGGGTGGGTAGATGGGTGGGTGGATGAGTGGAAGATTGGATGATGGGTAGACGGATTGGTGGGTGGACAGGTGGGTACATGGGTGGATAGATGGATGGATGATTAGTTGGGTGGATGGATGGATGGATGCATGGATTGGTGGATGGGTAGATGAATGGATGGGTGGATGGATGGATAGGTAAATATATGGATGGGTAAATGGATGAGTGGGTGGGTGGGTGGATGGATGGATGACTTTTACAAGAAGCAGCCAGCCCACCATTTGCGTCAGGGCCCAAGGTGGCTCATTAGAATTGGTATGTGGTTGTACAAATGCCCGAGCTGCTAATTTTCCCACATCCAAGCACAATTAAACCTTGCCTCTGGAGCCTACCAGTCACTCTTGATGTTCTTTGTTTTTGTTTTTTATTTATTTTTCTTTAGAGATAGAGTCTTGCTATGTTACGCAGGCTAGCCTTGAATTCCTGGGCTCAGGGGATCCTCCTGCCTCAGCCTCCCCGTAGCTGGGACTACAGGCTGTTTTTCTCTTCATTAGCCTTTGCAAATGGTTTCAAGAGTTCAAAAATTAATGTATCTGATGTCATAATGAGAAACATACTGTGATGCTGTTAGTCTTTCCAAAGTTGGCATTCTCTTCTTTCACAGACTCCTAGAGGTTCAAGGTGGCAAAGTCCTGTCTTTCTGTTTGCATACTCACTTGCTAAATTTGCTGCATCAGATTCATTTGGGCTTTGCTATGGTCTTTCTTTTCCATAGTAATTGGAATTAAAATTATAAGTTCAGTAAACTTCCCTCTTCTGCTCTATCCAATTGCTGAATTCAGACGTGTTCCATGTTCCCAACATCTCAGAGGCTCCCCTCACCACTTTTCCCACCCCAATGATGACATCAGCCATTTATCCCCCCTGTGTGCTGTTCAAGAGGAGCACTTTGGAAACCTGGCCACTGTCCTGTGGCCTAACTGTGACACAGCTGAAGACACAGGCTGGGCAGCCTTTGGTATTGATGTGACTGTTTAGAATTGCACTGCCTTTCTTTACCAGAGAATGACATTTCATAGTAGTTCAAACCGAAGTGGGGCTGTTGCAGGGAGTTTTTGCTGCCTTCTGTAAGAGAGTGGCAGGAAGCAACATTCAGGCAGCCGGTGCGGGAGTGTCTGGCAGCTGCAGAAGGTGGCTGGACTTTTAGACATCCGGGTGAACATGCTGAAGTGACGTTGATCCACTGACTTGAGAACATCAGTGACAAGGGTTCAGACTCTGTGGTGAGACACAGGAAGCTGTTGGCAGGGCAGGTGCCCTTCACTCTTCTAGCCTCTGCTTCTCATGGCTCCCTGTCTTTCTGTGACTTGAGCTGTGGCTGTATCTCACCCGTACTGTTCCCTTCCTCACCACAGGGATGGACCCGCTGGGCACCAGCTCACTTCTCGGCTCTGTATTGTTAATGTGTGTGGCTCCCCCACTAGACTTGGCTTTTGGGGGACACATAGTGTCTGATCTACCCCTGAGGTCCTCCTCATGGCCCTACCCTGTCTGTTCAGCAACTGGCCACAGGGGATAAACACCCTTCCAAAGGCAGTGTTCCTGGGCCACTGGCATCCAAACAGTGCCCCCTGCTGTGGTTTGAATGTGTGCCCCAAAGTTCATGTGTTGGTAACTTAATCCCCACTGCAACAGCGTTGAGAGGGGGGACCTTAAAGAGGTGATGAGGTCATGAAGGCTTTGCCCTCCTGAGCGGATTGATGTTATTGCAAGAGTGGGTTTGTTATTGCTGCAGTGGGGTCCTTATAAAGGGTGAGCATGGCCCCCTTCCCCTCTCTCTTGCCCATGCGATGCCTTCCTCCATGTGGTGACATAGCAAGAAGGCCCTAGTCAGATGGGGCCCCTCCACCTTGGGCTTCCCAGCCTCCAGACTGTGAGCCAGAAACATGTCTGTTCATTATAAATTACCTAGACTGTGGTACTCTGTTATAGCAGCAGGAAGCAAAGGAAGACACCCATCCACATGGCCCCAGGAATGGCTGACCCAGAAGGACCCAGGCTCATGCTCTCGGTGAAATCCTGGGTTCTACCTCCCCACTCTGCTCTCTTGTTCCCTTTGGCCCTTCCAAGCCCAGCCGGTTCCCTTGGGCAGTACCTCATTGGTTTTTCTACCTGTGACATCTCTGTATGGGGCCCCTTGGCTCTCTCTGTCCACCCATTCCCCCTCCCACGCCACCAGAGCTTCCAGCCAACCAGGGCAGGGAGGCAGGAGAGGGCCTTTCCTGTGGCAAGTGAAGGGTGTCTGGGGTTGAGATGGCCATCAGCGATCTGACCTACCCGTGGGCAATCGGCCAGCCTTGGCCTGGCCTCGGTCTCAACCTGCTGGTAGAAGCCATTGTTCTTATGCCACACTCAACTCTCTGTTGAACGTCAGGGCCCTTCCCCTGATTTCTCATCTCCAGGGGTGCTTCAGTAGCAGGATGCTTGTCCAGATAGCCTTCCCAGCTTCAGGGTGTTGGTCCAAGGGGCTGGAGCTGCGGGGCTGAATACTTCCCATGGGCTTCTCCTTTCACAGGGAAACAAGTTCCTCGCCACAGGCAGGGCCCGAGGGTGCCATCTGCTGCCAGCAGGCACTTTCCTTTCTTCTTGAAATGGCATCTCTTCTGATCACAAAAGCAATACTTGATCCGCGATGAGACTTTAGAAAATGATAATTTACCTGTAATCTTACTACTCAAGTAAGTGTAAGATTAATGCCTTACCTTGAGTATCTTCCCCAGTGTGTCATTTATGTACATATGACATCTCTAATTTTTATTTTTATTATTTTATTTATTTTAAGAGACAGGGTCTTGCTCGTTGCCCAGGCTGGAGTGGAGTGCAGTGGTGTGATCACAGCTCACTGTACCCTTGAACTCCTGGGCTCAAGCGATCCTCCCACCTCAGCTTCCAGAGTAGCTGGTACTACAGGTGCACACCATCATGCCTGGCTAATTTTGGATTTTTTGTAGAGACAGAGGTCTTGTCATGTTGCCCAGACTGGTCTTGAACTCCTGGCCTCAAGTGATCCTCCCGCCTCAGCCTCCCAATAATTGTTGGGATCACAGGCATGAGCCACTACACCTCGCCTCTAATTTTTTAAATGCTACATTTTTCATTTCATATTTTAACATTTCCAGTGGACCATCCTTCTGGAGATTGTTTCACCATAGGGATATGACCTAATGTATTGAGTCAACCCACTGTTGATGGACATTTAGCTTATAAGCTATTTCTTGCATATGAGTTTGCTGGGCGATTACAAGAAAAACATTCTCTTCTGTTGTTTGTGAGATGTACAGCTCAGTAATTTGTGGTACATCCATGAGGCTGTACAGCCAATATCACTGTCTAATTCAAAACATTTTCATCACCCCATAAAGAAAAACCCTCCCCATCAGCAGTCACCATGTTCCCCTCCCCCTTCAGCTGTTGCGACCACGGTTCTGCTTTCTGCCCCTATGGGTTTCGCCTGTTCTAGACATTTCATGTGAATGGAATCAATCATACAGTATGTGATTTTTTTTTTTTTTTTTGAAGGAGTCTCACTCTGTTGTCAGGCTGGAGTGCAGTGGCATGATCTCGGCTCACTGCAAGCTCCGCCTCCCGGGTTCACGCCATTCTTCTGCCTCAGCCTCCTGAGTAGCTGGGACTACAGGCGCCCGCCACCATGCCTGGCTAATTTTTTTTGTATTTTTAGTAGAGACAGGGTTTCATCGTGTTAGCCAGGATGGTCTCGATCTCCTGACCTCGTGATCCGCCCACCTTGGCCTCCCAAAGTGCTGGGATTACAGGTGTGAGCCACTGCACCCGGCCAGTTTGTGATCTTTTGTGACTGGCTTCTTTCACTCAGCACGATGGGTGTGTTTTTGTTTTTGTTTTTTTAGACGGAGTCTCGCTCTGTCTTCAGGCTAGAGTGCAATGGCACGATCTTGGCTCACTGCAACCTCTGCCTCCTGGGTTCAAGCAATTCTCCTGCTCAGCTTCCCGGGTAGCTGGGATTACAGGCATGCGCCACCACACCCAGCTAATTTTTGTATTTTCAGTAGAGACGGGGTTTCACCAAGTTGGCCAGGCTGGTCTCGAGCTCCTGATGTCAAGTGATCCTCTCGCCTCGGCCTCCCACAGGGCTGGGATGACAATATGATGTGTTCAGTGTTCATCCACACAGTAGCATGTATAAGTGCTGCGTTCCTTTCTGTGGCTGAAAACTTATTCCATTATATAGATAGACATTTTGTCTATCCATTCAACTGTTTTCCAAAGTGTCTGTGCCATTTTATTTTTCCATAAGGAAGAGAGGAGGATTCCAGTTCCTTCACATCCTCACCTTCCTCACCACAACTTCATATTTTCTGGGTTTTTTTTTTTTGAGGGGGGGGGGAACATTCTAATCGTCCTAATAGATAAAATGGTATTTAATTGTAATTTTTTTGGCATTTCCTGACTGACAGTGATGTTGGGCATCTGTTCATGTGTTTATTAGCCATTTGTATATCTTCTTTGGAAAAATGTCTATTCAAATCCGTTTTCCATTTGTTCAGTAGTGTTTTTTTTTTTGGTCTTTTTGTTGTTGGATTGTAAAAATTCTTTCTATATTGCAGATACTATGTCCTTATCAGACACATGATTTGCAAAAATTATTCTGTGGGTTTTCTCTTCACTTTCTTGGTGGTGTCCTATGAAGCAGAAAGTCTTCAGTTTGATGAAGTCCAGTTATCTGTTTTCTCTTTTGTTGCCCATGCTTTAGGTGTCATGTCTAGGAAACTGTGGCCTAGCCTAACGCCACAAAGATTTACTCCAATGTTTTCTTTTAAGAATTTTAAGCCTGGGCGCCGTGGCTCACGCCTGTAATCCCAGCACTTTGGGAGGCTGAGGTGGGTGGATCACTTGAGTCCAGGAGTTCAAGACCAGCCTGGGCAACGTGGTGAAACCCCATCTCCGCTAAAAATGCAAAAATTAGCCGGGCAGTGTGGTGCACGCCTGTGGTCCCAGCTACTCAGGAGGCTGAGATGGGAGGCTCACTTGAGCCCAGGGAAGTCAAAGCTGCGGTAAGCCATGTGAGACACCATCTCAAAAAAAAAAAAAAAAAAAGAGAGAATCTTTGAGTTGTAGCTCTGACATCTAGATATATGATTCATTTCGAGTGAATTTTTGTATGTGGTATAAGGTCAGAGTTCAGCTTCATCCTTTTGCATGTGTGTCTCCGGTTTTCCGGCAGCATTTGTTGAAAAGACTATTCTTTCCTGGTTGGTCTTGGCACCCTTGCTGAGAATCCACTGCCCATAAGCATATGGGTTTCTTTGCGGACTCTCGGTCTCATTGGTCTGTATGTCGGTCCTATGCTGCTGCTGCACAGTCTTGATTCCTGCTCTTTCATGCCACATTGCAAATCACAAGTGTGAGTCCTCCAACTTGTTTTTTTTCTTTTGGCTATTCTGGGTCCCTCGAGTCACTCCCACATTAATTTTAGGATCATATTGTCCATTTTTGCAAGAAAAAAAGGCAGTTGGCACTTTCGTATGGATTGCATTGAATCTGTAGATCGATTTGGGGAGTCATGCCGTCTCAACAATATTGTCTTCCGACCTGTGAACACGAGATGTCTTCCCATTTATGTAGGTCTTCTAATATTTTTCAACAATGTTTTGTTGTTTTCAGTGTATGATTCTTGTACTTCTTTTGTTAAATTTATTCTAAGTATTTTAATCTTTTTTATGCTATTGTAAAGGGCTAAGGATTGTTTTCTTCATTTCACTTTCAGTTTATTGCTACCATATCTAAACACAAATGATCTTTTTTTTAATTTTTATTTTATTTATTTATATTTTTTTGAGATGGTGTCTCACTCTGTCACCCAGGCTGGAGTGCAGTGGCACGATCTCAGCTCAGTGCAACCTCCGCCTCCCGGGTTCAAGCAATTCTCCTGCCTCAGCCTCCCGAGTAGCTGGGACTACAGGCACACGCCGCCACGCCCGGCTAATTTTTTGTATTTTATTAGAGACGGGGTTTCACCGTGTTGCCCAGGCTGGTCTCGAACTCCTGAACTCAGGCAGTCCGCCTGCCTCGGCCTCCCAAAGTGCTAGGATTACAGGCATGAGCCACCACGCCCGGCGTGATCTTTAAAAAAAAGCCTTTATTGATATGTAACATACATACCACAAAATTCACCTTTCTAAATCACACAGTTCAGTGGTTTTGGGCAATAATACCCCTGAGCCTTCTGTGTCGGGCGCCACGCCAATCCGGCCTTCTGCCATGTACTTGCCGCCTCCGTTCCCTTGCCTCTGCTCTCTCCCTGCCCCAATTCTTTTTTTTTTATATTTTTAATTTTTGTAAAATATATGTAGCATAAAGTTTACTATTTAGCCCTTCCTAAGCGTACAATTTCGTGGCATTGAACACACTCAGTGCCGTGCAACTGTCACCAACATCATCTCCGCAACGTCCTCATCTTCCCAAACTGAAACTGTTTCCCCATCACTCACTCCCCCCGACTCCCCGCCCTCTGCCCACCCTGGCGCCCACCGTTCTACCTTCCATCTGTATGAACGTGACGGCTCTCAGGACCTCGTGTCGGAGACTCAAGCAGGACGCATCCTTTGGTAGCTGGGTTGTTTCACTCAGCATGATCTTGCCAACATTCATCCGTGGCTGTAGCCTAGATCCGAATTTCCTTCCTTTTTAAGGCTGAATAATATTCTGTTGTATGGGTGGACCACATTTGGTTTATCCACGCCTCTGCCAACAGACACCTGAGTTGCTGCCGTCTCTTGGCCGCTATGAACGTGGGCGTGCAAGTATCTGTCCGAGTCCCAAATTTCAGTTCCTTTGGGTAAGGCTCTGATGAGGCTGGGGGTACCGAGTGGAAGCTGACATCCTGGACAGTGAAGGCCCCTCCCTTATTCAGCTCCCAGGGCAGAGGGCAGCAAGGCCCACACCCCCAAGCTGAAGGTAGGGGCTTCATCTGTGGAACCCTGACCACCTGGGAGGGGAGAGCCACGGAGCATTGTTGGGGTCCCAGCAGAGGATCCCGTCCCATGGGCCCAGGCCCCCTAAGCCTCCTACCGTGCTCCCACGTTCCGGCAAATATTCAGCTATGTTAGCACATTGCCATGAGGGAGGGGGCCCCGTGCAGCTCCAGGGACGCTTCCAGCCTCCTCCCCCGCTCTGCCGCAGCCCGCTGCCCTGAATTCTCACGTGCGCCACGCCTCTGTGCTTCTGCAGGGTTTACGTCACGAGGCTGTGTCCCTAAATTAGATACCAGGCAGTTGTGCATGTTTCCCACGGTCTGTGAAAAGACTCACGCCACGTGGGATTCGTGCGCGTTGGCGGGGCTGTGGCTGGCTCGCCTCCGCCTCCGTGGCCTCTGCTGGTGGGCGATTAGATCACGGTGGGTCTTCCATTCCATTGCTGGCGGACTTGGGATCCTGCCCAGCGTTTCACTGGAATCCCCAGCACCGCGTCTAAGACCCTGCATCTCTGCAGACAGACGCAGATGCGCGTTTCCAGTGTATGCCGGCAACAGAGGCCACCGGGCTCCAGAGTGTAGACAGCCCTGGCTTTACTGAAACGGTGCGAACATTTTTTCCGAAGTGGTTGCACCAGCTGACGCTCCCACCAGCAAGGTGAAGGCTCCTGTGGTTGCACCCACACTGTTCTTATTTTTGCACAGGTCGACGAGGATCCCCGAACATTTGGGGCAAGGCTCGGCATGAGACACGGCCAAATAAATGAGCCAAGCCCTCCAAAAGAGGCCGTGCAGGATGCCAGTGGCAACTGAAAAAAATTATCACGAATATTTCTAGGTAGAGAAAAGATTTTGCATCCATGAAACGACAGTAACAGCAGTAAATTTAAAACTTGATAGCAGAAATTTAAACGTCAAGAGTAAAATTAGAAGAACGAGTTGGGGGAAATTTCCCAGAAAATGGGACAAAAAGATAGGAGATAAATTAGTTTAAAATGAGAGGGCCAGTGGGTGCACCCCTAGAGTTGGGCGAGGTGAACCTCCGGAGTTAGTACAGGCCCAGCTGTGAACGATTTATAGGGTCACCGTGGAACCCCTGAGTAGCAAATCTGATGAAAGCTGAGGACGCAGCTGCTGGGAAGATGGAGACCCCATGCACGGAGGGTCCCTCAGCCTCCAAGGGCATCCACGGACAGAGCCTGAGGTCTGGAAGTCAGAACCGATGCCCAGGGAGGCCAGCGAGGCCTGTGGGGTCTTGTGCAGAGGCCCCTGGAGGTCCCGGGCCCTGTTCTGACTCCAGGCAGGGAAGTGTAGGTGGGGGCGGGGGGATCCTGTATTCGTTTCTTGAGGCTGCTGTCCCCGCAAACTGGCCTAAGCCCTGGAAACTGTCTCGCAGTCGGAGGCCCGAAGTGCAAACTCTGGCAGAACCTCACTCCGTCTGCAGGCTCCAGGGCAGGCTCCTCTCGCCTCTCCCAGCTTCTGGGGACTCCAGGTGTTCCTTGGGTTGGGGCCGCGTCTCCGGTCTCAGCCTCCGTGGTCACATGGGCTCTCCTGCCCTCTGTGTCTGTGTCCTCTTCTGTCTCTTATAAGGACGTTTGTCTTTGGACTTATGACCTGTCCGGATCATTCAGGGCAATCTCTTCATCTCCAGATGCTTCACTTAATTGCTCCTGCTGAGACCCCTTTTCCAAATGAGGTCACGTTCACAGGCTTCAGGGGCTGGGGTGGGGAGAGATATTTTTGGGGGCTGCCTGACACTCAGGCCATTAGAAATGGTGTGAAAGGTGAGTTGACGCTTCCATAGGGGCAGTCGGTCGATATTAAGCCAGGAGTACAGCCTCAGTGGGTGAGTCGCCACCAGCTGTCAATTCCAGGAGGCCCAGCAGAAATCAAAGGCCCGGGACTGGCTCAGAGCCCTGTTGTACCACCTGGTATATGTGGTGAGCATGTTACACTGAGGACATTTTAGGTGAAGTTACAGGAAAGTTGTGTATCTGGGCAACAGATACACGCCTGTGGGGTGAGCGTCTGCGAGGACACAGACTTTTGTCTTGACCAGTGACCTTCGGGCTCCACGGCCCCTTATCATGCCCCACCCCACACACCGGTATCTCCTTCTCCATGCAGCAGCTCCACAGCTGGGTCCTGCTCCTCAGACAAGATGGGGCCAGAGGCGGCCCCAGCAGCCACGCATGCTGCCCCACAGGCCACAAGAGAGAAGATCCGGTCCAGGTTCCACGGCAGCCACGACCTCATCCACCGCCTGTTCGTCTGCATTTCAGGTGTCATGTCAGGGCCTGAGACCGGTGCATGGCTTGAGGACACACGGGCTGCGCTTTAGGGGAGGTCAGGCGGGGCGTGTACAACCTCCCCCTCACTTTCCTGTAAACAGCAGCCCACTCTGCCCCTAAGGAGCCAGCACTCCTGTTCATGGAGAAGGCTGGACTGACCCCACACAGGCAGGAGGAGGAGGGGAGCTGCGGGTGAGGGTGGGAGGCGTTTTCCTCCAGGGAGTGGCGGCGGGGGCAGTGGGGTGGGGGCAGAAGAGCCAGGCGCTAGGCATCACCTCTGGGCAGGGTCCACCCTGGGCTCCCAGCCACGTAGGCTGCTGGGGGGCTGTGCCTGCGAGGGGTGGACATGCTTTGCAGGTAGACACATTTGGATGCCTGAGTGGCTGTGACAGTCACAAGCACTGGCCTGGGGGTGGGCACAGTGCAGGGGCTCTGTAAGTGTCCCTCAGCGCGTAGCCTGGCCAGCTTAGTGGTGATGGCTGTGACCTGTGCATAAAAGGTGTGAATGTCAGCGGCAGACCGACTGTGGCGGGGCTGTCTGTCTGGTCGTCTCCCTTCCCCTGATCTCTCTCGACTCCCGAGTTTTTATTCTTGCAAGGGAATCCTCCCCCAAGGGGTTGGGCCTCCTCCCTCCCTGACTGATCTGAGAACACGCTGGCCTGGGCTGTGAGCTCTGGCTGGGTCTGCCCAGCCCGCAGCACCGACCTCCGCAGTTCCTTCCATCCGTCCTTCTGTCGTGGTTACTGTGGCCTTCCTTCCTCAGGTGTGGCTGACCAGCTGCAGACGAACTATGCCAGTGACCTGAGAAGTATTCTTAAAACACTGTTTGAGGTCATGGCCACCAAGCCTGAAACAGACGACAAGGAAAAGTTAAGGAAGGGTGAGTGCCCACTCAGGACGGGCTCTGAGGCCTGCGCTGGTGGCCGTGTCCCTGCCCACAGGGAGGGGTGCTCAGAAATCCACACCTTCTGGCCCTGGGGAGATAGGGTCCCGACCAAGCAATCGTCGACCCCAGGATCCCCTGACCTCTGCACTCCAAATGTGCCAGGCTGCCCTTCCTGCTGGGGAGCCAAGGGGCACAGCAGCAGGCCCAGGAAGTGCCCAGATGGGCTGCCCGCCCAGGAAGTCACTCCACCCCTGCAAACGAGCAGATGGGCCAGGGCCCATGGCTTGTGCCCACAGCCCCGGCTTCTGTCCCCTGCATGTGCAGCAGCAAGGTGACTGCACCTCTGCGTCTGATGGAGGCTGGGAGAACCCAAACCCTCCCTCTTAAGGATGAGACTCGGCCGTGGTGCCACGTCTCTTCTACCGAGAGCTGCCCCTCAGAGCAGCCCGAGGCTGCCCACCCCGAACCCGCCTCTCTATGGGGGTGGAAAGGAGTCCACTGCTGCCCATGAGCTGCTGAGGTATCACACATGCTTGACACAGCAGAAGCACACAGGCATGCTCTCACAGCCATGGTCACACAGAGACACGTGCACATACACGTGCACACATGTACTCACGCATACCCACACCCACACACATGCACACATGTGCACATACGCTCCCACTCACACGTGCGCACATGTTATCTGGGAGGGAGAAGGCAGGGACTGGTTAGGCACAGGGAGTCTGGCCCTCGGTCCCTGTAGGATCCAGGGTGGGAAAGGGGACTAAGCCCCTACTCGCCACCCCTGGTGCTCTGGTGCTGAGCTGAGGCACTTGTTCCAGCAGAGCCATCCCTCACCACAGAGGCTTCTGTTCATGGGGCGTCCGGGCACATGGGGCAGCCCGCCTGGTCCTGGAGCCCTGGCCCAGCAGGGCATACCCTTGCCAGCAGGGAGGAGCCCATGTGCCGACCCAGCTCTGCCCTGCCGAATCCACACCGCCAGGCTGCATTCTACCAGGGAGGTTGGCAGGACTGCCTTCTGGAAATCATGATTCAGAGACGGCAGGTGACATGGCCCTGTTCTGCACACGGAGGTTGTGAGCTGCAGTCCTGGCCACACACGTGCCATGCAGGGGCTCCAGGGCTGGATGCCCCTGTCAGGGGGAGCAGCCACAGGCTTCTGGGCCCCCATGTTGTGCAAAGGAGAGGCCCCTGCTCAGGAAGACCCCCAGCCAGGATCGGCGCCCAACCTGCTGTGGTGCCACCTGCCATGAGACTGCCAGTGGGCTTGGGGAGCTGACCGACTGCTGGAAGCCCCCAGCTGTGCCCAGCAAGTGCAGGTGACCCTGCATCAATTGCCCGCCTCCCTCACCATACCCCGACGGCCCCCCTTCTCCACTAGTCACCCAGACTCTGCGGAGTGCGGCCTTGGAGGACTGTGCACTGTGCCAGGAGACCCTGTCATCCTCTGAACTGGCAGCCAAGACCCGCGATGGGGACTTTGAAGGTGTGTGGGAGGCTCTGGGTCAGGACACTGCACTAGACACCAGTGGGGGCTGTGGGAGCCACAGGAGCCTTCCTCCTGGGGGAGGGGCTGCAGGCCACCCTGTCCGGGCATGTGGGAGCTGGGAGACCGCCCCCCCGGAGGCTGGCTGGAGGCCAGGCGGCTTGGCAGTCTGGAAAGGAGGGCCCAGGGTAGGTTGAGGGTCCCGGCCCAGCCCACCTGCTCCTGCCGTCGCTGATGTGACGCTGCTGTTGTTGTGACAGACCCCCCGGAGTGGGTGCCAGACGAGGCCTGTGGCTTCTGCACGGCGTGCAAAGCACCCTTCACCGTCATCCGCCGGAAGCACCACTGCCGCAGCTGTGGGAAGGTGGGTGAGACCCCTTGCACGGAGGGTCCCTCAGCATCCAAGGGCGTCCACGGACAGAGCCTGAGGTCTGGAAGTCAGAACCGATGCCCAGGGAGGCCAGCGAGGCCTGTGGGGTCTTGTGCAGAGGCCCCTGGAGGTCCCGGGCCCTGTTCTGACTCCAGGCATTTGACCACGGGAACCTGGATGGTGCCCATGTCCAGTCCCGGCTGCTGCAGAGCCAGCCACAGAGAGGGGACAGCGAGTGTGAACAGGAGCCTGCAGCAGCCTTGGTGCAGGACGTGGACCCCTCATAGAGTCCAGCCTCCTGAAGGTCACAACCCCTGGCAGCTGGGGCTGGGCAGTCCCCACCCACCAATGCGGCCTGAGCTGGGTGGGTAGGTGTGTGGGAGGGCGAGGAGCCAGGGTGGGTGGGGCTGGTCTGCCGCAGACCCTCACTGCCCCAACCCCATTCCAGATCTTCTGCTCGCGCTGCTCCTCGCACTCAGCACCGCTGCCCCGCTACGGGCAGGTGAAGCCGGTCCGAGTGTGCACCCACTGCTACATGTTCCATGTCACGCCCTTCTACAGCGACAAGGCCGGCCTGTGACGTGGTGCCAGGGGCAGCCCCAACCCACCCGGGCCAGGAACCCCCAGGAAGGTGGGGCCACGCTGCAGGCAGGTCTCACTGCGTCTCATGAGGCCGCTGCCGCTGCTGCAGGGGCACCCAGACCTCCAGAGCATCCAGAGCCTCTGTCCTGCCCACGCTAGCCTCCCTGCAGGGACCCCGGGCCGGCTGCAGGGGCCAACAAGAGGTCAGCTTTGCCCAGCAGGGGACCCGGAGGAGCCTGGTGGCTGCCTCAGGGCAGGGTGCCTGGCGGAGAAGGCCTGGGCCCTCCCACTGGTCCCTCGGAGATCTGCTGGGGCTATGGGAATCGGGGCGGGTGATGGAGGTGGACAAGAGTGGGGCCACTCTGCGCCTCTGCTGTTGCGGTGAATCTGGAAGCCGGAGCAAGGGCCACTCCACAGGCTCTTTGGCACAGCAGGGCTCCCTATGTGCCTCCCAAACGTCAAATGCAGGCTACCCATTCTCCCCATCAGCTGCCCACCTCGTTCCCCAGCCCTCACCCCTCACCCCTCACCATCCTTCCTCAGGACTTGGCTAAACAACATGCATCTCATTTCTTCTTGGAGTGGGGAGATGCGGGAAGCTGACCCAGTGGTCCTCTAGGCAGGCAGGGTGCTCCTGGTGTCTGCCCACCACTGTCCCCTTGCTGATGGCATGGGGGTCCGACCAGGCACTGACACCGCAGGCAGAGGTTGCTCGGGGCCTTGGGTCGGGTTTACCAATCAGCCAGGACGCCCGGGGCCACCAGCTCAGCTACCACTTCCCCTTCCCTCTGCACCCTCTGGAACCCTGGCCCAATTCCTCAGACCCCAGAGTGGCCTGGGACCCAAGCTGCCGCAGCTGAGTGGCCCCAGCGGACACCTCCTCAGGCTTAAATCTCAGGCTTCACATTGCAATGACGATTGCAGTTTTATTTTTGGAGATGACACACCTACTGCTTCTTTTCTAGGATAAATCTAATTACTGTTTACTGGTGGAGTACATATGCATAGAAACGGCTTCTGTCGGGGGGAGAGTATATAATGGAGGAAATATTATGTATTGAGATTATATTTATTTTCTAAATGCTGTAATTTGAAGCCATTTCCATAAATCTATTTAAGGATTGCAGACGCTCTCCTTTCTTCCATGAACGCGGATCTTTTTTCTCTGTCTGGAAAGCGATGGTGTTGGTGCTAACATGCATTGTCCTCTAAGAAGCTGGAGGCTCCTGGACTCTTGGGACGACTGAAGGGCGGGACTTGGCTCCCACCAGCCCTCAGGAGCAGTGGCCACCCCCTGCTTCCTGCAAGCTCCTTCCCACCTTCCAGGGCTCTGCCCCTGTGATGCCCATCCCCCCCTGCCCATCTACCTGCCCAGCTCCTCTTCTCACAGGCATCTTCAGCTCAGCCCTCTGGCCTGTGGGGGGCAGGGTTAGTGCTCATAGCCACCCCGACTTGGGGCCTGCCCTGCCTGGTGGCCCTGGTCGTAGGGCTGTGCTAATCACGCCTGGAGCGGCTGCCTTCTGGAGTGTCCTGGAGAGAACTCAGGAGGGCGGCCGCAGCCCAGGTTGCCTCGACGATGGGCCTGTGCCCACAGGACTCGGGTACCCTGCCCTTTGGAGATGGGCACTGGTGGGTAGGCAGATACTGGGCTTGCTTTCTTTCTGGCAACGGAGAAAGTGTTTTGGAATGTGGGGCCCTGTCTGAGCAGGGCTGAGTTATTCGGGAGCAGAGGAGAAGGGATATCCGGGGGACTCTGAGATGGCCTGCCTGCCCCCACGCCCACCCCAGCGGACAGCTGTGCTGCACGAAGCTGCGCCACATCCCCTGGCTCCTCACAGGCACCCACGGTGGCCGCCTTCCGGGCTAAGGCAAGGGGCTCCTCCTCGTCCACCAGGTCAGCAGTGGCAGAGGGAGCGGAGACCAAGAAGGGTCTTCCCCTCAGAGGTCTGGATGTGGCCTGTGTCCCCGGCAGCCCTCCAGACCAGCCTTGGCCTGCCTTGTGCAGGGGGGAGGGGAGAGGGCAGCCCCTCTAAGAGCTGCCCTGCAGGAAAGCCTGGGGTCGCAGGATCCCCCCAGAAAGGGTGACCAACTCTCTTGTTCCCCCAGGAATGAGAGGTTTTCTGGGCTGCGGGACTTTCCATACTAAAGGCAGGACATGTGGTCACCACCCACCCACGGGGCTGTTCCCACCCCAAGGGCAGAGTCAGGACCTGGGGATGAGAGGGGCTGGGCCAAGGCAGAACCAGCTCTGGAAGGCTCTAAAAGGGATGGCCTGTCGCCCACCCACAGCTGGGGCTGGGGACTGCAGTCTCTGGGTTGGGGGCAGGAGAGTGCCATGGGGTCTGGTTGTGGGGTCAGCCCCTGTGGGCCTCAGTTTCTCCACCATCACCATCATTGCTGTTGTTTCCTGAGCAGGGCTGTCTCCTCTCCTCCCACAGCCCCTCGAGGGAGCAGCATCCCCGTGTTGTAGGTGGGGAAACTGAGGTTCGAGGAGGTCTGTGACAGAACTGGGTTGTGCGTATCTAGGAGGGTCTCCAAGAGGCAGACACAGAAGTTCCTGCGATGGGAGGGGCTCCAGGAAGCACTGGCCGTGGCCGATGGTGCCTGGATGGTGTCTGGAGGCCATTTCCAGGGAAGGCTGCTGCGGAGGCAGGGGCGTCCCCACCCGAGCACCCGGGTTCCTGGTCCCAGCAGCTGCAGAAAGGCTGGGGCTGCCTGGGCCAGGCCTCCCTGCGCTGCCCGGGCTATGCACAGGACTGGGAGGATCCCCCAAGCTCCCTGTGTCCAAGGGGCTCAGGAGGAAGCCTGGGGCAAAGAGACCATTGCCATACCTGATCTTGGGGAGGTGGGACGAGGTGGGGGAGAAGGGAGAAGCCCCACCCTGTCCTGCCCTGCCCACTGCAGGCTGAGGCGTCTCCCGAGGCCCTCACCCACCTGCACTGTGGCGGGTCCCCTGTGGCTCACCTGTACAGCGGCCCTTCCTCGGGCAGCAAGCTCCCCACCCACACTGGCTGTGCTGGTTCCTGGGCTGATGGGGATAAGGAGGCTGTGAGCAAAGGGGCAGGTGGCTCTGGGGAGGCCTGGGGCGAGAATGCAGGGAGGCTCAGAAGTGGTGGGCGTCCTTGCTGGGCCAGGGAGCCGGTCTGAGGCAGGGACTGTCCCCTCCTATCCTGCGGCCCAGACCCGGCCCCACCCCCCACCGCAGCCCTTGCTTATCTTCAGGAGTCCTGGTGTTGTCCCTAATGGCCACCAAGGCCCGCCCAACTCCACTGCCTCCTCGAAGCAGTGCAACTTGAGGTGTTGGGGTCTCCCCACCGTGGCCAGGCACCCTAAGTCTGGACAGAGACCCCAGCGCGGCCGACCCGGTAGCCAGGCCCTAGTCCTCAGGGTCCTACACCTGGGAGGAAGATCCAGAGAGGCCCTAGCTGGTACAGCAATGACCAAGGGCAGGACAGACCATGCCCCCAGTGTTCCTGGTTGGAGCCGGACGCCTGTACCACCAGGGCTAGGCGGGGAGCTGGCAGAACCCTGGGGAGGCAGCTTTATGGCATCTGTGCACTGATGCCTCCCTCCACCAGCACCCAGCCACTGCTCTTCCCACCCTCTGGACTCTGCAGTGGGAGCTCAGGGGAGGCAGGCAGGCCTCAAAGTGCCCGCCCACACTACCCCCATGCCCCAGAGTCCTGGAGGTGCTCCCAGGCCCCATAGACCCACCTCCTCCAGGAAGCCTTCCCAGATAGCAGCACCCCTACCATTCACGAGAGGAGGACCTGCTCTTCTACCCCAGGCCTCAGGGAAGAAAGGGGGTCCCGGAACAGCAGCAGGGCCAGGCAGGGCCTGTCCAGCTTCAGAGGTCCTGGCCCTCCGAATTTTAAAGGCCACCCCCAGACACCACAGCAAGTGCCTTGAATCTGCAGCCACGGCCTCTTTCATAAACTTGTTTTTCTCTTGTAAAAGTGTTTGAAAGGAAAATTTCCTCTTTTGCTTTTGGACATTTTGGGCCATAGGAAATTCATTTAACTTATAGTTGTCTGAGTTGTCTGGGGGTCTTCTGCATGCTGGGAAAACCTTTTAAAGTGAGAAAAAAAATCTACCCCACCAATTGTTCACAAATAGAATTATCTGATTTTAAATTTAAAAATAACGCTGACATTATGTTTGGTTATATAAACATTTAATTACATCTCCATGCATTTTGATTGTGCCGTCTTCTTTTCGTATTCTGGAGACAGTGTTTTCCTGAGTGTCAAACTTTTTGGAAGGCCCCCAAGAGGCCTGGCCTGGGGCCCGTGGCTGGCCAGCCGGGCAGCCAAAGCTCCACCCAGGTTCTCAGCGAGACTCTGCTACTGACCGGCTGAGACTGGGCAGGCCCTGTCTCTCCTAAGCCCTGTCTCTCTGTGGGCAGGGCCGAGGGGTTGGAGGCTCTTGCTGATTTGGAGCTGATGTTCACATTCCTGGCACTTCCTGGGCACCCCTTAGTGCCCAGCCCACTGCTGTGCAGGGCTTTGCATGCATCCTTCATGACACACCCCAACCACCCAAGAGGCAAGTACTGTCACCCCCGATTTTACAGCCCAGGAAACAGGCCCAGGGAAGCTGACAGGACTAGAATCCAGGGTGGCTTCAAGGAGAGGCACCATAGGGACTCCCCCTGGTGCCGGGACACAACCAGGCCTCTTGGTGCAGGGGAGCCAAGGCCTCGGGGGACTGGGTGCGTGCTGAGCTGGTCACAGCTCTCCAGCCCTGACCCGGGCCACCCCACTGACCTAGAACCTGCCACCCCTCAGGGCTGTGGAGATGGGGACTGTGCTGCAGGATTCTGACGGAGTGGAGGCAGGGCAGCCTCCCGCCCTGAATGCTGGTGCAGGGGACCTGGGGGCTGCTGGCAGCCCACCCAGTGACAGGAGGCCCAAGGTGGGAGGGGCAGGGTGTCAGTGGCCAAGTTTGGGGATCAGGGCCTGGTCAGCCTGGAAGTGTGGGAAAGAGGCTCTGCAGCTGCCGGGGCCTCACCAACCTTCCCTCCCTGGGTGTGTGAGGGGTGCTCCCTGAGGCTCTGCCGAGACTCAGATACCCCGAGAAGTCATGTGTGTGTGGTGGCCATGAGGAGTTTGTGGATCCTGAGTCCAGTGAAAGGAAGTTGGGGCCCAGTGGGCGCAGGAAGGCCAGGAAGCTGTCTTCTGGAGGTCTCTTTGGGGCTGGCCTTAGATACTCTCACAGATCCTGCGGGTGGGGAGTCAGCCCAGTAGCCTTTCCCAAGCCAAACCAGGAATCCTTTATTCCTATTCCGTCCTCCATATGTCCCAAGAGGCAGCACTGCCAGCCCCGTTCACAGCCAGGGAAGCTGAGGCTGTGGCAGATGGGGCAAGATAACTCAGGAAATCCAGGCAGCGGAAGACAAGCCTGCCGTGGCCTTCCACCCAAAACCGGGGAAGCCCTTCTGCATGCAGGCCCTGTCCCTTCCCTGGGAGCCCCTGCCTGGGGTGGGCTGGGGAGGGCCGTCGTGAGGGAAAGGAGACAGAGGGCGAACAACCCAAGGAGAATGTAAGGCTGGGTGGGGCTCAGAGGATGGGGCAGGAATGAGATGCACCCTGGGGGTCCCAGAGTGGCATAGAGAGGTCCTCCCAGAGTAGGGTGGGGGGACTGGGCTCCCCAGGGAAGGAGGCTGGAGATGTCTGCCCCCTCCCTCCTAGCTTTCATTGGTGCCCATTGGACAGGTCCTGGCTCTGGGGAAGGGCAGGGCAGGGCTGGGCAGGAGCTTGTGCCCATGGAAAGCTCCCTGGAGATGCCACACCCTGCGGGGGACCTGCCCTACAGAAGGGGACATGGCCCATGCCCTGCAGGGCTTGGGTCCAACTGGCTGACCTGAGCCACGTCCTCCCCACTCCTCAACCACCCCTGAGACTCCATGGGCACTGGTGCCTGCCGGCACTGACCCAAGATGCCTCTGCCCATCTTGGGAAGGACAAGTTGAGACCCGTGGGTGTAGAGACCCTGCCAACTGCAGGTGGGACCAGTGCCCCTATCCCCCAGGGGCTCCAGACCTCTCCTGGCAGGGCTCCAGGCCCACCTGCAGCCATCTGGGCCAGGCCAACATCACCTCCAGGCCTCTCCTGGCTGCTCCCTCCCCTTCCCTCTCCTCCTGCCATTGCTGGCCGATGCCTCCAGTACCTCCCTCCCTAGCTGCAGCTCAGCCCTCAGTCATCCATCGCCTCCTGCAGCTTCTCCTCCCAACCCCAACTCCTTCCTGCTCCCCCAGGCAGTGGTGCCCACACTACCAGGCAAGGTTTGAGCCCAGGGACACCAGGGAAGTGCTTGGTCCTCAGTGTGGTGGGGAGGTGAGGGTGAGTCCTTAAATGGCCTAAATTGAGGCTAAAAATCTCTTAGACTGGGGTAGCATGCAGGTGCCTCCCCATAGACACACCTGCGCACCTGTGCTGCCCACTGCCACACAGAACAAATCTCTTGGCCCATGGCAGGAAGGGGGCGTGCACTATGCCCAGCAGGTGCACTTGTACTAGGCCAGGTGTCCGCTTTAGCTGTCGGCAGCAACTCACCCAGTGGCCAAAGCAGGGATGGGGCAACTTTGCAAAATGCTCATCCCCAAGTGGAGAGCTGGGTCCCCAGAGCCCAAACACACCCTGCTCCTCCCCAGACTTGGGCACCTTTCTTTACCATGCACAGCTCTGAGCAGCCATGCAGACAAACCTGGAGGGCCTCAGTGCTGAGTTCTTGTGAGGGGCTCTGCCTTGGGCCCTGGCGTCACTGTGGGGCGGGAACAGGAAGGGCCCCTGCTAACATCAAGGGGGTTGTCTCAATGTCCATGCAGGGCTGTCTCATAGCAGTGTCCGAGTTCCCCACTGGGTCCTGCAGGGCTCTGTGGGAACACACATTATTCTGAAGCCCACACCACAGGCTTACACCCAGCAGGACCAGCCAGGCCAGGAGGCTCTGGCCTCTGCATTCCTATAGCCCTGAGCCGTGTGTGGCAGCACTAATCTCCATTCTGCTGAGATTTCTGGGAGACCCCAGCAAATCCCTGAGCGTCTAGTCCCATGTCCTGATCTGCAAGCCGGGCATGCAAAACACAGGGAGATGCACACGAAGCTTTCACAGGAGTCCTGGTGCTGAGGTTTTGCATTTTTTGTTCAGTTTCATTGCCAGCAGCAGCCCCTGTGTCCCACTGAGTACTTCTGGAGGGGTCCAGCCACCTTATGCCTCCACACTCTCCAGCCTGCGGGGCCTGGCCCTTGGCACATCCAGGCCACCAACCTCAAAAATCAAATCAGTGAGATGGGTCGGGCGAGGTGGCTCACACCTGTAATCCCAGAACTTTGGGAGGCCGAGGCGGGCGGATCACGAGGTCAGGAGATCCAGACCATCCATGGTGAAACCCCATCTCTACTAAAAATACAAAAATTAGCTGGGCGTGGTGGCACGCGCCTGTAGTCCCAGCTACTTGGGAGGCTGAGGCAGGGGAATCGCTTGAACCCGGGAGGCGGAGGTTGCAGTGAACTGACATCACGCCACTGCATTCCAGCCTGGGCAACAGAGCCGTCTCAAAAAAAAAAAAAAAAAAAATCTGCGAGAGGGTGGGGGGTGCCGAGGCCAGTCTGGGCCAGCCTTAGGGTCAGGGGTCACTAGGGAGACCCGCCAGCTGGGATTTGATGAAGGGTTCACTCCCGTCCCCACTTAGGGCGTCCTCGGCCAGAGGTGGCCAGCGCCTGCCTCTAGGAACGTCCCTGCCCCTCAGGCCAGACACAGAGCATGCAGCCCCCCACTCCGGGGAGCCTCTCGACTCTGGCCGCACGTCTGTGTCCCTTCCCCAGACCTGGGCCCTCCCTCAGCTCCGGCGTCCACTGGGCGATCTGAGGAGCCCGCCCGCTCTGGGCCTGTTTCCCCACTGACACCCTCAGAGACGCCTGGCTCTTAGGATCAGAGCGTCTGCGTCCCTCTCCGAGGTCCCGGCCCTTCCCGGGGCCACTCTGCGCCCGGCGGGGAGGGGAGTCGTTCACGGCCCCACGCAAGACCCCCGGGCAGAGCGCGAGGCCTCGTCCCCCCACGCAGCCACTGCTTTCGTCGCGCTCAGACCCGGCGGCCCGGCCCGGCCCGGCGCACGCCCCGGAGCGCCCTGCTTCGCTCTCGTAGCGGAGACGCTCCTGCGTCCTAACGGGCCCCCAGGACGGCGGGCGGTCCCCGCGCGCTGCGCTTCCTCTCGGCAACGCGTCCGGCTGCGGCGCCCTCATTGGCCGCGCGCCCCGCCACCGGCCATTGGCTCGCAGTGCCTGTTTTACATAGGCCGCTCTGGCCAATCGGCGCGCGGCGCCTACTTAACATGCACGGCGGCCGCCAGTCAGCTAGCGCGGGGGCCGGGCCACCACGTGCTGTTGCTAAGCTCGGGCTTCTAAATTGTTACTAGCGCGGCCGGCCTATCCCAGCCCAGCTCTGCATCTGTCAACATTCTCGGCCCGGCCCGAGGCGCTCGACCCGTCCCCATTGGCCCCAGCCCGGCCCGGCGCCCGCCCCCGGGGCGCGAACGCCGCCTCCCATTGGCTCTGCGGGCCGCCGCTCTCCCTTATGTGTCAATTTGAGGGCCTGAGGCGGAGGGTGGCGGCCGAGCGCCGGAGTCCGCGGAGTCTGGAAGTGCGGCGGCCGGGCGCGCGGGGTGGGCGGCGAGCGGAGCCGGCCGGAGCGGGCCGGGCAGCGGCCGCCGCCGTCCCGGGGCGGACGGGCGCGGGCGGGAGGATGGAGCTGAACTCCCTGCTGATCCTGCTGGAGGCGGCCGAGTACCTGGAGCGCAGGGATCGAGGTAGCGCTCGCACCCCATTGTGCGCCCGCGGCGGTGGGCGGGCGGCGGGGCCGTGCCGGGCGGGGGCCGCTGACCGCGCCGTGTGTCCGCAGAGGCCGAGCACGGCTACGCCTCGGTGCTGCCCTTCGACGGCGACTTCGCCAGGGAGAAAACAAAGGCGGCCGGCCTGGTGCGCAAGGCCCCGAACAACAGGTACCGCCCCCCGCTCCCGACCCCGCCCGGCCCGGTCCGAACCCCCGCCCCCGCCCGGAGCGTGCTCTCCGGGCCCCGATTCCCGGCCCGCGGCCCTCAGCGCCGCCGCCGCGCGCCCCGGCGGCCAGCCTGGAGGAGGAGGCGCGCAGGCCGCGGCCGCAGCCCCGCCCGGCCGGCCCCGCCCTCGCCGTCGCCATCTTCCCGCGGCCGCGCCTCCCGGGCCGCTCGCGTAAACAGTGCCACGCGTACAGCGCCCGCCGCCGGGGTCCGCTCCCGCGCCCGCTCCCCGCCCCCGAGTTGTTCTGGACTTTTCCAGGCGGTAGAAAAGTTGTCAGCGGGCGCTGGCCGGTGCCCCGTGGGTCTGGGGAAACAGGCTCAGCCAGGGTCTGCGGGGGCTGCCGGCCCTAACCCCTTCTCTCCGCGGGTGGGTGGGCGGCCTCCTTTCGACTGGCTCTGCCAGCCGAACTCTGCTGCTCGGCCACCTTCCCCCGCCCCCAGGAGCCTAGACAGAGAAGCGAGTGGAGGCGCTGTCCTGGGCCCTCACTCCTCCCAGGGTGCCCACCGCTTCTGCCCAGCCTCCTGACACAGCGAAACTCCAGCCACCAGTATGGGGGTCCTCTTTTTTAAGACAGAGGCCTTTTAAGGGGGCGGGAGGAGGGGGCAGGCTGCAGGGCAGGGGCCCCATGAAGTCGTTACTACGGGTGCCAGCTGCGCCCTCCATACCTTGACCTCGTGTTCAGGCAGCAGAAGCCCTGAAGCTGGGGTGCGTACAGGTCCCCCGCGTGGGGAGTGGGGACCCTGGGCCGGGGCTCCCCGGGGATTTCCACCCTCCTGGCTGCTGTGAGGACCATAGCACACCTGGTCCTGTCTGGGCCCACCTTGGCCCAGCCCTTTTGTGTGAGCAGGCTGGGAGCTGCGTTTGTAGGGGGCTTCAGAGCCCCAGGGCATGGCTCATTCCTGTGGTCCACCTGTTCTAGGGAATCCGAAAGGCTGGTGTAGGGACCCATTTCTGTGGCATCCTGAGCCAGGCGAGGAATTGGTTGAGTCTCCAGCTGCCCTGGCTGGGACCCGTCCCTGAGTCCCAGCCCCTGGTCCCCTACTGGGGACAGTTTGGGGAAGGACAGGAGTGTGACGAGGGAACCATTGCCTCAGGCCTCCTCAGTGAGCAAGCCCGGCCCCCGCTGCCGCTTCTCTCCAAACCAAGTCCCTGACCCGTGGAGAACTCTGGGGCGTGAGCTGGGGCTCCCCCAGCATGGAGAATCCAAAGCTGACAACCAGCGTCCTGGCCAAGGCTGCCCGAACACTGCCTCTATGCTGAGCGTTTCACACATGCAGCCAGTTCATCTTCACCCCAGGCTCAGAGAGGTGATGTGATTTTTATCTCTATGGCCAAGGAAACTGAGGCAAGGAGAGGTTTGGTTACTTGCCTGCCACTCACCCATCTCTGATGACGCCTGTTCCTGAGATGGGGTCCCAGCTGTCCACATTCTGCTGGGACAGAGACCATGGGGGCACTGGTGAGGGAGACAGAGGGCTCCCCAACTCTGGTGCATCTCCCCTGGCTCCTCTGGGCCGAGCCCCGCTCCCCCGGGGCCTGAGGCAGCCCAGGGCTGGCGGCTTGGCCCCTTCCTCGGGTGGGCAGCACTGCCCTGGAGGTTTCCTCAGCCAGCCCAGACAAGTAGCTGGGCGGAGCAGGGGGCCAGAGGATCTCTGAGCCCCTGACTTGTCCCCACCTGTGAGGCTTCCATGCTCTGCCAAGGTGAGGGAGGGGACATGGCACAGTGAGGCTGGGGCAAGGGTAGGGAGTGGGGCCGGAGGACAGTGTCAGGGTTGAGGGAGGCGGCAGAGCACTGGGGCCAGCCTGCAGGGGGGTCCATTCTGTGGGAAGTGTGCTTGTCTCCTGGGGTCACGGGAATGCTGGGAACGCACTTGGCCTGGCCTCAGCGGGGACAGGTCCCACCTCTCCTGAGGGATAGAGTGCTCCTGGGACCCATGTTGCAAACATCCCCCTCGATGGACCCCAAGGGTCTCTGGGCCCAGGAGGAGCTGCAAGAGGGGCCCTGGCTGCTGGAGGAGGGCCCCCTGCCTCCAGGGTGGGGTCCAGCCCCGTGCCACCCTTCAAGGGGTAGGCAGGTAGGCTTTTATGTTGAAGGGCACCTGCTGACCCCGACCTCCCTCTTGACTACAGACCCACGTGGCCAGGCTGCAGTTTGGGCTGAGGACAGAGAGTACGGCTCATTCCTGCGGCCTGCCTATTCTGGGGAAGCAGAAACGCTGGCGTAGGGGCCTATCTCTGTGAGGCCAGTGAGGAGCATATGGCTGTGGCCTCTGCTGGCCCTGGTCGGCCCTGGCTGGCCCTGGCAGTGATTCGGAGGCTCCTTGTCCAGCCCATGTGACCAACAGGCCCTCCCGGACCCTGAGACCTGGGTCTGGAGGCTCTGCTGAGGCTACACAAGGAGGCCCAGGGCCTGTTGGTGCAGCGGGTGGGAGGGGCAGGCCCTTGGCCTGAGTGGTTGGGACAGGAGACGCCAGATCCCAAGTTCCTGAAGCAGGCAGTGGTCAGCAAGAAGCTTCAGGAAGGAGCCAGGTCCTGAGGGCAGGGAGAGGCCTCAGGGCTGGGTCTGGAGGTGCCCCGAGGCAGTCTGAGCTCTCTGCCCACCTGTGCAGCGGCATCCTGGGAGGCCCGGGAGCCCTGGCTGGCCTGTGGGGTCCTGCCTGGACACGGAAGGTGGCCTGGAGCTGGGAGCGAGGTCCCCCTGCCTCGTTATCCTCCAGGCAGATGCTGTGGCACACCCTGTGGTGCTGGGAATTGTGTGCCCGCGTCTGAATGGGCAAGACAGGTGAGCAGCAGGTGGGGCCACTGTCCCCAGAGAAGCTGAGCCCGGGCCTCCAGGGCAGCCCATCCTGCTAGCACAGCCCCTGAGGGAAGTGGGAGGGCTGGCCTCAGTGTCCCCCTGTGCCTACTGGCCTGGGAAGCATCCACATCTCAGAAGCCCCCTCATGGGCTGACCTGGCTGACGCTGCTGTGTCCCTGGTCCCCATTGGTAAGGTGGGCTGTGGTCACGCAGGTGTGTGAGCCCGAGAGAGTGGTGGTGTCAGGACAGGACCACCTGTGTCCTGAGGGCCTGGTCTCTGGGCTCCATCTCCACCTGCTGTTTGTCCCGGGTGCTAGGCTGCTTTGGCTCCAAGGACACAGCTGGCCTCAGGGATTGGGGAGCAGGGAAGGCAGGTGGCTGGTGGGGGTCAGCGCCAGGACCTGTTGCTGCTCCCTGGGCCTCCCCCATCCCTCTGGAAGGGGGCCTAGGTCCTCCTGTCAGCCAGATTCACCACGGGCCTTGCTAGGTGGGCTGGTGGCCCTGGGCGCCCTGGACCTGCCTGCAGCTCTGGGCCTCCCTGTAAGCAAGGCTGGCCCCTGCTGCTGCTTCTCACCAAACCAAGTCCCTGACCCATGGAGAACTCCAGGGCGTGAGCTGCGGCTCCCCCGGCACGGAGTACCCAAAGCTGACAACCAGCGCCCACCCTTAGCATGTGGTTCCCCCCACCCTGGGTGGGCAACTGCTCACCTGCCCCAGGCCTCACTGCTCTGGGCCATTCCAGGACCCAGACACAGCCAGCCACTGTCTGCAGGTCCTGGCCCCCTAGGAGAGCACTGCTCTCTGTGCCCTGGTGGGCAGGCAGAAGAGTGAGCTCTGTCTTTCTGTCTTTCTAAACAGGTCTTCACACAACGAGCTAGAAAAGCACAGGTAAGTGACCCCCCAGTTCCCCACATGAGCCCGACACCTGGCCCACCCTTTTACTGAGGGTGTGTGGTGCGTTGAGCCTGCCCCTGTCCCGGGCACGGCCAGCCGTGCTGCCAGGCTGTGTCCTTGTCTTGGGAATGGTCAGACTTGGAGGAGAAGGCTGAGGTCTGTTTCAGGCACTCTGTGCTAGAGGCAGGAGATGGCAGGAGGCCCAGGCCCTGCTTTCCAGAGCTCATCCAGGTGGGGGTGAGAGATGTGGAGCAGGGCCCCTTGTGCTGTGTGACAGTCAGGGCCCTTGGCTTTCAGGACAGTGGTCTCCAATCAGGAGGGTTCGGCTCTCTGCCCTGTGCATCCTGGGGTCTGCCTTCCAAGAAGCCGTGCTAGAGTCTTGTCCGAGGGGCAGATGGAGGGCAGCCAGTCCCTGGCCGCCTGGGAAGCTCCAGCCTAGGGCAGGATTCAGGCGAGCTCTTGAGTAAAGCTGCGGGGTGTTCATTCCTCCTGGTGACAGCCGGAGGCAGCTAGGGCTGCAGGCTCAGCTCTGCTGGTGGGGATGAGGTGCAGGTGAGCTCAGGGGCCTAGGGGCTGGCAGCGGGAGCCCTGGGTGAGTGCAGAGGCAGCCCTAGAGGCAGGAGCCCCCATGCCAGGACCAGGAAGAGTCCCCTGAGGGATGCTGGTCCTTCGCTCTCTCCTGACTTGTGATCCTGTCTGTGAAATGGGTCAGCTCTGTCCTCCCTTCCTAGTGGGGCAGGTCTGCGTGCTGCTTGAGCCCCCCACAGTCCCCTCCAGAAAGATTTGGTGCTCGGCCAGTTCTCCGCCTCCCCACCATGTCTACCCCCACAGCAGCACCAACTTCCGTTCTCCCGGGATTCAGGCCGCTGGCTGGGGCGGGCAGCTGGGCAGGGACAGAACGCAGTGTTCTCTGAGGAACTGCACTTCCTGGACAGGTCATGTGTGTTTCGGGGGGTTCCCTAGAGGCCACAGAGGTGGGGGCAGGTACAGGGCCCAAGAGAACCAGGCAGGCCTGGAATTGTTCCAGGCCTAAGAAGACCAGCCTAGCCTTGACCAGGACCCAGGAGCCGGGGCAGGCACGTGGGGGTGTTCAGGGAAGGCTTCCTGGAGGCGGTCCCTGGGAGGACAGCCCCCCAATGGGGACAGATTAAGGGGCAGTGACATTGGGGGAGGGTGGGTGGCAAGGGCGTGGCAGCCCTTGGGGAGGACAGGGGACCCCTGCAGCTGCCCTTTGACCTGGCTTTGCCCTCTGTCCTCTCCTCCCAGAGGCTGCATTTAGCCAGGGCCTCATGGGGCCTTCTTGAGACACAGAGGAGGGGTGTGTGGGCAGCCAGGGTGTCTCTGTGGACTCCCCCACCCCAGTGCAGGGGGTCTCTGTCTCTGGCTGGCCAAGAGGCGGATGTGGACAGCCCCAAGCACCTACAGGCCTGGAGCTTGGGGCCCTGGATCACAGCCTACCTGATGCCAGCTGCTCTTGGCTGCAGGAAGGGCTGCGTGCTGTCTTGAGAAAGGAAGGAAGCCCCTGGCTGGGCCACCCAGCCATCCCCGGGAGGCAGGCCCTGGACATCGCTTTGCCCGGAGTTGTCCCCTTACTGGGGACTGGGCAGGGCCTGTGGGACTTCCCCTGTGGGTGCTCTGAGCCAAGCCTGCCCAGCCCTGCTCCTCATCCCTTTGTAGAGAGGCAGCTCCAGCAGGTCTGAGGCCGTTGCCAACCCCAGGGTCCTGGGGACCGTGGAGGCCTCGCCTTCTTGGCTGCTGACCTCACTGGCCCCACTCCAGGCTCTGATCTTAGTGTGTTTTGGGGGAAGGTCCCAGCCTTCTTTCCTGGCCCTTGACAGCCGCTGAATGGCAGGACCCATCCCAAAGGCCAGTCCAGAGTCTTCAGCTGAGTCTCTGCCCCACATTCCCCCAGGCACGTCCAGGAGGTCCCCAGGAGCCCCCTGCAGCCCAGCCTCATGTGCTGGTGCAGCCTCACACGGCTTTCACATACCTCGGGAAGTTCTGTTGGCAACATCTAGAAAACGCAGGCAGAGGGAGTGGGAGGCACGCTTGCTCCTGGGCCACCCCCAGCTCCCCGGCAGCGGCAGCCAGGCTCTCTGGTTGGCTGGGATGCTGGCGTGGAGCCATGCCCTCTCGGTGCCCTGGGTCCCCCTCTGGGCATGGGGGTTTTTGGGGGAGCTGGGAAGTGCTGCGTCAGAGGTGGGGCTGCTGTCGATACCAGCCCAGCGTGCTAGTCCTGCAGGCGGGTTCTGCCTCCTGAATCCACACAGGGTTCCTTCAGGAAGTGGAGGTTTTAAAAGCCCTTTGGATGCCCAGGGACAGCCGTGGGGTGCTGGCAGGGGGCCCAGGGCACTGCAGCGGCTTCAGGAGGGGAGGGCTCAGCAGGAGCCCAGTGCAGCCCCGGGCTGAGGGGCTTCATGGCTCAGAGGGGTGGGTGGGGATCTTCCTGGGGTCCCGCAACCAGCCACTGTAGAGTTGGCTCCAGGCCACTGCTGCTCTCCAGGGCAGGAATTTCTGTGGCCTCCAGCCCTGGCGCCCACACTCTTGGGCCAGGTGGACCTGTTACTGGGTTTTGGACAGTGCGTGTGTGTGGTCAGATGGCTTCTGTTTGTCTCTCGAGAAAGGTGTTCCGTGATTTCTAAAGCGGTCTGTTCACGGACCTCCCCTGCACCCCACCCCAGAGACCGCATCCCAGGCACTCAGAGGCTGAGCCACATCCTCCACTGCTCCCCGCGGGCACTAACATTGCCGATGAGACTTGGATAAGGAGGGGACCTTGTTCTCCATTTCCTCACTTGATCTTTCACCCGACACCACGTACGTAAGTCCTGTCCGCCTGCGTCAGGGCACACTCCTCCACCTTCTCATCCCTGATGACTGCACAGGACACTTGGCTGTGCCACCAGCGTTCTTTGTGATGACCCTCTGGTTTACACAGGGACTTCCGGACAGTCCTGCGATGTGCCTTGGTGAGCGCAGACCTTTGTGGATCTGGGGGGATAGTTTTGTAGGACCAAGGCCCTAGAAGTAGAGATGCTGGTTGGCGGTCAGTGATAACTGTATCGATGGCCCTTCAGACCTGTGTCCCCTTTTGCTCTCCCACCAGCAAACCATCAACGACCCCTCGAAGTGGCTGGCGCAGGAGCCATCCCTTCTCATGTCAGCCTGTCGGAGGGTGCAAGTTGTACCTCCTTGTTTGTGTGTGCATTTCCTGGCTCGGGTGAGATGGAGCCGGGCGTTAGGTTAGGTTGGCCCTCGTGTCCTGCAGCCTGTTTGTGTCCTTCGCCCGTTGTGACATCGAGGCATTCTGCTTTTAATTTTTGATGTGTATGAGCTCAAAATACCACAAATACTAACCATTTGTCTTTTATATGTATTGCAAAGATTTTTCTACTTGTTCTTTGTCTCTCAGCTGTGTTTTTCTTTCTTGTGCAAACGTGTCTTTCTCTGATTGTCACAGCAATGTCTGTGTGTGTTTTTTTTTAAGCGTAGAAAACCTGGAAAATACAGAAAAGCACAAAGCTAAAGAAATAAAATTGCCGGGTGCTTCGCCTGGAGACGCACGCTCCCTGTGCCTTGTTTGATTCTGTCGTCTCTTGTGTGCGTCTGCTCTTTTATTTTTTAAACAAAATTGGGTCACTTGTCACCTATGTGGTTCCGTATTCTAATTTTTCACTTAACATTCATGATGTGCATATGTAACACACTAAAATGATAATGAGGTTGTTTTGGGGTGGTGGAATTCGGGGGTACTTTTAATTTTTTTTTATTTTTTTTCCTTTTTGTTGATTTGCATTTTTAAATTGTTCTACAGAGGTCATATAGTGCTGATGTAATTACATGGTGGGATGGAAAGCCATTTGCTAGAGTGGACCAGGGAAGGAGACCCCTGGCAACGTCCCCACTTGCAAACCTCGTCCCAGTGGTGGCTGCAGTACAGTGGCGACGCGCCTTGGGAAAGGACCCCTCCCTGAGCAGAGAGAGCACGCTTTGGCCTCTTGCCTACACAGTTCCTGGGGTGGGGGGCGGCAGGGCGCTCACTCCTGTTGGCGGTGGGGAGGCTGAGCTTCCAGGCACTGGGGTAGTCACAGAGCGGCAGCCTGGGACCCCTTTCCCTGCACCTGTGCATGGGAGACAGCGTGGGAGACGTTGAGGATCTTGGCCCTGTTCAGGCCACCTCCAGGCAGACCTCCCGACTGGTGGGGCTGTTACCGCTGCACCCAGCAGCCCCCTCCTTCTTCAGGCTCCTCCTCTGTCCAGAGGAAATGGCTGTCCCTGCCGACGTTACTCCCAGGGGGACAAGATTTGCTGGGCTTGGGAACGGCAGGAGCAGACATGCCAAGGCTGGGGTGCTCAGTGTTGGCACCACGTGGGGAAAGTCACGTGTGTAGGCATCAGCTGTGGCAGGGCAGTTGGGCGGCAGGTTTTCAAAAGACAAAAAATATTCCTGCCCCTTCACCTGGTCATTCCACTCGTAAGGATTTACCCAAATCAAAGTGTCCTATATTTGGAAGCAGCCTCTGCGGCCTGCACGGGATGGGTGAGTCCGTGGTTGAACATGGCAGTGACAAAACCTCCGGGTGCCCTGCACTGCCAGGCAGGTGCACGTGGGCCTGGCCAGGGTCCCAGGCCGAGTTGATGCCTCTGGGTGAGCTGGGCTCCCCGCACCCCGTGAGCTCCACCAGCCTCCCCCGCAGACAAGCAGGCCAGCAGGGAAGGCGGTGTTTCCACAGGGGCAGGCCTAGGATGAAGCCAGGGCCCCTCTCCTGAGGTGCCCGATGAATGTGTCCTGGAGGATTGTGGCATGTGAGCAAGTACCCTTGAGTGTGAACAAGCAAGCAAGCACCACTGGATGTCATGGCTCCAGTTTTGTGGAAAGTGGATTCATCTGTGGATACGGGGACAGAATCTGGAATGAGGCAGTTTCCAAAGGGATATGAAACTTGGGTTGGAAGGGCCTGGTCCCTGGCCCTCCCTTGACCTAGGCTGATCATGTTTCCATGGTCACAAAAGTGACAGAGAGCACGTTGTGCACGATGAGGTAGAGAGACGTGAATCTTGTCTGGGTCCTTCCAGATCTCGGTGCAGCCTGAAAGGCACCCTCGCCTCACCCCACCCCTCCCTGCATGTGGACTCCAGGGTGGGGATGGGGGATGGGGGATGGCAGGGGGGCGAGCTGGGGCTCCTAGGAAATGCCTGGCGGTGACGCGCTGAGGCTTTGCAGGCCATGGTGAGCTGGGCGCTTCTGCCAGGTGTCTGGGGGCTGTGGGTGTTGGGCTCCTCCTGGGGGTGGGGGACGGGGGTTCCCAACCAGGCCAGGAGGGGATCCTTAGAGAGGGACCCTCAGCACATGTGCAGCAGTGGATGGTGGGGGTGGGTCTGTGCAGGGCCCTGGAAACTGCCTGCTGCCCTCCCCCACCCCAGCCTGATGGTTCTGTCTCTGGCTCTTTCAGACGAGCCAAACTCAGGCTGTACCTTGAGCAGCTCAAGCAACTGGTGCCCCTGGGCCCCGACAGCACCCGCCACACCACGCTGAGCCTCCTGAAGCGGGCCAAGGTGCACATCAAGGTGAGTGGGCCTTGCTCTCCACCCTGCCCTGTCTGGCTGCCTCAGTGTCCCTGCACGCCCTGGGGGGGTGCTCACAGGTGACCCTGGGCAGCCCTTGGATCAGAGGGCCTGAAGATGGGTGGGGAGCCATCTGGCGGGTGTGTGTCGGGGGCCTGGTGGGTTTTGCCAGGGTGGAGGAGCAGCAACAGGAGCTGCCAAGGGGTCGAGGCTGTTCCGTGGCTTGTGTCGGGTTTGTTGGGTGCTGATGGCATAAGAAGCCGCATCGCAGCATAGACTGGGATGGAGAGGAGGAGGTCGGGGGACAGATTGCTCTCTGGGGTCCTGGGCTGTGAAGAGGCAGCTGCTGGAAGGAGAGAGGGGGCCAGGGTTTCCTGGGTGCCATCAGAAGGCAGACTAAAAGTAGGCAGCCTGATGGGGGTGCCAGGGTGGGGTTGGGGCAGCGGGAGCTGGCAGTGGGTCTGGGCTCAGGGAGACATTCCCTGGGACCGCCCCCCAAAGGACTTTTGACAGCCCTGTTGGTTTGGGGGCCTTGTGACATTTGGACCAACCAGGGCAAATCTCTATCTGCTCTGAGGGCCTCTTCTGCCTGCATAGGCATGGTCACCTTCAGGCTGGGGTGTCAGGAGCTTTGAGAGGGGCACAACCAGAGCCCTGGGGGCCCTCACAGAGCAAGCAGTGTCTCAGTGGGGCCCACAGGAAGGTTTAGAGAGGGCAGGGCACAGGTGTTGCAGGGACAGGCATGGCATAGGCCACAGCCCGATGGGGGCGGGCAGGGCTGGGAGTGTGTGAGGAGACCCGCTGTAAGCAGGACTGTCCTGGAGACGGTGCCAGCCAAAGATTGGGTAGCACTGACCCGCTGCCACACATGGCTCAACTTGGCCAAGGCTGCCTGGTGGCTGCGGGTATTAGAGCTGGGCCGTAGACAGAAACCACAGGGCTGGGAGGTGGCATCTGACTGTGACCGCCTGGCTGGGGCAGGGAGGGACCCACCTCAGGCTGTGGGGCTGGCAGAGACTGGGCACCCTGTGGCCTGTAGCCTTGGCTAGGTCTTGGCAGGGATGGGGAACCTCCCGGGCCCAGGCCTGGGTGCCCCAGTGCCTGGCCAGGGGGATGGGGGGACTCCTCTTCCCGCTGTGAGCTCACAGCCCCCCTCGACCCCAGAAACTGGAGGAGCAGGACCGCCGGGCACTGAGCATCAAGGAGCAGCTGCAGCAGGAGCATCGTTTCCTGAAGCGGCGCCTGGAGCAGCTGTCGGTGCAGAGCGTGGAGCGCGTGCGCACAGATAGCACGGGCTCTGCTGTCTCCACGGACGACTCAGAGCAAGGTGGGGCGTGGGGCGCGGGGCAGCCTCACCTGGGCCTCCGGGTGCGCAGTGGTGCAGCTCCCTGGGTGGAGAGGAGGTGCCTGGTGCTGGGGCTGGGGAGAACCCTCCCAGCTCCCTGCTGCACTGGGGTGTGTGTTTGTCACTAAGCGCAGAAGGGACTGGACAGGGAGGGTGGGATGCAGAGGCTGTGTGGCCCGCTGAGGACTGGTGCTTCTGAGGCCGGGTTCTCAGCCAGAGCCCTCCTGGCGTCTGCTGCCCCAGGGCCCAGACAGCGCCCTCCGCACTTCTGCCCCTCTGCCTAGAGCTTCTGCTTCCAGAAAAGGGAGAAATGGGCTGGCACCCTCAGAGTGGCCTGACCCCATCCCCACTCTATTCTCCCTAGAAGTGGACATAGAGGGCATGGAGTTTGGCCCTGGTGAGCTGGACAGTGTTGGCAGCAGCAGTGACGCGGACGACCACTACAGCCTGCAGAGTGGCACCGGCGGCGACAGTGGCTTCGGGCCCCACTGCCGGCGGCTGGGCCGCCCCGCCCTCTCGTAGGCCCGTGCCCTCTGCTCCTTGGCCTGCCTGCCCGCCAGCCACGCGTGTCAGCCCTCCAGTTCTCCTTCAGTTGACGCCAGCCTCTCCACAGGCCCACTGCTGTGCCATTCTGGAAGCTCCAGCTGCTGCTGGGCTGCCTGGCACTGCCCGCTTGCCGGTCAGGGCCTGCCGAGCTGCCTGCCCCTTCCAGCTGGGCAGAGTCCCCTGCAAGGAGGCAGGGCCCAGCTTCCACATCCGGAGCCCTGGTCAGCATAGCCGCCCACGGTCTGTTCTCAGATTCCTAATCATTCCAGAAGTATTAAACGTCATTGCTGCAAACCTCGGCAGGTGCCGTGTGAGGGGCTTAATGACCACCACAGGGAGCTCAGACCCCAACCCTGGATCCCAGGAGAAAGGAGTGGACCGAGGAAGGAAGGAAGGCAAGGCTGTCTGTCCATCCGTCCGTCTGTCCACCTACCTGTCAGTCCACATAGGCTCCTGGCGTGGACAAGGGGTCTGTGAAGGGCGGGAACTGGGTGAGCACCTGGGGCAGGTGGGTGGTTAAGGTCCTTCCCACTTCGCAGGTGTCAGAACCTAGGGCTGGGCTCTCGGGGCCAGGCAGGCCAGCCCAGCCCACGCCGAGCTGGGCAGCGTCTGCTCTGGTAGGACTGTCAGACGCACACGCGCACGCACCTAGACACACCCACTCATGTACATGCTCACACATGCAGACACACCTGGGCGTCCCGAGGTCACATGTTCTGGGGATGATGGCCTTCAGGGGTCATCTGGCAAACAGCCCCTGGGCTGTGCCTGGATCCCCCTCTAGCTCCTGCTCACCCACGCCCACCCAGTAGTCCTGCCTGTCTGCACAGGAGAGGGGCTTCTCTTCCTGGCTGGGGCTGGGGTGAACTGGAGGCTGGTTAAGTTGCAGCCGCTGGGTCCTCGGGGGCTTACTCATCTCCCTTTTTTAAACAAAAAGCAAAAAAGTAAAATGCTGCACTGCCCAGCAGCCCGGTTAGGGCTCCTGGAGCCACCTTAGGAAAGGGCTTCTCATGAGCTCTGCTGCGGCAGCTTCAGCTGGCAGAGAGGCTTTCCCAGAAAAAAAAAAAAAACCATTTTTAAAAAGAAGAAAGCCTAAAGACTCTCGGCCTAGGGACGTCCGTGTGTGCCGCCTCTGTTTCCTGTACCAGATTTTTGTATTCTATTTTCCTAGCTGTTGTTGCGTCCTTGTTTGCTGAGGGGTGGGAGCCACCCAGCGTCTCAGGGACCTGTCCCTCCGTCACGTCGTCAAAGTGTGCCTTGTGTCTTGTGTCAGGCCTTGCCCTTCCCACCAGCATGTCCCTCGTGGCTCAGGGTGCCCCAGGCCTGCCCAGCTAGTGCTGTCCTCCCATCTCCTGTGGGCAGCCCCTCCCGGCAGCCAGGGCTTCCTGGAGGCGATGCAGCCAGGCCCCTGTGGGTGGCACGGAGGGGCTGTGACCTGGTCCCCAGTGTTGCCCTCCCCAGTGGCTGGCAGGGGCCTGCTTGCTCACTAGAGAGATGGATTCTCACCTGTCACCTGACTCGAGCCCCCTGCTTCCTGGCCTAGGCGAGGGTTCCAGGTTTCAGACACTGGCAGCCAATGAAGACTGTGCTCGCTGGGTGGTGCAGGCCTGGCACCAGGAGGCTTGCACCCGCCTTTCCTTCCTGACGTCCTCTGTCCTTGGGGCTGGCCCATAGCAGTGCCTGCCGTGCCTCTGGTACATCTGTAGCCAATTCCCATATCATGGGGAAAATTCGTGTCTATTTTCAGTCGTACGCATAGACGCCCCAGGATGGGGGGCCCACTGTGGCGGAAGGGGGTCCCTGGAAACAACTCTGGCACAGAACCTGCCCTGCAGGCTGTAGGGGGCATGGTGCCTGGAGCTGAGGGGCATCCGAACGCGTTGCGGGTGGTTGTGAGGAGGCCTGTCTGCATCTCCTTCCGGCCCCACTGGGGTCCAGGGGTGCCCAGAAAGGAGCTTCCCCTGCCTGCCTGAGTCTGTCCCCCCAGGCTTCATTTCAAACACCGTGGCACCTCCGAGCAAGGCGGGCCGTGTGTAAAAGCTTGCTTCCCCAGCCAGCACTGCAGGGCCCTGAGGTGGTCGTGTCCCTGCCCTCAATTCTTGAAGCACCAGCTCCCTGCCCCACCCTCCAGTGCCTGAGGCAGCTAGGGGCTTCTGCTCTCATCTCTGACCAGCAGAATCCACCCGGTGACCAGTGGTGGCCCCTCAGCCCACCCTCCCGGCAGCTCAGCCTGTGGCTCTTGAGGCCGTGGTTCCCACGTGGACTGGGAGGCAGTCTCAGCCACCCGGGGTGCTGTTCAGCTGCCCCTCCCTGCCATCAGCAGGTGGGTGAGGGGTTGCCCACTGGGTGGGGGCCCGTGCTAGGAGTCACCACATGCTCCAACCTCCCACTGCTCCCTGTCAGGGGCCCAGGCTGCCATCACTGGAGGCTGCAGGGACCAAGAGGCCATCACCGTGTCTATAGAGAGCAGACAGAAGCAGAACAGAGCCCGGGGCTCCTGAGCCTCTGCGTGTGCCCTCCCAGCCCACACCAGTGCTCTCGGCCACTGAGCACCCAGACTCAGGCTTGGGTTCCCCAGCCTTATTGGAAGGCAGCTCCCGCATACCAGGATAACCCCCGCAAACCACATAGCAGACCCCCGCCATCCTCGCAGAGTGGGAGAGGCTGCAGCAAGGCTTTGCCTCTGCAGACCCCATCTTAGTGGCACGGTGCTTGGGCCTGTGTCCCCGGGTGGTGGAACCCTGTACCGGTCTGTGGCCCTAGGGTCCCTGCTCTGTCTGCCCCGGCCCGTGCTGTCCGCTGGGTGAGGCAGGCTCCCCCGTGCCCTGCCTCCCTCTGTCAGGGAACCTGGGACCCCCTCCCCACTGCCTGCACAGAGGACCCTGACCCTCGGCCAGCAGGGTGGCCCCAGGTCCATGTTGGGCACTAGGGCAGGTTCCGTGCCAGAGTCGGGGGCCACACGAGGGCCTGGTGCCGGTGAGGGGGGCGTGCGCTAGAGGGGGAAAGGGGCCCCCGGCCACCTGTCCACCGTGTGGGCCGTGCTGTGTCCTTATGTCATTGTAATATAAATACAGATTTTTATATCTCACCCTGCTGGCTCCGGCTCTTTCTGTGGTTGTCACTGTCAGCGTGCTTCGCGCCCTGCCCTCGGCCTCCAAGCAGAAAGCCTGGCCCAATGGCACCACGCCATGTGGCCTTCGGGCCGTGGCCCTCGTTGCCCTACCACAGCCTCTTTCCTGGGAGGCCTGACGGAGCACGGCACCCCGTGCCGCCAACCACACCGGGCCCGCCGTCACAGCTGCCTCCCTGGATGCTGTGGCGCCTGGAGCTGGGTGAAGGTGGGGTTGAGGTGGGCGCCCCCATGGGCCTGTTGGCCAACTGGATGCTCTTGTTGCTCTTGTCCCAGAGGCACTGGGACTTTGCCTCTGGCCCTTGTGCTGGGGCCCTGCTGGCCGAGGACAGCCCGCTCCCTGGGGTGCTCCGTGCCAGCCAGGAGCCCTCTGCACAGAGGCTGCTGGCTCTCAGAGCTGCACTGTGAGAATCGCTCTGTACCTGTTCCCAGAACTACCTGGGCACGGCTTCTGCTTCCTGTCATGGGGACCTGCCGTGCTGAGGTGAAGCGAGATGGTGTAGCCAGCTGTCCCCTTGTGCTGGTGGTGACCACGGAGACACAGGCTCCTGTCGTGCCCATCACGGGGTGGTTGTGAGGCGATGAGACTTCACGCAGTGGGGAGAAGAGGCCTTGTTCTCACCCAAGCAAGCCAGGCTGGCTGCCCGCTCCCCCACAGGGAGGCCTTTTGGAGGGAACCCCCTTGGAAGCAGAGACCTCTGATCTGCCGAGGGCCGGGGTTGGTGGGGGTGTGGGCCCAGCTACCCTGGTGCACAGGGAGGAGTCCTGGGGGCCCCAGCAGTGGGCAGCTGAGAGAGGACATGCCTGCCTTGAGTGCTGGAGAATTGATGGAGCTGGGTGGTCATACGGGGGGTCCTGAGTGTGAGGTCGCCACACTGTGCACACGGCAGCTATGCACTGGAGGTGGCCCAGTGGGACCCGCCAGCAGGTTGTGGGGTGGCCATGGAGGGTAACTGCTGGGGGCCTCAGGGAGGAATCTGAGCTCCCCTAACCCCCAGCAGCAGAGTCCGGATCGTTGAACCTGTGTGGGCCCCAGGGCCCTCGAGGCCATTAGCGGGGGCACCCCAGGAAAGAAAGCAGTTCCTCCTGGGAATGTGGCTGGGGCCTCAGAGACACCAGGATTTGGCCATTCATGTAAATGTGGACATTTAAATCCCAAATATTAGGATTTGGGATCACCACTACCGTTTTCTATCGAGGGCATGCAGGTGCCAGGGGCTGTGCCCAGTTCCATGTATGATTGGTGCCTGGTACCATCATGCTGGGCCCTTCTCACAGGTGGCACACTGAGATTTGGAGACGCACCCCTCCCCTGCTCACCAGGCTGGCGGGTGGGATACCTGGGACAGGACCCCTGTCCTTTGGGAAGCCCTTGATTCTCCCAGCAGAGTCCATCTCTGTTTTCCATCTTTGTGCTTGTTGGGTTACAGCAAGTCCCCCTCCAAGTAGGACCCTGCCTGCAGCCTCCTACCCACCCTCTTCTTGGCAGCCTGAATGACCTTAAAGGTCTCCTTGCTCACCTCCCTAAAGTCCTCCTCTGGGTCCCCATGGCCTCCAGATTAAACTGAAACACCGCGTTTTGTCCTTCAGCTCAGTCCGGCCCACCCCTGCCCTGGCTTCAGCCCCCACTCCCACCTGCTCCCTGCATTCACCAGCTCAGGCACAGCCTCCTCTGGGAAGTGGGCCCTGAGCCCCCTATATCCCTTCCCACCACATTTTTGCTGAGATTATGGTCACCCAAATTAGGCGCTGGAATCATCTGGGCTAATCGCCACAGGGCCTTCTCGCATTGCTCCTTCCTCCTTTCCTAGTCCTTGGCCAGGTCAGCCCTGTACACACTGGCCTCATGGGGATCTTTCTAGAATGTAAATGGTTATGCCACTGGCCTGCTGAGCCTCAGGGGTTCACAACTCCTCTTCCTGTCCTGAGGCCCTTTCTGACACCCCACCAGTCCCAGGCTCTGCTGCCAGCCCTTGTGGTTCCCATTCCTCCCCACTTCAAAGGCCCTCTCCACGTGGCCACCTTGGTGAATGAACTCTGTCACCTCCTTTGGGCTTGTGCTGACCCAAACCTGCTCCTGAGTCTGGGGACTGAGTTCTCGCTTTGTCACATGAATGTCAACAGGATGGAAAACAAACTCTTTCCCAACCCTATAGTCTTCTACTTTCTTCTTAACAGGAAGGATTAGTGGGAAGAATAGGAAGAAATGCCACTCCCTACTCAGCTGGAAACCCCGGAGTGTCTCGGACCCAGGCTAGTCATCAGGCCCCAGGCTTTGCCAGCTCCTGCAGCTCTCTCTGTCCAGCTCTCTCCTCCTCTCCTACATGCTGCAAGAGTGGTCCTGTATCTTGTCTCTTACCACCTTTTGTCATTTTTCATCTTGCAGAATTATGCTTCTAACACACATCTGAGAATTCACTCTCCTGCTTGAAAACAGCCCCCATTCTCCATTGCTTGCAGAATAGAGTCCCACAAAATTCATGGAAAACTACATCTAAAAGAAATAATCTTTAGCATCTGACTGTTACTTCTAAAGTTTAAAAACAGTCAGAAAAGATACTGTCCAAAACCTAAAATATTTTTTAATACTAATAGGAGAAAATCGCTTCCACAGGAAGGAGAAAAAGCAAACAGCAAAAACACTTGATCCTCACAGCTCTGTCTTTAGGTCTGTTTAGTCCATTATATTCTCATGGGCTTTTTCAGGGAGGATTAATTCCTGGGTTCCATTTATCTTTTGACCTTACTAAAACTCCAAATAATTTTGACTGCTGAAAAGAAAGCTTACCCTGGAAATACACGTAACATACTTGCTTTCTTAAATTCCCAAGGCAAGCTGAAGAAAACTTTCCACATCTGTATAGTTAAACCTATTGTGTTTGTCATTTGTACTCCAGGGGCTGATACTGTTGTAATTTTTACTTAATGGTTTTATGGCTTTTATGGTCTCATAAACACCTTTCCAACAAATAACTATGGTCAGCAATTCAAAATCAGATGGAGAATTAATTTGTGGCCCAAGAAACCACCCAGGAGTCACTAGGAAAGTGGGTTTCTAGAACGGCCTCCAGGGCTCTGGAGTGCACCCCTCCTGCCCTCCAGGGATCTCTTTCTATAAAGGAGCCCCTTGTCTTTCTGCCGTCTTTAATGCTGTCTCCTCAGAGTTCCTCCTTGCAGTCTATAAATATCCCCGAGTTCCTCTCATTTTCAAACAAAACAAAATAAAAAATCCTCCCCTCAGCCCTGCATTCCCACCCCCTCAGCTTGTGTTGTTTTGCATGCTCGCTCTCTGTCTTTCTCCTCTCTCTCTCTCTCTGTGTCTCTGTCTGTCTCTGTCTCTCTGTCTGTCTCTGTCTCTATCTGTCTCTCTGTGTCTCTGTCTCTCTGTCTCTGTCTCTGTGTCTCTGTCTCTCTGTCTCTGTCTCTCTGTGTCTCTCTGTCTCTGTCTCTGTCTCTCTGTCTCTGTCTCTCTGTTTCTGTCTCTCTCTGTCTCTCTGTATCTCTCTCTCTGTGTCACACTCCTCCCACCCAGTCTTTGCCTCATCAGCAACATTTCTGGAAGGCATTGCCTGCACAGCTCCCACTTCCTCCTGTCCAAACTGGCTCAACTCTGCCCCCTGATGCACACCCCCAACCTCCAACCCTGGGCTGCAAGGGTCCTCCCACCAGGCCTCCCCGTTCCAGCATCCCTGGTTTCCTTGCCTGCAGATTGGGCACCACTCTTTGAATTTTTTCCCATCATGTTTGTTTTTCAGATCATTTTAGGCCTTATTGACTTTTAAAAGAGGAGGAAAAAAACGTGAAACAAGTGAAGAATGAATAGGAAATATCTTTGACTCGATCAGATTACAATATTTGCCTTAGAACATTCTTATTTCTCTCCTTAAAAATATTAAGAAAAACTATCCAAACGACTTCTACCTAGTCACCCTGGACTAGGACATTGTCTAACAAGCCACCTTTAGGGTCATTTGACGCTGAAGGGAGGGAGTACTATTATATTTACCCATGACCAAAGCCCCTGCTAACCTGTGGAAGACTGAGGAGTGGCAAAGGATTTTTGTTTGGTAGAGATGCAAACGAATTCTGTCCAATAGAGAGGTCTGGTTTCACTGGGCTGTAGGGCATCAGCCAGATTCACATGAAATTTAGCAATCCCGTTTCAGTCATCTTTCACTGACTGCCATCCTCTTTGGAAATGGTGTACCATCCTCCTTGAGTTAAATATATCGATGTATTTAACTCAGGCCATTCCGTTTATTTCTAACATTTTGAAAAGGGAATTGTGGAGGAAGTCAGCTTTTTTTTTTTTTTTTTTTTTGAGACGGAGTCTTGCTCTGTCGCCCAGGCTAGAGTGCAGTGGCGTGATCTCGGCTCACTGCAACCTCCACCTCCTGGGTTCAAACGATTCTCCTGCCTCAGCCTCCCGAGTCGCTGGGATTACAGGCGCCCACCACCGCGCCCGGCTAATTTTTGTATTTTTTAGTAGAGATGGGGTTTCACCATCTTGGCCAGGCTGGTCTCGAACTCCTGACCTCATGATCCCCCCCCCCCCCCCCCCCGGCCTCCCAAAGTGCTGGGATTACAGGCATGAGCCACCGCGCCCGGCCAGAAGTCAGCTTTTACATAGTGTTCTGGTGAGGGATTAGAAATTAAGTGTTTTTGCAAAATAAAGTTCATTGTAAAAGACTCTAAGCGAACAATCCCTAACCCTTAAAATGTACCAGGCATTGGTCGGGCTGCTGTGAATGTTCCGGGAACTCGTCTCTCTCGGGGGCGAGCGCTATCACCGCCGGGCTCCAGCCTGTCTCCCAACCACCAACCTGCGCTGCTCTTTGTACCATTCAAAAGTGCCTTCAGAGGGTCTAGATTGAAGTACGGGGCAGGGCAGGCCTGAAGCACAACTGACGGCTCCGTTGAGAGCAGGCCCGCAGCTTCAGCTCCCCAGAGGGCGCCCCACCGCACCCCTCTGCACCCCTCTGCACCCCATTCATTGCCCAGGCTCCGCCCCCTGCCCAGGCCCCGCCCCTGTCCAGGCCCTGTCCCCGCCCTTCCCGGCCCAGACCCCGCCTCTCTCTGCCCTGCGCCCCGCCCAGGAGGCAGGATGCCCGCAGCGGCCGGGGGCCGAGCGCCGCCTGCTCAGCTCCACCCCATAGTCCAGCCTCGCCGACTCCGCCTCTTTTGACACTACGCCTGCGCAAACAGTCATCCCCCACGACCACGCCGTCGCCTTGTGCGCTTGCGCGCGTCCAGGCGCTCCCGTGAGGCAGTGCGAGGCGCGCGGGGCACGGAGGGCGGTGGCGGCGGGCTCCTGCGAGAAGCAAGCGGAACTTCCTGAGGTGACTGACGCGGGCCTCGGTTCTGGGCGCAGGGGTGTGGGGCTGGAGGAGTGGCCGCGATCCCCGTCTGCACCCAGGTGCCTCTTTTTTTTCCTGCGCTCCTGGGGGCTCCTTCCAGGTGCTCCAGCAGCTGCCCGGGGATCAGGGCCCGGTCCGCTGGGCGAGGAGCTGGGGCGGGGGCTGTGCGGGGCCTGTCACCCCCGTCTTCTGCAGCTCGGTGTCGACGGCGATTCGGTGGGCTTGTGCGTTTGTTTTGTCAGCGTGCTTAGGTGTCACAGCTGGGTGACCCTCCGAAGGAAGGTTTTGCCGCTGGCGCGTCTGGTGTATCGCGGCCTTGGGGCCGCGGATCCCTGGGGCTTGCCGCTGCCTCTGGGGTTCGCGCGGCCCTGGCGTCGGGGCTGCCTCAGCGCTGGCTGAAGGCCGGCCCGAAGCACCCTTAATTGTGGCCGCGCGCTTCCCTGCTGCTCCTGCTGTTCTCCGCGTCGCGGTGGTGGACTCTGGAGGTGGAGCCTTGCCCGGCGAGACGTTGAGGTAAATATTTAGTTGATCTTCAGAAGATGTGCCATGCTTATTTGCGTCTTCTTACGTACGGAGGGCAGGGAAGAGAGGCTGCCTAGCCTCCTGGTGGCTTGGGTTTGTTTGGATCCATTTATTTTGAATTAAAAACAAATGCTGCTCTATAAAGTGTAATGCATTTTAAACCATTTTATCTTTGGAAAAAAAGATAAAATGGATCCAAATAGATCCACTTTCTTGTTAATTACTTTTCGTTACTGTTGCGGTTTTCTGAGAACTAGCCTAATTGTTTCTGTTTCTCTTTATCATCATCAAACATTGCAGCTACGACTACCTGTCATTTATCCCGCTCTCGGATATCATGTGATATTTGTCTGTGTCTTCTTTTTAAAAACACTGTCGTCATATTTGTGGTCTAATACTTGTTTTCTTCCCCCCTAGGAGGAATCATTATAGATTCTAAAAATATATTTTCCCTTCTCTGTGGACTTGGTATAAAACGTAGCTTTTTTTCTGCTTGGATTTATTTTCTAAAAATCAACACCGTAAACCCATATCAGATACAACAAAATTGGGGTAGTTAAAACCATGAGTTGTGGAAATGAGTTTGTGGAAACATTAAAAAAAATTGGTTATCCCAAAGCTGATAATCTTAATGGAGAAGACTTTGACTGGTTGTTTGAGGGCGTTGAAGATGAATCGTTTCTGAAGTGGTTTTGTGGGAATGTGAATGAACAGAACGTGTTGTCTGAAAGAGAATTGGAAGCTTTTAGCATTCTTCAGAAATCAGGCAAGCCTATTCTAGAAGGGGCGGCATTGGATGAAGCTCTTAAAACGTGTAAAACTTCTGATTTGAAGACACCTAGACTGGATGATAAAGAGCTGGAGAAATTAGAGGATGAGGTTCAAACTCTACTGAAATTAAAGAACCTAAAAATTCAGCGACGTAATAAATGTCAATTGATGGCTTCAGTAACTAGCCACAAATCTCTGAGGTTAAATGCTAAAGAAGAAGAAGCCACTAAAAAGCTGAAGCAGAGTCAAGGAATTCTAAATGCAATGATCACTAAGATCAGTAATGAACTTCAGGCTCTTACTGATGAAGTTACACAATTGATGATGTTCTTCAGACATTCTAATTTAGGTCAAGGGACAAATCCACTGGTATTTTTATCGCAATTTTCCTTGGAAAAATACCTAAGTCAGGAAGAGCAAAGCACAGCAGCATTAACTTTGTATACCAAAAAACAGTTCTTTCAGGGTATACATGAAGTAGTTGAAAGTTCAAATGAAGACAATTTTCAACTTTTAGATATACAGACACCATCTATTTGTGATAATCAAGAAATCCTTGAGGAGAGACGACTAGAGATGGCTAGACTGCAGCTCGCATACATTTGTGCTCAACATCAGTTAATTCACTTAAAAGCAAGTAATTCGAGCATGAAGTCAAGTATAAAATGGGCAGAGGAGAGTCTTCACAGCCTAACCAGCAAGGTAAGCATAAGAAATGAGATTGGATTCACATTGTAATTATTGTTAGGAATAGAGGAGATAATATTGCTGTTAAAGTACTTTAGAATGGTGCATCTGAGAAGAGATTACATTTTATTTTCTTTGTTCAGTGCTTATTTGTGATCTGTGTCAATGTTTCATACAAATAGTTCCATACGTTAATGGAGGGCAGCAATAGTAATTATAATCTCTACCACATTATCTAATTTATTTTAAACAAAAGTGCTTTAATTTGCATTCCGAATTTTAAATTTGTGTAATGCAGATACAGACTGGACTGAGATTTTCTTTTTAAGATGTGGCTAGAAACTAATTGCTTTATTATGGGTATTCTGCCTCGTTTGCTCCAACCAGAGCATAGTGCTAATGAAGTCAGAGGTCCAGGTTCAGTAGACTGAAACTGATTTCTTTTTGAGAATATATGGATAGATGTATTGCAGATGTCTGTCTGCACTCTTGGAGAGCTTGTTTTCTTGGTAATATAACTGCTAGATACTTGAGTAAAAATGTAACTTTTCTGAATCAGAATATCAGCACCAAGTTAGTTTCTATAGCTGACAAAACATTTGAATGATATAGGAAATCCAATAATTACGTAGAAGTGCTAAAATCAACTGGCCAACTAGGACCTATTGAAGTAATTTTAACTTAAGAAAAACTAGTAACATATACTTGGATTCAGTGAATAGTGTCCTATTAATAATGATTCTGATTAAAAGAAGTATAATAAGATCTCTATTTTGGTAGCCGTTACTATATATATGGTAGTAATAGCAGTAAAATTTAGTAATTCATACCCTTGACTTAGTCCACATTTTTCCCTTTTAAACTGTAATTTTTGTTTATATGAATATTAAATTAGTTTTCATTCATTGAGCTTATTATCTGGTCACCTAAAGTGGAAAGTGAAAATAATCTTAAGATGATTTCAAATTTAGGCATACAGTTTGAAATGTAATTGCTTTTCTTTGTATAGGCTGTGGACAAAGAAAATTTGGATGCTAAAATTTCTAGCTTGACCAGTGAGATTATGAAACTTGAAAAAGAGGTCACTCAAATAAAAGACAGAAGTTTACCTGCTGTGGTAAGAGAGAATGCCCAGTTATTGAATATGCCAGTGGTAAAGGGAGATTTTGATCTGCAGATTGCTAAACAAGATTATTATACAGCAAGACAAGAGTTAGTTTTAAATCAATTAATAAAACAAAAGGCATCATTTGAACTTCTACAGTTATCATATGAAATTGAATTAAGAAAGCATCGGGACATATATCGTCAACTTGAAAATTTGGTTCAAGAACTTAGTCAAAGTAACATGATGCTCTACAAGCAATTAGAAATGTTAACAGATCCATCAGTTTCTCAACAGATAAATCCAAGGAATACCATTGATACTAAGGATTATTCTACTCATAGGTACGTATGCTTCATTGTTTCTTTAGTAAATATTTCCTTTTGTTTTTGCGAAATACTAGAGAGAGTTTGAGCTAAAATTTTGGAAGTTTTTAACAATTCTTTGCATTTCACTTTTGGCCTTTCTATTTTTTTTCCATTTTCATATGCCTTTTTTTTTTCATTTTTAGTTTTTTTGCTGCCTTTTCCATTTATGTTAGATCTGAAAATAGCTACTTTATAGCTTAAGTGGATGAGTTGGAGGAATGAATGGGTTTATTCCCCTTTAGGCATCATTATTTATATACCTTATTTTAGATTTGGGGCAGGAAGTTTGAATACAGCTCAGCATAGTAGGTGTTGCTGGGCAGGGGACTGACTGCATTTGGAGAAGGTAGCAGTAGAGAGGGGAGAAGACTTCATTTTTGTGTGTAGTCAGGAGAATCATTGAGAATGAATGCCAGCTCCCAGGCTTCATCTGGATGTCTGAGCAATTGATGGCAGAGGGATACTGAAAATTGGAGGGCTAAAGTAGTCTTAAGACCTCAAAAATCTGTCTCCTACTCCTCATTTTTCTCCAGGACTAGGGTAAAAGCATCTAATCTTTTTGTTTTCTTATTAATAAAATGAGGGGCCTGGATAGGGTTGCCTCATTGCACAATTTCAGGGGGTACCACTGACATTATGATCTATGTGAATGATACCCCTGGAATTGTGTAGTTACATCTATAAGACTAATTGGCAGCTTTGGGATTGAACCAGTTTTAGGAAGTCTGTTACAACTTGATAAAATAACTATTTAAAAAATTCTGAGCAAAAGTTTACTATTATAGCTATTTATGTAACTATTTACATTTTACATTGTTTAAATTTTACATTTATTTTTATATTTTACATGGTTTACAATTTTAGTTTTTCTCTTTTAATCCCACCACAATCCTGTAATATAGGTAGGTTAAGATGTGTAGTAGTTAAGATGTGGAAATAAGTCTCAGAGATTGATTTGCCCTAGCTTTCACATAACAGAAAACTCAGACCTAGATCTAGGTCTTCCGTTTCAAATTCATTGCTTGCTTGCTTGCTTGTTTTTTCCTTCCTTCCCTCCTTCCTTTCCTTCCTTTCCCTTCCTTCCTCTCCCTTTCTCTCTCTTTCTCTCTTCTTTCCCTTCCTTTCCTTCCCTTTCTTTCCTTTTAAGACAAGGTCTCACTCTCTTGCCTAGGTAGGAGTGCAGTGATGTGATGATAGCTCACTGCAACCTCCAGCTCCTGGGCTCAAGTGATCCTCCTGCCTCAACTTCCTGAGTAGTTAGGACTACAGGCACGTGCCACCATGCCTGGCTAATTAAAAAAAAAAAAAATTTGTAGAGATGGGGCTTCAATATGTTGCCAAGTCTGGTCTTGAACTCCTGGGCTCAAGTAACCCTCCCACAATACTGGGATTACAGGCATGAGCCATAGCCTGTTGTTTCTACTACATCATAGTTATATTCTATGAGACATGTGTTTTCTTTGGAGGTTATCTCTGAAGTGCACTTTGAAGTACGTTAGTGGCAGTTAAAGTTAAGAAGAGTTTTATATCTAAAACTTGGATGGTGGGGAAACTGGGAATTCAGTAATAGACTGTTTATCTAATGTAGTAGTTAGAATATATATTTCTGTACTGAAATAGTATTACAGTTAGAATGGTTTCAGTTGCTTGATTTTTGCAGGCACACAAATAATAATAATATTATTATTATAATTATAATTATTATTATTATTATTTGGAGACGGAGTCTCACTCTGTCGCCCAGGCTGGAGTGCAGTGGCGCAATCTGGGTTCACTGCAACCTCTGCCTCCCGAGTTCAAGCAATCCTCCTGCCTCAGCCTCCGGAGTATCTGGGACTATAGGTGCATGCCGCCATGCCCGGCTAACTTTTTTTTTGTATTTTAGTGGAGATGGGGTTTCACCATGTTGCCCAGGCTGGTCTCGAACTCCTGAGCTCAGGCAATCTGCCCGCCTTGGCCTCCCAAAGTGCTAGGATTACAGGCGTGAGCTACTGTACCCGGCCAATATTTTTATAAGTTGTTACTTAGCTATCCCCACAAATGCCCCAATACAGTGGATTGTAATTTTGAAAATGATACTGACTTGATAATTTTTCCCTATAATTTTAATTTTTACATTTCAGGCTTTACCAAGTTTTGGAGGGAGAGAATAAGAAAAAAGAATTGTTTCTAACTCATGGAAACCTTGAGGAAGTGGCTGAGAAATTGAAACAGAATATTTCTTTAGTACAAGATCAGTTGGCAGTATCTGCTCAAGAACATTCTTTCTTTCTGTCCAAACGGAATAAGGATGTGGACATGCTTTGTGATACTTTGTATCAAGGAGGAAATCAGCTTTTGCTTAGTGATCAGGTGGGTATTTGCCATAGTAGTTAAAAATGCTTTTTAAAAAAATGCTTGTTGTAAAAGATATTAAAGAAAATGTTAACATGAGGAAAATATTACCCCAATTTCATTGCCTTAATATAAAGTATATTTCTATATCTCCTAATTTTTGTTCACATATAAATATGTTTTTCAGATAGTTTTGATGAGTGTGCACAGAAATTTAAAAATGTATATAATTTTTCAGACACAAAAGAATATGTAATGTTTATACTAGTGTTAAAAAATAAATAAAACCGCCTCTGTATTTTTTTTTCACTCATCTTAGCAAACACAGGATTGCCTTTATAGCTTTAAAATCCTCTGTGTACACTTAATGGTACATGCTCCTCCTAATATAATTCCTCTCTCATCCTCAAAGAGTGACTACCATGCTTAATTTGTTCATTATTTTCTTGCTTTTATGTATAGTTTTATTACGCACACACATACACACATATATATATATTCCTAGACTGTGTATTTAGTTTTATATGTCGTTGAACTTTATGTGCTGTTATTATACTGGTGGTGGTATACCAAAGGCATGTATATTGAAGGTATGTATCCTTCAATGACTTGCTTGCTTTTTCAATGGCTTAATATGTTTTTGAGACTCACTCATGTTGATACACGTAAAGCTATATAGTTCATTCATAGTTTTCTCTTTTGTATAGTTAGTATTCCATTATATGATATTCCACAATGAAATTATCTGTTAGATTGACAGACATTTAGGTTATTTACAGTTTTTGTTACTATAGATCATACTGCTATGATGGTCTTATATGTCTCACAGCTGCACAATTCCAGTTTCTCCACATCTTTGCCAACACTTGTTATTTCCTGTGGTTTTTAAAACAGTAGCCATCCCAACGGGTGTGAAGTGGTATCTGTGATTTGTTTTTTGAAAGGTCTCCCATTACTGATTTTTGTCTTCTTGATCTATTGAGAATTGTGTAAAAATTTCCACTGCGATGGTGGATTTAAAAATTTCCACTGCGATGGTGGATTTGAAAATTTCTCCACATAGGCTGGGTGCGGTGGCTCACGCCTATAATCCCAGCACTTTGGGAGGCTGAGGCGGGTGGATCACAAGGTCAGGAGTTCAAGACCAGCCTGGCCAAGGTGGTGAAACCCCATCTCTACTAAAAATACAAAAATTAGCCGGGCGTGGTGGCGGGTGACTGTAATCCCAGCTACTTGGGAGGCTGACACAGGAGAATCCCTTGAACCCGGGAGGCAAAGTTTGCAGTGAGTCAAGATCGCGCCACTGCACTCCAGCCTGGGCGACAGAGCAAGACTTGGTGTCAAAAAAGAAGAAAATTTCTCCATGTAGTTGTATATCATTTTTTTCTCTATGTATTTTGAGTCTATTTTATAAGTTATATCCAGGTTTAAAGTTGCAGTGAATAATTATCCTGGTCGTTTTAAATTGCAGTGAATCAAAGCATTTAGCATTACATAATGACTATTCCTGGTGATGCTTTTTCTCTTGATATTGTTTTGTCTAATATTAATATTCCTTTGCCATTTTTCTTTTGCTTAGTAATGTAAGGCATATAGTTTTCTTTTCTTTACACTTTTCCAGTAAGTTTTTGTTATTAGTTAAGTCCTGATTCACGGACCCAGGGTAGGGATCATCATGTACCCAGGTCCCCGTTTACCACCCTGGGAGAAGGATGGAGAACAGAGGAAAGGTGGGGTGGAGCCAGTTCTGATTTTCCCAGGAAACGTGCCTTTGTCCCAGGTCAAGACCAAGGATATGGGGCAGAGGGACTTGCACACATGCCAGTACCATTTGCACACAGAGACATCACCCCCTTTAGCAGTCATTGCCGTCTTGGAGTGGTAGAAGTCCAGGTAGTTTTGCCAGCAGTTCATGTTCTGGTTCTAGTTGACAAAGTGGCTGTCAAATGGGACAGTCCTGTAGTTCTTAATTTTGACCTTCATGTCTTCTGCCATGGTGCTAACTTCTAAAGACCCTCAGCAAAGACCATAGTTTTGTTTTTACTTAGCATGATGAAATAAACATTTTTACTCTCTAAATAGTTTTCTTAACTTTTAATGTTAACTATACTGTCTTGATTTAATTACTGTGCCATCAATTTTGTAGCTGGTTATTGTTACTGGGTATTTTGATAGTCTTCTTTTTTTTCTTTTGTTTGCTCTTGAACAATATCATATGTATCTTTGTGTATATAGCTTTTTGTTGTTGGATACTTTCATCTGGATACATTCTTGGAAATAGGGTCATTGGGGTTTTTTGTGCCAGGGTGGTATATACACTTTTTTTTGCCTTTGATATGGCCAGATTGCTTTTTAAAGGAGTTTATAATGCTACCAGCACTATATAAGTGTCTACTAGACACCATTGACCATATGGCACGCCATCATTTTATGAATTGCCAAAAAAGAAAAACTCTTAGTTAAACCAACACAATGTTTTCTTATTAAGAATTTTTGTTTTTCATACTTACTAGAAAAGATCTTTTTAGATGTAGGTAGACATAGATTTTTATCATACCACTCTTGGGCATATGTTAAAAGGAAAAAAATAAGTCAATTTAAATGGTTAGGGTAGTTCTAAAGCATCACATTTCAATGTTCAATTCTTCTGTTATTTTTTGACTCAGAGTTGTCTGTAATTTTCCACACTGTGTATCAGGAATGTTGATGAGAAAGTATTTCTTAAGAGTACCTGGCCAGAAACAATCATATGATGTTCTTGATTAAGATGCATCTTCATTTCAGATATGTTAAAATGTGAAAAAAAAATGCATCCAAGAATCACTAAAATATGGTAATCTCACTCTAATCTTATCAGTGGGTATCATTAGTGTTTTTCCCTAGCTCAATGTGATATAAAATGCCGTATCAATTTTAACTTGTGTTTCTATTATTAATGAAGCTGAACTTCAGTATCTGTAGCAATGTTGTTTTAGCAACTGTATGATCTTTAGTATTTAATTGAAGGTAAAGATGAGATTGTTGTTTCTCAGTATATTCAAGTTTACCAAGTTTGTCTTAGAGGATATCACTAAATGTAGATATAATGTCGAAATTACTTGATTTTCAAAAGTATGTATTTTAAGAAGTACTCCTCTGTGAATTGGCATTTATGACAGGTCTTAAGTAGTCATTCTTGAACTTGTACATTAGAATCATCAGGGAGCGTATCAAAACGCAGGTTCCTAGCTCTGTACAGAGATTAAGTAATTTAGTCTAGTGGGGGGGTACAGGAATCTGTATTCATAACAAGTACCTCAGATAATTATGATACTTGTGGACTATGCCTAGAAGCTGTGGAAAATTGAGGGTAGTTAGAGCAACAGATTTTTCTGAGAACCTCTTTGGTGATACTGGCTAAAATTTATAAGTAGAATGCTTGATTAGAAAGCTATGGAAACTTGTTAATAATCTGGTTTAAATGCTAGACACTGAGGAATTTGAATTTACTGTAATAAATATGAAGGGTCGGCATGGCTAGATTCTTGAGCAGGAAAATTATATGATTAGGATGGTTTTCGTGGAATGTCATGTGTAATTCTATTTGGTAAGACAATATGAAAAAATGAAAAATGGAGATTTGTGTTGAGCTAATTCTCTTTTATTGGTCTTCATTTCAACTTTCTCTGTACCTTCTGTCCAGAATAAACAGAGAATAGGCTAAAACAAGGTTTGATTTATTAAGCAGAATATAAGCTCCATCAGGGAGATTTTGTTTATTCTTGTATCAGTAATCTCTAAAACAGTACTTGGCACAATAGCATTTGTTGAATATATGAATGCACAGAACAGCTTACATATCGAGTACACTTCAGCAAGAGTTTCCTTTGAATCACTTAAAATTATCTATCAGAAGTTGTTGCAATTAATCTTACTTAGAATTTATATTAAACCTGTTATGGATTTTAAATCGAGGTTTATTTATTGCTAAAATTGCGGGAAGTTATTAAGTCCTTTAAAGTCTTTCCATGTAAATTATATTTTAATTTTATAATTGGTATTAGGAATAAAGTGTTTTAATTTTTATTTTTATTTTCCTTTTTTAGGAGTTAACAGAGCAGTTTCATAAAGTTGAATCTCAACTGAATAAGCTAAATCATCTCCTCACTGATATTCTTGCTGATGTGAAGACAAAAAGAAAAACTTTGGCAAATAATAAATTACATCAAATGGAAAGAGAATTCTATGTATATTTTTTAAAAGATGAAGATTATCTGAAAGATATTGTGGAGAATTTAGAAACTCAATCAAAGATTAAGGCTGTTAGTCTTGAAGATTGAAAATTACTGAAAACTGAATCTTTATTACGTGTCCTCTTTTATTTATTAGAAGACTGTGTATAATAAACACTACTAAATTTTTAAAATTTGAGGTCAATGGAACATTTAATTTGATGAATTGAACTATTATATTAATTTGTCTTTTTTCTCATGTAGTACATTCAGAATACCAGTGCTTTTTATGACTTGAGCATGTGTTTAGTGGTACTTAGTCCTGGTAATTTTTTACTTACAGGGAAAAAGCATTATTACATAATGCAAATATTTTTTAATATAGTTATCTCTCTCCTTTTTAGAAATAGAAATTTTCTGCCGTTAAATTTTTTTTTGAGATAGAGTCTCACTCTGTCTCCAGGCTGGAATGCAGTGGCACGATCTTGGCTCACTGCAACCTCTGCCTCCCGGGTTCAAGTGATTCTCCTGCCTCAGCCTCCCAAGTAGCTGGGACTACAGGCGCACACCGCCACACCCAGCTAATTTTTTTGTATTTTAGTAGAAAAGGGGTTTCACCATGTTGGCCAGGATGGTCTCAATCTCTTGACCTCTTGATCCCCTCTCCCGGCCTCCCAAAGTGCCGGAATTACAGGCATGAGCCACCACGCTCAGCCGCTATTAAATATTTTAAAATGTGTAGAACTTCTAGTCAGCATTTTTAAATCTGTAGACCTTAATATGTGAAATAGCCAAGTCCCCTCATGTTTGACTGTCAAATAAAATTCTGCTGCTCAAATTGTATTCCTCCATAATTCCCTGCTATAGACCTTTAGGCTGTTTTAATGTCCCTACTTGTACCACAGAGTATTAGGACTTCCTTGGCCTGCCTGCATTCATTTTAGAGTCTGAATTCTGGGGACTCAAAAGTTTCTACAAGACAGCTGAGCAGTGCTTTGACTTTAATGTGACTTACACATCATAAATGACTTTCAAATGAAATTTGAATTTCAAAATTCTGTAAAAGTGGTTGCTCAAAAGATGTATGATACTATTTTAATCAGTTTAAGAGCAAAAATGTCTAATTGTATTTAACAATGGTATTTGGGCAGCCAGAAAATATTTTAAGCGTTGCTCTAAAATAATTTGAAGTAGCTCATCTGTTATTACATCAGATGCTTCTTGAGTGCCCAATTTATACATGGCCTGTGGTAAATACCATGTGAGCTTTGTAGGAATACCTTTAAGAATATTCCTCACCTGTTCGTAATATGGAATGCCAATCTAAAAACTACATGTTTTGGGTGGTCTTTATGGAATTTTTTAGCTATAACCATCAGAAAACAGGCATACCTAGATGACAGATGAACCTTCTTGATTTTTGAAACCCATTGAACAAAAATATTTTGCCAATTATTGTGTTTATGTTATTTAAAATTTTATGTAAACCTTAATTTTGTAGCAGTAAATTTTGTTTAAGATTTTGCTATCAGCTCCCTATCACCTGAGCAACTTTTTTTTTGTTGTATATGTTTTTTTCTATTCTATTTCGGAATAGAGAATTTACTTAAAATTTTTATTTTCTCCAAAAATGTGGAAAATATGTCACCTGGTTTCCTGGTTTATGGTAGCATATTCTGTTTAAATTAGTGTCACATATTTAGATGTGTGGCCAGACGCTTGATTTATTAGTTAATTTTTGAGACAGAGTCTAACTGTGTCACTCAGGCTGGAGTTCAGTGGAATGATCTCGGCTCACTGCAACCTCCGCCTCCCAGGTTCAAGTGATTCTCCTGCTTCAGCCTCCTGAGTAGATGGGATTGTAGGCGTGCACCACTGCACCTGGCTAATTTTTGTATTTTCAGTAGAGACGGGGTTTCACCATGTTGGTCAGGCTGGTCTCAAACTCCTGACCTCAAGTGATCTACCCGCCTTGGCCTTCCATAGTGCTGGCATTACAGGTGTAAGCCACCATGCCCCTGCCCAGATGCTTGATTTATACTGTCCCCACCCAAACCTTGACTTGCTCAGCCCAGGGGGCCAGCAGGGCAGATCAAGGCACGGATGGTAGTTGTGTGTCTGCCGTAATTACCCAAGTTACTTATAATCGTTGTGTTACTAGGTAGGTTTATTTGAAGATTTATTTATTTATTTATTTATTTTTTATTTTTTGAGACGGAGTTTCACTCTTGTTGCCCAGGCTGGAGTGCAGTGGCATGATCTCAGCTCACTGCAACCTCTGCCTTCTGGGTTCACGTGATTCTCCTGCCTCAGGCCTCCCGAGTAGCTGGGATTACAGGTGCCACCATGCCTGGTTAATTTTTTGTATTTTTAGTAGAGACGGGGTTTCATCATGTTGGCCAGGTTGGTCTCGAACTCCTGACCTCAGGTGATCCACCCGCCTCAGTCTACCAAAGTGCAGGGATCACAGGCATGAGCTTCCGCGCTCAGCCTATTTGAAGATTTAATAACATTTTTCAAACCTCAGGATGTATTTGAGTAGATTGCTTCTAAATTGGTCACCTAGAAAATAAGTTATCTATTTACTATGATACCTGGATTAAGCCTCTAGCTATTTTGCTTTTTTCTTTCTATCTATATTATTGGATGATTGATGCCTATTTTCTGTGGTTATGAATATAGACATTTTAAATGAAAGTTGGTATATAAATTTTTGAAAATAATTGTATTTCCTGTTTTATAGTCTTAGGATTAATATATGGGATTTATCTTATGTTAATCTTACATTTAGGATTTTGTGAAAATGGAAAATTATGAGGCATTGGTAGGCTTTGATCTCTGTAATACACCGCTCTCCAGTGTTGCTCAGAAGATTATGTCTGCTATGCATTCAGGTGATTTAGTGGATTCTAAGACTTGGGGAAAGAGTACAGAGAGTAAGTAATTTTTATGAACCTTTCTTTCTCTTGATACTTTGAATGTTAATTGTTCTAAAGACTAAGAATTGAAAATGGAATGCATGTAGACAGATGAAGCCCAGCTCCCGCCCCTTTTACACTCATTCAGTGCAGACTGAGCTTCTGCTTGCTAACTTTCGTGTTCCCTTAACCTTCATTGCTTTAAAAATGTAACACTCTCTTCCTTATTCCAGGTATTTCTGTCAAACATTCCCTTAGAATCTGGATCAGGTATTTTAGTATTTTCAAAAGAGATGCTTTAATCTTGGTTCTCAGGTCATCAAACCTGTACATAGTATTTGCTATTTTGTGTGGTGAACAAGAGATATGTTTTTGACAATATGTGTATTGTGCTGCTATAGAAATGTAAACTCTTAGGTGGCAAGGATTATTGGATCAGTGTATATGGATTTATGATGTGGTATAATAGTAAAAGCAGTGGGGCCGGGTGCGGTGGCTCACGCCTGTAATCCCAGCACTTTGGGAGGCCGAGGTCGGCGATCATGAGGTCAGGAGATCGAGACCATCCTGGCTAACACGGTAAAACACTGTCTCTACTAAAAATACAAAAAATTAGCTGGGAGTGGTGGTAGGCGCCTGTAGTCCAGCTACTTGGGAGGCTGAGGCAGGAGAATGGCATGAACCCAGGAGGCGGGGCTTGCAGTGAGCTGAGGTCTCCAGCGTGGGCGACAGAGTGAGACTCTATCTCAAAAAAAAAAAAAAAAAAAAGTGAAAGCAGTGATATGCTCACAAATGTCACTGAAATGTTTATAACATCAGGGCTTTTGGTGTTTTTTTGTTTTGTTTTTTGTTGGTGTTTTTTTTTTTTTTTTGCTACTAGCAAAGCAGTTTTTATTTTAAATTTGCAAGCCTGGGCCAATAGTTTGTGGTTGGTTTCTCTTTCTACAAAATAAGGTATAAGTGAGTGAGATATAATTGAGTAATGAAATTGCATTGAAATAATTGAGAGTATTGCCGAATATTAGCACAAAAGCTCTTATAAACACATCTTGATTAAGATACATTTGCACTTAACGTTTTGATCCATTCATATTGAGGCATCTGTTGCTTATATACTTTATTATAGTAGAAGTCACTAATAAACTGGTAAGAATTTTTGAGTGTGAATTACATGCCTAGCAATTGATAGTGTAAGACACTATCATAATCACATTATTCCATATTTTTTTGAATAATAGAGGGTGCATACTTGACAGAGGTGGAAATATACTCCCCTTCAAAAACCGGTAAGAATAATGAAATGCCTCTGGCAGCTATAATATGAGGCTCTGATGAAAAATTTACGACAGTCAGTCCATCTCATATAAGCTCTTATTGTTGTTCTAAAATACATTGTTAATGCCTGGGACGATCACTTGAGCCCAGGAGTTCGAGTCCAGCCTAGGCAACATAGCAAGATCTCATCTCTGAAAATAAAATACCCCGTTAAAATTCTGGCTTTTGTTTGTTAAGGTTATTGAGAAGGTAATAGAAAAAGATATGATACTACTTTTCTCTCTTGGATTTGTAAAAATAGTGGAATTTTCATAAGGATTTTGTATTTTCTATTGCTGTATAACATTATTAATACAAACTTATTGGCTTAAAAAACACAATTATTGTTGTACAGTTTCTGTGCGTCAGGAGCCTGGACCTGACTCTGCTAGGTCCTCTGCAAGGGTGGACTCCAGGTGTCAGCCAGGTCTGGTGTCTCTCCTGAGGCTGCAGTGGGGAAGCATTCTCTTCTAAGCTCACATGGTTGTTGACAGAATTCAGTTTCTTGTAGACTTTCAGACCAAGGGTCTCAGTTTCTCACTGGCTGGTGTCTGGAAGGCATCCCCAGTTCCTGTCATGTGATCCTCTATGTGGGCAACCTACAATATGGCAGCTCACTTTCCCTAGCAGCACTGACATTACAGTTTTATATAATGTGATCAAATACATGCTGCTGCCTTTGGTGTGTTCTGTTGGTTAGAAGCTAATCAATAGTCCCATTCACCCTCAAAGCGGTTTGGGGTTATGTGAGGACATGATACCAAGAGGCAGGGATCATAGGGCCACCTTGGAGTCTTTCCACCACAGATTCTCACCAGTTTTATTCCTTCATCATATGAATCCAAATTAAAGTTGGATTGCTGGTGGATTATTGATGAGTGATGCTGGACCTAAAGTTTTAATTGACTCTGGATTCTTGTGAAATACTGAGCTGTTATGTCAAATTCTTCTAAGAAAAATATTGTAAATTAGCCTTTTATTTCCATGAGCCTATTTCATACCAAATAAATATGGAATTTCAACTCAGAAATTAATGGAAATAAACTACACATATTTACTTTTACAAACACTAAGTCACACCAAACTGTATTAAACCTGTGATACTTGTCATTTTGGGGTCTAATTTTCTTATCTGCTAGACTGACTGAGGTGACTCAAGATACACATTCAGTAAAGATTGGACTGTTATATCTTCTTGAAACAAGTATAGATCCTTATTTAGAAACACTTTGTCATGAAAAACACTAAAAATGCAAAACACATTAATGTAAGAGAACATCCATGTAACTACCACTTACATTGCCAACACCTCAAAATTTACTTCTCAATTAAAATCTCTCCCTGCTGAAATGTAACCATTAATTATCCTGCCTTTTATGGCAACCACTTCATAATCATGGGCATTTTAAATTATTCCAGATAACTTTTTGGCAGCGATTACTCATTTCTTACCACGTTGAATCCATCCTTGTTTTCTGAGGCACACAATTACACTACATGGCTCAGTCTTGTTGCAGTCAGGTTTGACCAAGTGGCCAGGTGCCTGTCAGTGAGTTGTGAGCTCAGCGGGTGCCATTTCCAAGGGAGGCTCCAAGACAGCCTGCCTGCTTCTCTGGCCTCTTTGCTTCCCATCGGTTGGAGCTGAAATGATTCTTCTCCAACCCTGCAAATGATAACAGTGTCCTAGAGGATTGTGGAACAACATGCTAGAAGGATCCTGGGCCCCTGAGTGACTTTAAAAAACAGCTATACCACCTACTGAGACCATTCACCTCAGAACATGGGAGAGAGATAAACTTACTTTTTTTTTTTTCGAGACAGGGTCTTGCTCTGTCGCCCAGGCTGGAGTTCACAGGTCATTGCAGCCTGAACCTCCCAGGTTCAAGCAATCTTCCCACCTCAGCCTCCTGAGTAGCTGGGACTACAGGCACTTGCTACTGTGTCTGGCTAATTTTTTATTTTTGTGTGGAGACGAGGTCTTGCTATGTTGCCCAGGCTGGTCTCAAACTCCTGGGCTCACACGATTCTCCTGCCTCAGCCTCTGAAAGTGCTGGGATTACAGACATGAGCTACTGTGCCTGCCTGGCCTACTATTTTTTTTTAGTATTATAAATTTTTTCCACAACATTTTTGGGGCGTCTTTTTGTAATACATTAGGAAAAGTGTTTGTTTTTTTTTTTAGAAAAAACAAACAAAAAACTAAAATCTGTAATTCCACACAATTTTCTTTTCTTTTCTTTCTTTTTTTTGAGTTGGAGTCTTGCTCTGTCACCCAAGCTGGAGTACAGTGGTGCGATCTCGGCTCACTGCAACCCCCCCTCCTGGGTTCAAGGGATTCTCCTGCCACAGCCTCCTGAGTAGCCAGTATTACAGGCGCCCACCACCATGCCTGGCTAATTTTTGTATTTTTAGTAGAGACGGGGTTTCGCCATGTTGGTTAGGTTGGTCTTAAACTCCTGACCTCAAGTGATCCACCCACCTCGGCTTCCCAAAGACATTTTTCTTAAATTTTTTTTTACATATTTATATACATGCATACATACATAGTTTTAATATAAAATTGTGAGAAGGTTCAAGGTTTTTTTTGCTTGTCGAACCCTCTCCCTTATTGTTAACCCATGTTAACAACTTAGTATGTGCCTTTTATATTTTTGTTAATTTTTTTCTATGATTATAATTTATATGGTTGGAGAGTCATGTGTTGCATAATGAATGATGTTTTGGTCAACGACAGACCGTATATATGTTGGTGGTCCCATAAGATTATAATGGAGCTGAAAAATTCCTGTCTCCTAGTGACATCATAGCTGTACTGTTATCATAGCACAATGCATTACATTTTTTTTTTTCCCAAGACAGAGTTTCACTCTTGTCACCCAGGCTGGAGTGCAGTGGTGCAATCTCGGCTCACTGCAACCTCCACCTCCCAGTTCAAGTGATTTTCCTGTCTCAGCCTCCTGAGTAGCTGGCATTACAGGTGCCTGCCACCACGCCTGGCTAATTTTTGTATTTTTAGTGGAGGCAGGGTTTCACCATGTTGGCCAGGCTGATCTTGAACTCCTGACCTCAGGTGATCCTCCCACCTCGGCCTCCCAAAGTGCTGAGATTACAGGCATGAGCCACCGCACCCAGCTGCATTATGTTTTTGTTGTGATGCTGGCGTAAACAAACCTACTGCACTACCAGGTGTATAAAAGTATAGCACTCTGTATATAGTATATAGCTATGTCATACAGTCAACTTACACAAACCTAGATGGCATAGCCTACTACACTGTACTATACTACGTATAATTGTATATACAATTATATGTAGTACAGAGTACTTGAAAACAAATGACTGTGTTACTGGTTTATATATTTACGATACTATATATACTTTTTATCATTATTTTAGGGTATACTCCTTCTTATGAAAAAAAAGCTAATTGTAAAACAGCTCCAGGCAGGTCCTTCAGGAGGTATCCAGAAGAAGGTACTCTTATCATAGGAAGTGACAGCTCCATATGTATTAGTGCCTCTGAAGACCTTCCAGGGGGACAAGATACAGAAGTAGAAGACAGTGATACTAATGCTCTTTACCCTGTGTAGGCCTAGGCTAATGTGTGTGTGTGTCTTAGTTTTAAGAAAGTTAAGAACATTTTTTAAAAAGTTAAATATCTTAATAGAGAAAAGGTTATGGAATCAAGATATGAAGAAAAAATATTTTTGTTCAGCTGTACAATGTGTTTTTGTCTTAAGGTAAATGTTATAAAAGAGTTCAAAAGTTTAAAAAATTTAAAAGTGTATAAAGTAAAAAACGTTAAAGTACATTGAGGTTAATTTATTATTGAAGAAAGAAAATTTTTAAAAATAAATTTAGTGTGTCCTAAGTGTATAGTGTTTGTGAAGTCTACATCAGTGTACAGTAATGCACTAAGGTTTCACACTTACTCCCCACTCACTGATTCACCCAGAGCAAATGCCAAGTCCTGCAAGCTCCATTTATGGTAAGTGCCCTATATAAGTACCATTTTTTAATCTTTTATACTGTATTTTTACCTATGTTTAGATACACAAATACTTACTGTTGTGTTACAGTTGCCTACAGTATTCAGTGCAGTAACATGCTGTACAGCTTTGTAGCCTAGTACATGCTGTACAGGTTTGAGCTACAGGCTAGATCATACAGCTTAGGAGTGTAGTAAGCTATGCCATCTAGGTTTGTGTAAGTTCACTATATGACAGCAGTCCCCAACCTTTTGGCGCCAGGGACTGGTTTCATGGAAGACAATTTTTCCACGGGATGGGGGTCGGGTGGATGCTTTTGGGATGAAACTGTTCCACCTAAGATCGTCAGGCGGTAGATTCTCATAAGGAGCTCGCAACCTATTATCCCTTGCATGTGCAGTTCACAGTACAGTTCTTGCTCCTATGAGAATCTAATGCTGCTGCCTATCTGACAGGAGGCGGAACTCAGGTGGGAATGCTCACTCACCTGCTGCTCTCCTCCTGCTGTGTGGCCTTGTTCCTAGCAGACTACAGACAGGTACTGGTCCTCACTTCAGGGGTTGGGGACCCTTGATCTATGATGTTTTCATAACAATGAAATCACCTAATGATGCATTTCTCAGAACATATCCCTGCATGACTGTAATTATGGCTTGTATATATCTGTGCCAACCCAACCCCCCTCGTCAGGTGGCATTGGCTGAGGCATTTCTTGCAATGTATCACATTTCAGCTTCCCCAGGCTCCATTCTTCTGATCTCCAAGGCCACTCCCCAGTAAACTTTCTGCTGACAAATCTCAGTCTCAGGGAACCTGATCTGCTACAGTTGGTGGCAGGAGTGGTCTGAGAAAGTAGACATGTGATTTTGGAGTTTGGTCTCCCGCAGGTAAGCTGGCACTGATGACCTCATCACAAGTTGTGGGTGCAATACAGATGGTAGCAGTGGAGTTAAAATTTTGGCTCAAGGTGGGTTTGTCTGGCTTACTAGTGGGAGCAGCTGCACCAGCTGGGACAATACTGCACATCTGAGAAGTACAAGGCAGTTGAAGACAATGGAATTGGATGGCTGTGGCTGGGAATAATAGATCCTGTGGAAAAATAAAAAAAAAAAAAAAAAGGCCGTGGGTGATAAGCAATTAAAGGCTAAACGTGAAAGCCAGAGGGCTTCCTGGGCAGCCTATAAAGTGACAGCCTGTAGCCGTAGACCCAAGACTTAGTCCTGATTGCTCCAGAGAAACTTGAATTTTCAGCCCTGGTGGTGTGCTAGGGGTTTTTGTTTTGTTTTGTTTTTTGTTTTTTGGTGATACCTAGGCTGGAGGTCTGATCAGGCTCACTTTAACCTCCGCCTCCGGACCTCAGGTGATTCTTCTGAGTAGCTGAGACTACAGGTGTGCATGCCCGGCTAGTTTTTTTTTTGTTTGTTTGTTTTTTAAGTACACATGGGGTTTCACCATGCTGCCCAGTCTGGTCTCGAATTCCTGGGCATCTTGAGCCTACCAAAGTGCTGGGATTACAGGCATGAGCCACCTCCACCTGGCCAAGATTAAGGTCTTGATCTGAGGAAAGAGGGACCAGACCCTGAGATACAGGATGGGAACCTTTGGATTGGTATATTTAAATCTTGATTGAAATACCACAGGGAGCCAAGAAAAAAAAAATCTTGAGTATCGGACCAGTTTGGGCAACATGGCGAAACCCATGTGAATGCAAAATAACAGGCAGGTCTCAATTTAGAAAGTTTATTTTGCCTAGGTTAAGGACATGCCTATGACACAGCCTTAGGAAGTCCTGAGACGTGCCCAAGGTGGCTGGGGGTAGTTTGCTTTTAAACATTTTAGGAAGACATGAAACCTCAATATGTGTAAGATGTAATTGGTTCGGTCTGGTAAGGCGGGACAACTCGAAGAGGGGGCTTCCAGGTTAGAATTAGATAAGAGGGGCCAGGTGCGATAGCTCACCCCTGTAATCCCAGTATTTTGGGAGGCTGAGGCGGGTGGATCCCTTGAGGTCAGGAGTTCAAGACCAGACTGGCCAACGTGGTGGAACCCTGTCTCTACTAAAAATCGAATATTAGCCGAGCATGGTGGCAGGTGCCTGTAATCCCAGCTGCTCGGGAGGATGAGGCAGGAGAATCCCTTGAACCAGGAAGTGGAGGTTGCAGTGAGCCAAGATCACACCACTGCACTCCAGCCTGAAGGATAGGATGAGACTCTGTTTCAAAAACAAACAAAAAGTAGGTAAGAGACAAAAGGTTGCATTCTTTTGAGTCCTTGATCAGCCTTCCACTGAATACACAATTTAGTGAATCTGTATTTTTACATAAACAGTGGGGAGGGGAAGCAATCAGATCCCCATTTGTCTCAGGTGAACCTCAGAGGCATAGAATTTGACTTTGAATAGAATGGGAGGCAGGTTTGCCCTAAGCAGTTCCCACCTTGACTTTTCCCTTTAGCTTAGTGACTTGGGATTCCCAAGATTTTATTTTCCTTTCACAGTTATCTCTGCAAAAAATTAGTGGGGCATGATGGCACGGAATCCCAGCTATTTGGATGGCTGAGGAAGGGGGACTGTTGCTTGAGCTTGGGAGGTGGAGGTTGCAGGGAGCTGAGATTGTGCCACTGCACTCCAGCCTGGGTAACAGAGTGAGACCCTGTTTCAAAAATAATAATAATAAATTTTATTTAAAAAATAAATCTTGAGTATCAGATACCTCTGAGACCTGCAGAAATGGCCCCACCCTGAGCGCTTCCCCCCACCTTTGCTGGAGAACAATGGAGAGCTTCTGTCTTGAAAAATAAGACATGCTCCGTCATTATGTAATAATACTTCAGGAGAAGTTTTTGGGATGGGGAGGGAGAAACAGAAAAAACAAACAAAGTTCATAATTCCCCAGATCTTTTTGTATAGTTATACACATGCATACGTATGTCATTTCATAAGAAATTGTGAAAAGATTCATAAATGTTTTGTTCAGGCTTTTTCTTTTTTGCGGCCCCCTCCTCCTCTCCTGGTCATTAAGTCACAAAATAACCCTGTCGAAAAGTACTGGGCCTGTTACAGTCCAGTCAAGGGACAGAAACCGTAGAGTAATTTGAACAGGGAATGTTTAAGGCATTACTAACTAGCAGGAGTAGCTACCAGGAATAGCTTTAGAGAAAACTCTAAAGAATCCAGCAAGAGCAGACAGGGAGCAGCCTCCCCTGCTAGGGCTGAAGTGGGGTGCCGAAGGAAGGGACAAATTTAGCAGGGTCTCTCCCCTCAAGGCCGAGATTCAGACTGTCAGAGGTTGTGGATGTAGCCCACTGGGTGGCCAAGAAGTTGGCTGAAGTGCCAGTCAGTCTGGCAAGTGGGAACCCACCTATGGGGTATCACTAAACTCACTGAGAAGTTGGTAGGGGTGCTTGTGAAACTCAGTAGGAAGCTGCCCACGGGGATTGACTGAAACTTGCTGGAGGGCTGGCTAGAATGTCTGCAGAAGTAGCTGGGAAGTGGCCAGTGGGGCTGCTCATGGGTGTCTAGTACACTGGTTAAGAGCTGCAGGAGCAAGAAGAAAGGAAAGCAAAGCAAAGCACAGCAGAGGCCTCATCTCTGACAGCGTCCCTCTAGCACCCTCTGCTGACGGAGCTTAACATCGTGCCAGGTGGCAAAGGAGGTGTATTTTCTGTAGGGCGTGGGGTGCAACGAGGGGTGAATTTGTAGCTGAGAGGCGAATTTGTAGCTGGGAGACAGTATGTTGATAACTGGCACAGGGACGAAAGAGATTCTACTCCAAAGGAACTGCAGGACCTAACTGGCCATATACAAGCAGGCCTGGGAGAGTACCTATGGTGGGCTGGGTCTGAGGGTGCTGGATCAAGGCAGGTGGAACTAAGGTTGGATAAGGGAGAGTTTATTTATGCGGGATCACTTCAGAGACACTGGATTTGACAACCCGATGAAGATTCCAAGAGGTGGTGCCAACATACTGCTAGGATGGCTTTTAGTTCCTTGTAGGAGAGGGTTCATACTAAGTGAAGGAGAAAGATTAGAACTGCCAGGGCAGATGGTAAAAGAAGGCATGAAAAGCCAGGAGAGGTGGACATGCTAGAATGGCCATATTGTGGAGGGCTGGGAAACTCAGCAGGTAACATTGTTCTGCAGAAGGGCGCTCTGGATGCTCTATTTACCGAAGCAATAATGAAAGCTGATGAGGGAGTGGGGAGCATCGGCTTCACTGAGAATCTCAGTGGTGTCTGCTATAGACCAGGGCTGATAATAGGAGATGCCTCCTGATAACAGTCAGGGAGATAGGATCCTGACATAGAGGCCAGGTGGTGCTGCCTGTCAGAAGCAGGGTAGATACAGTTCTCGTAAAGTGACTTCAGACCTGGAACCAACTGACTGAAGGAGAGGCCAGGTCCCCAGGAGGAAGGATTATGCAACACCATAGTGAGTGTATATGGCAGTTATTTTTCCTGTCTTTCCGCCAGGGAAACCTGTGGCCATTTACTCTGGGAACTTATACAAGGGGGAAAGGGATACTGAAACATTCATATGATATTGATACCTGGAGACCTAAAGTATCATCATGGTTTCTCCGTCAGAGGCGCAAGGACTCAAGCAATAAATGGAACCTTGGCCCAGATTACACTATAATGGGAGGGCTCACTCCGAAGCCATTTTCCAAGTCCCCACATGTTATTTGGAATGAACAGACTGTTGGAAGAACCCTCAGGTACTGGCTCCTTGGCCTGAGGATGAGAGCTCTCCTAGTGAGTAAGCTCAAGTGGATGACGCTGAAACTGCCTTCCCAGCAAAGATAGTGAATTAGTATAGCAATATGGCAACCTAGGAGAAATGGCAGAAGTTAGTGCCATCCTTAAACCCCTACAGGATTCAGGGCACAGGGTGGTCCCTGTCATATGTTCATTTAATTCACCAGGTAGGTGCTCACAGAAGTCAGATCCTGGAGAATAACAATTGACACCACAAATAGTTGTGACCAAGTTATAGCCCTAATGACAGCTGGTGGGCTGGATGTGGCATATGCAATTAACAAGGCCTCAGGTATATGAAATGCAATTATTGATTTGGTGAACACATTCTTTTCCATCCCTGCAGAAATATTCACTCTGAATGGACAATATAAATTTGCACCTTGCCCCAGTGCTATGTTATCCCGCCACCCACTGTTTTGATGACATCATGCCAATCAGCATAAGCAAGAAATGGCAAGTTTGTTAGCTGTCTTGCTGTCCAAAACATGGGAGATAAGCACACAGATATTCTGGGGCCCACCACAACCATGAAGTTTTTGGAAGTTCAGTGGTCTGAGGATAGGTAGGATATCCCCTTGCAAGTAAAGGACAAATTAGTGCCTTTTTTTTTTTAAGGCAGTTTCACCCTTGTTGCCCAGGCTGGAGTGCAATGGCACAATCTCAGCTCACCACAACCTCCGCCTTCCAGGTTCAAGCGATTCTCCTGCCTCAGCCTCCCAAGTAGCTGGGATCACAGGGATGCGCCACCATGCCTGGCTAATTTTTTTTTTTTTTTTTTGTATTTTTAGTAGAGACGGGCTTTCTCCATGTTGGTCAGGGTGGTCTCGAACTCCCGACCTTAGATGATCCGCCTGCCTTGGCCTCCCAAAGTGCTGGGATTACAGGCATGAGCCACCACGCCTGGCCACCTTTTTTTATTTTTTATTTTTCCCCAAGAGACTGGGTCTTACTGTGTTGCTCAGGCTGGCCTCAAACTCTTGGGGTCAAAGTGATCTGCTTCAGTCTCCCGAGTAGCTGGGACTACAAGTGCACACCTGGCTAAATTACTGCATTTTTAAGAATGAAGCATTAAGAATGAAGATGTTAACTGGTCGAGTCATCCTGCAACGTGGTTAACCACATAACCATTAAGAGTGAACCATAACACCTGATAGGCATCTCTGGGTTTAGGGAGTGGAGGCAGCATATTCCACATTGGGAATACTGCATAGGAAAGCATCCTGTAAGAGGCCTAGGCTGTGAAGCAAGTGGCTCAGCTACTTGGACTTCCAACCCAACAGACCTTGTGATGTTAGAGGTATCTGTAGTGGGGAAAGATGCCATGTGAAGCTTAAGGCAAAGCCCCAACAGAAGAATCTCAATGCAGACTCCTAGAACTCTGGAGCAAGGCAATGCTATCTGCAGAAACAAATTATAAATTTTTCAAAAACAAAACTGTCATGCTACTGGGCCCTGGTAGAGATGGAGCGTGAGGCCATGGTGACATCAAGTGACCATGAGCCAGAACTGCCAGCATGAGCTGGTTCTGTCAGACCCACTGAGAGGTGGGCATGCAGCTGTCCATTGCAAGTTGGAAGTGGCTCATTTAGTACTAGGTACAAGCAGGCACAACCAAGCTTTTCATGTGGCCCAGAACCCATGACATCATTGGTGCTGGCACTGGTACTTCTGACGGGGGCAGCCTTAAGACCAGCTGATGGAGGCAGGAAAAGTTAGAGCTTGGTTCATGGTGGGTGGGCTCTGAACAGCCTGATTTAGGCAGCCCTGGAAGACAGTGCTCAAGGGAAACCCAATGGGTAGAACGTTGGGTGGTGCCCCTTGACTATCTACTTTGTGTGGAAGGAGAAGTGGCCCCAGTGTTAACACATTTGGAACTCTTGGGCAGCGGTTAGTGGCTTGACAGGTTGCTCAGGTACCTGGAATGAGAAAGATTGGAAGATCAGGGAGTTCCTGGAGTAAGGCATGTGGAGGGATCTGTGGGAACAGTCACGAAGTACTTCCCACCCAAGAACATTCACCATGGGGACACACCAAACCACCACATTAATAGGATGACTTGGCCAGTTGACATCTAGCCTCTGCCATCTGCTGCGCCCATGCTGGCACACTGGGCTCTCTCATGGAGTAATCATGGGGTGGGTAGATGCTGTGCATGGCCCATAGCATGGGGCTCCCCCTCACCAGAGCTGACCTAGCTATTTCTCTGCAGAACATCCAATCTTCCAGCAACAGAGACCAAACACTGAGTCCCCAGTTGTACCTTCCTTGGAGGGAAACAGTCATTTGACAACACTGAACCCCTTGTGCCCTAGAAGGTACAGTGATTCATCTTGGCCAGAACCAACACACGTTACAGGCATGGGTTTGCCTTTCCCATTCTCATGGATTCAGTCAGCTCCATCACCCAAGTTTCACAGAGTGTTTGATCCACAGGATCCTGCGCTCAGCCAAGGAACTGCAGCAGTGGGCACATGAGAGTAGGACTCACTGTCTCCCTCACAGCCACACACCAAGAAGCTGCCAGCCTGATGGAGCAGCAGGATGGTCTGTGGAAGGCACAGCTCACCTCGTGTGCAGCCTGGAGGTGACACCTGTGATGAAGCAGTCACCTCCAGGGTGCAGTCTGCACTGCAAATCACTAACCAGTACGTGGTGCAGTGTCCTTGGTTTGTGTAATAAATGGGTCTGGGAACCAAAAGGTGAAAGTCATCACTCCCAGTGACCCACTTAGAAATCTGTATTTCTCCCTCACACTCCTCTGGGTTCTTAAGGTTTAAAGGTCTTGACTCTCAAAGGGAAAACCTTTCCAGCAGGGGCACAGGAAGAACGCCATTTAATTTCCAGCTGTGGCTGCTGTCTGGTCATTTTGAGCTCCTTGTGCCAAGAGACTGGCTGGCAAGGAATGTAATTTCCATCTTCTGGGGTGGCTGACCGTGGGCGTCAGGTGGAGGTAGAGCTGTTACTACATAACTGGGGGCAGGGAAGCACCCAGGTGATGTGATTGGCCACCTCATGGTCCCCTGCCCAAATTTGATGGCAAATGCTGGGGCTATGGCCAGAGAAGGGCATGGTGGCCAGGGGCTTACCTCTCAGGGATGAGGGTTTGGGTTACCTGATCAGGTAAGCTAAGCCACCTAGAGCAGCAGAGGAGATAGGCAAGGGTGAGGAGTTAGCATGGGCAGTAGAGGAGGGAGATGAATGTAATTTGCAACCTTGAGGCCAGCTGCAGCAAGATGTAGTTCATCCCAGTGCCTTCCTTTTATAAATTTCCCAAGGAAAAGGCCCGCCAGAATCCTACAGGAGCTGCTCCCAGAACGTCCCTGAAGCAAGTGGCTATGAGCAGTGCAGTGTGGAGTGTAGCAAGCACTGTGGTTCCCATATGCCCCTTTAGTACTGAAGCACTGTCCCTGCTCCTGGGACAGCCCCTCCCTGATTGCCTGGCTGCAAAGAACTTCTTTGCCCAAGGGCCCACCCCTTCCCCAGGAGTGACTGGTCCAGTGACTAGTTTGTGCAGGGGTATAAAAGCCCAGCTGTCTTGACCCATTGGGAGACACATCTGTAGGACCATGCTCAGCTCAGGGCAGGCCTTTGAGTGACTGCATCTTAGCCATTGTCTTCCTTGGTTGGATTCTGCTTCCTTCACTCTCCAATCACCTTTTCAAATGCAAACCTTCATCACAGAGGTGGTCTCCCAGGGTACCCGAGTGTTATGTGCGTAACATCTTCGTGTGCATAAGCGGGGAGATTTGGTCATTATTTTTAAAAATGAGGTCATCATCTTCAGTCAACCACTATAGCTGGAGTCATTTTCCCCCCTGCAATCTATGTTTTAACAAGGTCATTCTTTTTAGTGGCTATGTATTTCATGATGTGGATATTATGTAATTTATTCCTCAGTTTTCTTCTGATTGGTATCTACTTTATTTTCAGTCCTTTGCCATAATGAGCAATACTGCTATAAACATTTTGGTTTAAACCTGTTTACTGTTGCATATATTTCTGTGAAACAGCCAAGAGTGAGATTATTTGGTTAGAGATTATTTGGTTAGATGATGGATATTATTTCCTATCTGTTTTTGTTAAGGCAAGAGCACTCTGTCTCTCATATATATATGGCTGAGGTATATACATATATATGTATATGTATATACATATATATGTATATGTATGTGTATATGTGTGTGTGTATATATATAAAACAGCACACATATCCTAAGTTTAGTTTAGGTCAAAATTTCACAAACCCAAACCCAGTTCAGGAAACATAACTAGCATTCCCAGAGGCCCATCTTGAGCTCCCTGTGGGTCACTTTCTCCACCCAACTCCCAAAGTGATGTATGCATTATTAATTTTAATAAGTCTTGACAGTTTGCCTTCTAGAAAGAGTCTATTTACATTTTTACCAGCAATACATGAGACTACCTCTTCCCCTGTGTTTCCAGTTATAGTTAATTTGCGTTTCCCTGAGTATTGTATTTGTTTCCTCTTTGGGTTTTCTGTTTTGTGTATTGCCTCTTCCTATTCTTTGCTCATTTTTCTGTTGAATTGTTTGTCTTATCTTGTAAATGTATGAGAACTTGTTGTATAATATAGCAGTTAACCCTTTGTCATTTTTGTTCCAAATAGTTTTCCCAATGCATTTATTTTCTTTTTGATGTGGTGCTAGTTATACCAGCCCTATTAATTAATCTATCCTTTTCTATTGAATTGAAATACTATCTTTGTTGTATATAAAGTCTTGGGATCAGTCTCTGGGTTGTCTGTTCTCTTCTAGAGGTCTTTTCTCTCTCTCTTTTTTAAGCTTACTTTTTTTTTTCCCAGGACAGAGTCTTGCCCTGTAACCCAGGCTGGAGTGCAGTGGCGCAATCTCGGCTCACTGCAACCTCCACCTCCCGGGTTCAAGCAATTCTCCTGCCTCAGCCTCCCAAGTAGATGGGATTGCAGGTGCTTGCCACCACACCTGGCTAATTTTTGTATTTTTAGTAGAGGTGGGGTTTCACCATTTTGGCCAAGCTGGTCTCGAGCTCCTGACCTGAGGTGATCCACCCACCTCAGCCTCCCAAAGTGCTGGGATCACAGGCGTGAGTCACCACGCCCGGCCTAAGCTTACATTTCTTGTCTTTTCGTACTTTGAAATTATTTTATTAAATTAAAATATCCCTGTAGGGTCTCCAATTGGAATTGCCTTAAATTTAGAAGAATTAAACATTTTGTGATCTATATCCTAATGCTGTGTCTTTTCATTTGTACAGATCTTTTTTTATGCCATTTAATAAGATTTTACATTTTCATCATTGAGGGCCTTGTATCTTTTTTGTTATATTTATCCTAAGTATAATGTTTTTATATTGTAAGTGAAATATTTTCCCCTATTTGCATTTCAGGTTGTTATTGTTCCTGCAGAGGAAATGTATGTCACAGTGGTTAAGAGCACAGACTCCCAAATCCTATTGCCTGGGATTGGATCCTGGTTCTGTCACTTACTGTTCAGCCCAGGCTTATTGAAATTAAATCAAAATCTAAATTAGAAGTTTGTTTTAATGATGTTTTACTGAACCTTCAATTGTTCCACTGCAGTATTCAGTCTAAGAATTTCCCCAAACCTTTAATCCTTTTAAGGTTTCTATAAAAGTTGACCTTGGGTTTTTAGAGTCATGTATTCAAATGCAAATGTCAAATAATGATTTTTAATAAATGTTTTATGATTATATAGAGTTATCTTCAGTTAACTTGAAGGTACTTTACATAAATATTTATTGCAATGGTACTAAGCATTTTACTTGTGAATTTTATTACATTGTTTTAAGTAAGTTAATAATGAATAAATAAGCATGATTATAGAGGTTATTTCAGTGTTTAGTTAACTGTGTGACTTAGATATCAATGTTTCTTTAATGCCCCATGTTTCTTTTTTGTTGTTTTTAAAAGCTATGGAAGTGATAAACAAGTCCAGTGTTAAGTATTCAGTACAACTTGAAGACAGGAAGACTCAATCACCAGAAAAAAAGGTAAATCATTGCACATATGAGTAATTTTAAATAGATAACTTATTTGTTCAATAGATGCTTATTAAGTGTTCTACTGTGTGCTAGGCACTGTAGATACCACACCTTAAAAAAAAAAAAAGAGGCGTTCTTGCTCTCCAAGAACTTATAGTTTAATTTGGATGCAGGGAGGGGCAAGTAGGTGCCATGAGAGAAGTTAGTTCAGAGTGCTCTGGGGACAATAGGAGGAACATCTAACTCAGTTTTTGTGCTATTTCATTTTGCCCTCCTGGGTGTTGAGGAGAAGAGTCAGGGATGTCTTTCTGAAGTATGAAAATTATATCTGAGTTGAGATCTATTGGATAATTAGGAGGTGATCGACCTAGGCTGGATGCAGTGGCTCACACAGGTAATCCCAGCACGTTGGGAAGCTGAGCAGGGTGGACCACTTGAGGCCAGGAATTTGAGACCAGCTTGGGCAACATAAGGAGACCCTGTCTCTACAAAAAATAATACAAAAAAAAAAAAATTAACTGGGCATGGTGGCATGCTCCTGTAGTCCCAGCTACTCAGGAGGCTGAGGCTGGAGGATCACTTGAGCCAAGGATTTTGAGGCTGCAGTGAGCTGTGATTGCACCACAACACTCCAGCCTGGGCAACAGAGCAAGACTCAGTGTCTAAAAAATAGAAATAAAAAATAAAAAGATCCCCACCTTTAAGGGAGTAGAGGCAAAACATTGAGAAATTTTTCAGATAAGGGAAGAAAGCTTGGAACTTTGGGTAGTGGAAATAATAGAATTTCAGAAAGGCAGGGCTATAACATTCACAATGGGTGAGTTATGTGGTGTGGGCCAGAGAGGTCGTATCACCAAAGACCTTGTGTATGAAAGTGGTGCAGGCAACATAGTGGTTAAGAGAATGGACTTTGGAGTAAACTACCTGTGTTCAACTCCCAACCTAATTAAATTTAAACCTAAATGCCCTATAGTAAAGTGAGATAATAGGACCTGTCTCTTGGGTTGATGGGATGATTATTTGCCCCTGGGTTCATAGGATGATTATCTGCCCTTGGAGTGGAGGGAAGAGGCATCTTCCACAGAGAAGGGACTCTTCTCTTCTTCCCTCTGTAAATGAATGGAAATTGTATCTCTCAGTGGTGAACAGACTGTGCTCCTTGGATCCCGAAGGCAGGGGTCTGCAAACTTTTTGCTCCCTTTCTCTCAAAAGAATTTTGTTGTTTTTGTTTGTTTGTTTGTTTGAGACAGGCCTTCACTCTGTCACCCAGGGTGGAGTGCAGTGGTGTGATCACAGCTCACTGCAATCTCTACCTCCACCTCTGCAACCATGCCCAGCTAATTAATTGAGTCCTGGACTCAAGTGATCCTCCCAACTCAGCCTCCCAAGTAGCTGAGACTACAGGCACACACCATCATTGCCCAGCTAATTTTTGTATTTTTGGTGGAGACAGGGTTTCACCATGTTGCCCGGGCTGGTCTCAAACTCCTGGGCTCAAGCGATCCTCCCACCTCGGCCTCCCAAAGTGCTGGGATTACAGATATGAGCCCCCATACCTGGACTTCTCAAACTATCTGTACTGCCTGACATATTTTAAAGTTGAAATTTAAAATCCTTATCACAAGTTTAAAAAATTGCAAAGTACATGATTTCTGCTCTATTGTTAATATTGACATTTTTACTGTTACATTACCATTTAAAATATATTCACGAAAATTAAATATGCACTTTGACAACTTGATATCCACAATCCTCTTATTATTATTATTATTATTATTATTATTATTATTATTATTATTATTATTTGGAGACGGAGTCTCGCTCTGTCACCTGCACTGGAGTGCAGTGGTGTGATCTCGGCTCACTGCAACCTCCGCCTCCTGGGTTAAGCGATTCTCCTGCCTCAGCCTCTGAGTAGCTGGGATTACAGGTGCCCACCACCACACCCAGCTAATTTTTGTGTTTTTAATAGAGATGGGGTTTCACCATGTTGGCCAGGCTAGTCTCGAACTCCTGACCTCTGGTGATCTGCCTGCCTCAGCCCCCCAAAATGTTGGGATTAAAGGCATGAGCCACCGTGCCTGGACTATTTTATTTATTTATTTATTTATTTATTTATTTATTTATTTATTATGTTTTGAGATGGAGTCTCTGTCACCAAGGCAGGAGTGCAGTGGCGCGATCTCGGCTCACTGCAACCTCCGTCTCCTGGGTTTAAGCGATTCTCCTGCCTCAGCCTCCCAAGCAGCTGGGGTTACAGGTGCATGCCATCATGCCCGGCTAATTTTTTTATTTTTAGTACAGACAGGTTTTCACCATATTGGCCAGGCTGGTCTTGAACTCCTGACCTCGTGATCCATCTGCCCGGGCCTCCCAAAATAGTGGGATTACAGGCGTGAGCCACCATGCCCGGCCTCTTTTTTTTATTATTATTATTATTATTATTATTATTATTATTATTATTATTATTATTTTGAGACTTTCTCACTCTGTCGCACAGGCTGAAGTGCAGTGTGGTGTGACCACGGCTCACTGTAGCCTTGACCTCCTGGGCTCAGGTGATCCTCCCACCTCAGCCTCCTGAGTAGCTGGGACCGTAGGCACATGACACCATGCCCAGCTAATTTTTGTATTCTTTGTAAAAGGACAGGGTTTTGCTATTTTGCCCAGGCTGGTCTTGAACTCCTGGGCTCAAGCAGTCCTCCTGCCTCAGCCTCCCAAAGTGCCAGGATTACAGGTATGAGCCACTGTGCCCAGCCCACAATCATCCCCTTAAAAAAGACAGAGTAAGATCTTCAACAGTTTGAAATTTTATATTTTTCTTTTTCTCCTTGAATTCCTTTTCTTGTTTACTCCTCCATGGAATTTTTAATGTAATTTTATGCTTGAAAGCCTACTCTTGGAAACCATATATTTCTCTGCAATAAAAATACAAGTATAAATTTAAAATTTTCATAACATGTGACCAAGTGTTAAAACATTTTCTTTCAAAATTATTTTAAAGGTAATGTTAATATAGTTATTCAAAGCCATATATATATATATATAAAGTAAATTTATATATATATATAAAGTAAATTTGAAAATAAGCCTTGGCTGGGTATGTTGGCTCACACCTGTAATCCCAGCACTTTGGGAGGCCAAGGCGGGCAGATTGCTTGAGTCCAGGAGTTTGAGACCTGCCTGGGGAACATGGTGAAACCCCATCTCTACTAAAAATAGAAAAATTCGCTGGATATGGTGGTGAACCCCTGTAGTCACAGCTACATGGGAGGCTGAGGTGGGAGGATTACTTGAGCCGGGGACATGGAAGTTGCAGTGAGCTGAGATTGTGCCACTGCACTTCAGCCTGGGCAACAGAACAAGACCCTGTCTCAAAAAAAAAAAAAAAAAAAAAAGGAAAAGGAAAGAAACCTTAAAAATAAAGTGTTATCGTAAATAAGTCCTATAATGAAATGGATAGGATTGCTTTCCCCACCTTGATTAGTTTGTGGATCTATGAATGCATATTGCACATTGATGGAATGAGAGAACTGCTATTGAGCTGGGTTTAATTTTTTTTTTTTTTTTTTTTTCTGAGACGGAGTCTTGCTCTGTCGCCCAAGCTGGAGTGCAATGGCATGATCTCAGCTCACTGCAACCTCCACCTTCCAGGTTCAAGCGATTCTCTGCCTCAGCCTCCTGAGTAGCTGGGATTACAGGCATGCTCCACCATGCCCAACTAATTTTTGTATTCTTAGTAGAGACGAGGTTTCTCCATGTTGGTCAGGATGGTCTCGAACTGTTGACCTTGTGATCCGCCAGCCTCAGCCTCCCAAAGTATTGGGATTACAGGTGTGAGCCACTGCACCTGGCCCAAAAACATTTTTTCAGTAGATAGATTAACATATTGTTAAATAGTTTTGGTGATTTCATTTTTCTCTGCAAATGGCTTTTACTTGGAAGTTGTAAATTATTAATCTTCTCTCTTATGCACATATGCAACATAATCCTATCCATGACATGTCTCATTACATGCACTGATTCCCAGAACAGGGGCCAGTTGGAGGCTTTTGAGCTTTTTTTTCGAGACAGAGTTTCGCTCTTGTCACCCAAGCTGGAGTGCAATGGTGCAATCCCAGCTCACTTCAGCCTCCACCTCCTGAATTCAAGTGATTCTCCTGCCTCAGCCTCCCGAGTAGCTGGAATTACAAGCGCCTGCCACCATGCCAGCTAATTTTTGTATTTTTAGTAAGATGAAGTTTCACCATGTTGGCCAGACTCATCTCGAATTCCTGACCTCAAGTGATCCACCCACCTCGGCCTCCCAAAGTGCTGGGATTACAGGCGTGAGCCACCACGCCTGGCTGGTTTTTGAGCTCTTGATCCAGATATGCATGCCTACCTTGGTTGAGAAAAATCACTGCTCTAGAAGACACTATAGGGTTTCCTTAGAAGGTTTGATCATAGGTAATATGAAGATTGTGTCTCCATATTACCTTAGACAAGTTTTTACCAGAAATTAGTTTAGTTTATAGATCTGTCTTATGAGTCCATATTCTAATGAAATATTTTCCATTTTTCTGTAGGATCTTAAATCTTTAAGAAGTCAGACATCAAGAGGTTCTGCCAAGCTGTCTCCTCAGTCCTTCAGTGTCAGGCTCACAGATCAGCTGTCTGCTGACCAAAAACAGAAGAGCATCAGCTCATTGACTCTTTCAAGTTGTTTAATTCCACAGTATAATCAAGAGGCTTCAGTTCTACAGAAAAAGGGGCATAAAAGAAAGCATTTCCTAATGGAGAATATAAATAATGAAAATAAAGGAAGCATTAATCTTAAAAGAAAACATATTACATATAATAATTTGTCAGAGAAAACAAGTAAACAAATGGCATTGGAAGAAGATACTGATGACGCCGAAGGCTACCTAAATTCTGGGAACTCAGGAGCATTGAAAAAACATTTTTGTGATATTAGGCATTTGGATGATTGGGCAAAAAGCCAGCTGATTGAAATGCTCAAACAGGCAGCAGCCCTGGTGATAACTGTGATGTATACTGATGGTTCCACCCAGCTAGGAGCTGACCAGGTTAGTAAACAGTGATGTTTTTATTTGCTGTCTTGACACCATAAAAGAAGCCCATTTTCTTAGTGTCAGATTTTGATAGGAGAGCTAGAAACAAGATTTTAAGGCTTTCCTTCCCCTCCAGTGGTAAGTGATTGACAATGTATGCTCCCATCAGTTTCTTAGGAAACTGTAAAACTGTTTTCCAGAGTGGGTGTACCATTTTACCTTCCACCAGCAGTGTACTAGGGTTTCAAATTCTCCACCTCCTTGTCAACACATGTTGTTGTCTGTTTTTTTAGCCATTCCAGTGATTCCGAAGTGGTATTTCATAGTGGTTTTAAATTGTATTTCCCTATTATCTAGTGACATTGAGCATCTTTTCATGTGCTTATTGGCCATTCATATATCTTCTTTGATGAAATGTCTGTTCAAATTTTTTGCCCATTTTAAAATTGGGTTATTTGTGTTTTATTCTGGATCTTTATATATTCTGATACAAGTCTCTTATAAGATATATTATTTATACGTCTCCCAATTTCTGTCATATTTTTAAAAAAAATTATTGAGGGTGTCTTTTGAAGCACAAAATTTTTAAATTTGATCTCTATTGATTTTTTTAAAAACCTTTCCTTTTCATTTTCCTTTTCCTTTTCCTTTCCTTTCCTTTCCTTTCCTCTACTTTCCTGCACCCATCACTCAAGCAGTATACACTGCACACAATTTGTAGTATTTTATCCCTCACCCCCTTCCCACCCTTTCCTCCTGAGTCCCCAAAGTCCACTGTGTCATTCTTATGCCTTTGCATCCTCATAGCTTAGCTCCCACCTATAAGTAAGAACATACAATGTTTCGTTTTCCATTCCTGAGTTACTTCACTTAGAATAGTAGTCTCCAATCTCATCCAGGTCACTGTGAATGCCATTAATTCATTCACTTTTATGGCTGAGTAGTATTCCATCATATGTATATACCACAGTTTCTTTATTCACTCCTTGATTGATGGGCATTTGGGTTGGTTCCACGTTTTTGCAATTGCAAATTGTGCTGCTATAACCATGCACGTGCAAGTATCCTTTACGTATAATGACTTCTTTTCCTCTGGGTAGATACCCAGTAGTGGGATTGCTGGATCAAATGGTAGTTCTACTTTTAGTTCTTTAAGGAATTTCCACACTGTTTGCCATAGTGATTGTACTAGTTTACATTCCCACCAGAAGTATAGAAGTGTTCCCTGTTCACTGCATCCATGCCAATATCTATTATTTTTTGACTTTTTGATTATGGCCATTCTTGCAGGAGTAAGATGGTATTACATTGTGGTTTTGATTTGCATTTCCATGATCATTAGTGATGATGAGCATTTTTTCATATATTCGTTGGCCAGTTGTATATCTTCTTTGGAGAATTGTCTATTCATGTCCTTAGCCCACTTTTTGATGGGATTGTTTGCTTTTTTCTTGCTAATTTGTTTGAGTCATTGTAGATTCTGGATATTAGTCCTTTGTCAGATGTATGGATTGTGAAAATTTTCTCCCACCCTGTGGGTTGTCTGTTTACTCTGCTGACTATTCCCTTTGCTATGCAAAAGCCTTTTAGTTTAATTAAGTCCCAGCTATTTATCTTTGTTTTTATTACATTTGCTTTTGGGTTCTTGGTCATGAAATCCTTGCCTAAGCCAATTTCTGGAAGGGTTTTTCCCATGTTATCTTCTAGAATTTTTATAGTTTCAGGTATTAAATTTAAGTCCTTGATCCATCTTGAGCTGATGTTTGTATAAGGTGAGAGATGAGGATCCAGTTTCATTTTACATGTGGCTTGCCAATTATCTCAGCACCATTTGTTGAATAGGGTGTCCTTTCCCCACTTTATGTTTTTGTTTGCTTTGTCAAAGATCAGTTGGCTGTAAGTATTTGGGTTTATTTCTGGTTTCTCTATTTGGTTCAATTGGTCTATGTGCCTATTTTTATACCAGTACCATGCTGTTTTGGTAACAATGGCCTTATAGTATAGTTTGAAATCAGGTACTGTGATGCCTCCAGATTTGCTCTTTTTGCTTAGTCTTGCTTTGGCTATGTGGGCTTTTTTGTTGTTGTTGCTCCATATGAATTTTAAGATTTTTTTTTTTTTTTTTTTGAGACAGAGTCTCGCTCTGTCGCCCAAGCTGGAGTGCAGTGGCACAATCTCAGCTCACTGCAACCTCTGCCTCCTGGGTTCAAGTGATTCTTCTGCCTCAGCCTCCCAAGTAGCTGGGACTTGGGAGGTGCGTGCCACCACGCCCGGCTAATTTTTGTATTTTTAGCAGAGACGAGGTTTCACCATATTGACCAGGCTGGTCTCGAACTCCTGACCTTGTGATCCACCTGCCTTGGACTCCCAAAGTGCTGGGATTACAGGTGTCAGCCACCATGCCTGGCCTAGGACTGTTTTTTATAGTTCTGTGAAGAATGATGGTGGTATTTTGACGGGAATTGCATTGAATTTTTAGATTGCTTTTGGCAGTATGGTCATTTTCACAATATTGATTCTACCCTTCCATGAGCATGGGATGTGCTTCCATTTGTTTGTGTCATCTGTGATTTCTTTCAGCAGTGTTTTGGAGTTTTCCATGCAGAGGTCTTTCACCTCCTTGGTTAGGTATATTCCTAAGTATTTTATTTTTTTGCAGCTATTGTAAAAGGGGTTGAGTTCTTGATTTGATTCTCAGCTTAGTCACTGTTAGTGTATAGCAGAGCTACTGATTTGTGTACCTTAATTTTGTATCCAGAAACTTGGCTGAATTCTTTCATCAGTTCTAGGAGCTTTCTGGAGGAATCTTTAGGGTTTTCTAGGTAAACAATCATATAATCAGCAAATAGTGACAGTTGATTTCCTCTTTATCGATTCGGATGCTTTTTATTTCTTTCTTTTGTCTGATTGCTCTGGCTAGGACTTCCAATACTATATTGAAAGGAAGTCGTGAGAGTGGGCATCCTTGTCTTGTTCCAGTTCTCAGGGTGAGTGCTTTCAACTTTTCTCCATTCAGTATTATGTTGGCTGTGGGTTTATAATAGATGGCTTTATTACATTAAGATATGTCCCTTGTATGCCAATTGTGCTGAGAGTTTTAATAATAAAGCAATGCTGGATTTTGTTGAATGCTTTTTCTGTATCTATTGAGGTGATCATGTGATTTTTGCTTCTAATTCTGTTTATGTGGTATATCACATTTATTGACTTGCGTATGTTAGACCAACCCTGCATCCCTGGTATGAAACCCACTTGATCATGGTGGATTATCTTTTTGATGTGTTGTTGGATTTGGTTAGCTAGTATTTTGTTAAGGACTTTTGCATCTATGTTCATCAGAGATATTGGTCTGTAGTTTTCTCTTTTGGTGGTATCCTTTCCTGGTATTGGTATTAGGGTGATACTGACTTCACAGAATGATTTAGTGAGGATTCCCTCTTTCTCTATCTTGTGGAATAGTGTCAATAGGATCAGTACTGATTCTTCTTTGAATGTCTGATAGAATTCTGCTGTGAATCTGTCTGGTCTTGGACTTTTTTTATTTGTAATTTTTTTGTTACCATTTCAGTCTCACTGCTTGTTATTGGTTTGTTCAGGACATCTAATTCTTCCTGATTTAAATTAGAAAGGTTGTATCTTTCCAAGAATTTATCCATATCCTCTAGGTTTTCGAGTTTATGTGTGTAAAGTTGTTCATAGTAGCCTTGAGTGATCTTTTCATTTTTGTGGTGTCAGTTGTTATATCTCCCATTTTGTTTCTAATTGAGCTTATTTGGATTTTTTCTCTTATTTTCTTGGTTAATCTTGGTAATGGTCTATCAATTTTATTTATCTTTTCAAAGAACCAGCCTTTTGTTTCATTTATCTTTTTTTTTTTTTTTTTTTTTTTTTTGTGATAGAGTTTTGCTCTTGTTACCCAGGCTGGAGTGTAATGGCGCGATCTCAGCTCACTGCAACCTCCGCCTCCCGGGTTCAAGTGATTCTCCTGTCTCAGCCTCCCCAGTAGCTGGGATTACAGGCATGTGCCACCACACCTGGCTAATTTTTTGTATTTAGTAGAGATGGGGTTTCACCATATTGGTCAGACTGGTCTCGAACTCCTGACCTCAGGTGATCCACCCTCCTCTGCCGCCCAAAGTGCTGGGATTACAGGCGTGAGCCCCTGTGCCTGGCATTTGCTTCATTTATCATTTGTATTTTGTTTGTTTGTTTCAATATCATTGAGTTCTGCTCTGATCGTGGTCATTTCCTTTCTTCTGCTGGGTTTGGGTTTGGTTTGTTCTTGTTTCTCTAGTTCCTTGAGGTGTGACCTTAGATTGTGCTCTTTCAGACTTTTTGATGTAGGTGTTTAGGGCTATCCCAGAGGTTTTGATAGGTTGTGTCACTATTGTTGTTCAGTTTGAAGATTTTTTTTTTTTTTTTTAGACAGAGTCTTGCTGTGTCACCCAGGCTGGAGTGCAGTGGTACAATCTTGGCTCTCTGCAACCTCTGCCTCCCAGGTTCAAGCAATTCTCCTGTCTCAGCCTCCTAAGTAGCTGGGACTATAGGAGCAAGCCACCACACCTGGCTAATTTTTGTATTTTTAGTACAGATGGAATTTCACCATGTTGGCCAGGATGGTCTCGATCTCCTGACCTTGTGATCCACCTGCTTCAGCTTCCCAAAGTGCTGGGATTACAGGCGTGAACCACCGCGCCCGGCCCAGTTTGAAGAATTGTTTAATTTCCATCTTGATTTCATTTTTGAGCCAGTGATCATTCAGGAGCAGGTTATTTAATTTCCATGTATTTGTATGGTTTTGAAGGTTCCTTTTGGAGTTGATTTACAGTTTTATTCCACTGTGGTCTGAGAGAGTGCTTAATATAAGTTCAATTTTCTTAAATTTATTGAGGCTCATTTTGTGGCCTATCATATGGTCTATCTTGGAGAAAGTTCCATGCACTGATGAATAGAATGTATATTCTGTGGTTGTTGAGTAGAATGCTCTGTAAATATATGTTAAGTCCATTTGTTCCAGGGTACAGTTTAAATCCATTGTTTCTTTGTTGACTTTCTGTCTTGATGACCTGTCTGGTGCTGTCAGTGGAGTATTGAAGTCCCCCATTATTACTGCTTTGCTGTCTACCTCATTTCTTAGGTCTATTAATTGTTTTAGAAATTTGGGCACTTCAGCGTTAGGTGCATATATATTTAAGATTGTGATATTTTCCTGTTGGACAAGGCCTTTTGTTATTATATCATCTTACTGTTTGTCTTTTTTTTTTTTTTTTTTTTTTTTGAGACAGAGTCTTGCTGTGTCACCCAGGCTGGAGTGCAGTGCTACAGTCTTGGCTCACTGCAACCTCTGCCTCCCAGGTTCAAGCAATTCTCCTGTCTCAGCCTCCCAAGTAGCTGGGACTATAGGAGCAAGCCACCACGCCTGACTAATTTTTGTATTTTTAGTAGAGACGGAGTTTCATCATGTTGGCCAGGCTGGTCTTGAACTCCTGACCTCAAGTGATCTGCCCGTGTGGGCCTCCCAAAGTGCTGGGATTACAGGCATGAGTCTGGTCTCCTCTTTGTCTTTTTTAACTGCTGTTGCTTTAAAGTTTGTTTGTCTGATATCAGAATAGCTACTCTTGCTTGCTTTTGGTCTCCCTTTGCATGGAATGTCTTTTTCCACTCTTACCTTAAGTGTATGTGAGTCCTTATGTGTTAGGTGAGTCTCTTGAAGGCAGCAGATGGTTGGTTGGTGAATTCTTATCCATTCTGCAATTCTGTATCTTTTAAGTGGAGCATTTAGGCCATTTACATTCAACGTTAGTATTGAGATGTGAGGTACCATTCCATTCATTGTACTATTTGTTGCTGGTATACGTTGTTTTTTTTGTTTTGTTTTGTTTTTTTAATTGTATTTTTGCTTTATAGGGCCTGTGAAATGTATGCTTTAAAGAGATTCTGTTTTGATGTGTTTCCAGGATTTGTTTCAAGGTTTAGAACTCCTTTTAACAGTTGTTGTAGTGCTGGCCTGGTAGTGGCTATTTCTCTCAGCATTTGTTTGTCTGAAAAGGACTGCATCCTTCCTTCATTTATGAAGCTTAGTTTCGTTGGATACAATTGTTTTGTTTAAGGAGGCTGAAGATAGGGCCCCAGTCCCTTCTAGCTTGGAGGGTTTCTGCTGTTAATCTGATAGGTTTTCCTTTATAGGTTACCTGGTGCTTTTGCCTCATAGCTCTTAAGATTCTTTCCTTTGTCTTAACTTTGGATAAACTGATGACAATGTGCCTAGTCAATGATCTTTTTGCAATGAATTTCCCAGGTGTTCTTTGAGCTTCTTGTATTTGGATGTCTAGGTCTCTAGCAAGGCCAGGGAAGTTTTCCTTGATTATTCCCCCAAATATGTTTTCCAAATTTTTTAGATTTCTCTTCTTCCTCAGGAATGCCAATTATTCTTAGGTTTGGTTGTTTAACATAATCCGAGACTTCTTGGAGGCTTTGTTCATGTTTTCTTTTTCTTTTTTCTTTGTCTTTGTTGGATTGGGTTAATTTGAAAACCTTGTCTTTGAGCTCTGAAGTTCTTTCTTCTGCTTGTTTGATTCTAATGGTGAGATTTTCTAGAGCATTTTGCATTTCTATAAGTGCATCTATTGTTTCCTGAAGTTTTGATTTTTTTTTATATATGCCATCTATATCTATTTCATTGAAAATTTCTCCCCTCGTTTTTTTTTTTTTTTTTTTTTTTTTTGGAGTGGTAGGGGGACAGAGTCTCACTCTGTCACTCAGGCTGGAGTGCAGTGGCATGATCTGGGCTCACTGTAACCTCCACCTCCCGGGTTCAGGCGATTCTCCTGCCTCAGCCTCTTGAGTAACTAGGACTACAGGCATGTGCCACCACGCCCGGCTAATTTTTTGTATTTTTAGTAGAGATGGAGTTTCACCATGTTAGCCAGGATGGTCTCGATCTCCCGACCTCATGATCTGCCTGCCTTGGCCTCCCAAAGTGCTGGGATTACAGGCGTGAGCCACAGTGCCCGGCCTCCCCTCATTTCTTGTATCATTTTTTTGACTTCCTTAAACTGGGCTTTGCCTTTCTCTGGTGACTCCCTGATTAACTTAATAACTAACCTTCTGAATTCTTTTTCAGGTAAATCAGGGATTTCTTCTTGGTTTGGATCCATTGCTGGTGAGCTAGTATGATTTTTTGGGCATGCTGAAGAACCTTGTTTTGTCATATTACCAGAGTTGGTTTTCTGGTTCCTTCTCATTTGGGTAGGCTCTGTCAGAGGGAAGGTCTAGGACTCAAGGCTGTTGTTCAGATTCTTTTATCCAATGGGGTGTTCCCTTGATGTAGTCCTCTCCCCATTTTCCTAGGGATGTGGCTTCCTGAGAGCTGAGCTGTAATGATTGTTATCTGTCTTCTGGATCTAGCCACCCAGCAAGTCTACCAGGCTCCAAGCTGTCCTGGGGCTTGTCTGCACAGAGTCCTGTGATGTGAACCGTCTGTGGGTCTTTCGGTTGTGGATACCAACACAGTATTTGGGGTGTCTCCTGGGAGCAGGAGCAATCTGCTTCCTTCAAAGGATCTGTGGGTTCTTTCTGCTTTCCTGATTTATTCTTGTAGTCATTCTAGAGCAAAAGTTCACGATGCAAGCCTCCACACTCTGCTCTGTCTGTCCCAGTGGGAGCTGCAATCTAGTCCTGCCTCCCATCTGCCATGATCTCCTAATTCTCTCTGATTATTGGCGCTTTATAGTAAGTTTTGAAATCAAGAAGAGTGAGTCCTCCAACTTTGTCTTTTTCAAGATTCTTTTGGGTATTGTGCTTCCTTTGCTTGTCAGTTTTAGGATCAGTTTGTCAATTTATGCAAAAATCCAGCTGGAATTTTGATATAAATTGTGTTAAATCTATAGATTAATTTTGCGAGTCTTGCCATCTTAATATAATAGTATTGAGTTTTCTGATCCATAAACATGGAGTATCTCCATTTATTTAAAACTTTAATTTCCTGTAGGAATGTTTTATAGTTTTCAGTGTAGTATGCAAGTCTTGCTTTACCTTTCATTTTTTTAAAGGCATTTTGCTGGTTAAAGAATGTTAGTTGATAGTTTATTTTCTTCCAGTAGTTTCATAATATTACTCAACTGTTGGCTGGGTGTGGTGGCTCACACCTGTAATCCTAGCACTTTGGGAGAGCAAGGTGGGCGGATTGGCTGAGCTCAGGAGTTCGAGACCAGCCTGGAACACAGTGAAACCCCGTCTCTACTAAAATACAAAAAAAATTAGCTGGGTGTGGCAGTGTGTGCCTGTAGTCCCAGCTACTCTGGAGGCTGAGTCAGGAGAATTGCTTGAACCTGGGAGGTGGAGGTTGTGGTGAGCTGAGATTGCGCCACTGCACTCCAGCCTGGGCGACAGAGCAAGACTCCATGTCTAAAAAAAATAAAATAAAAGTATATATATACCATCTTCTGAGTTGCTTTATTTCCCACAAAGAAATCTGCTGTCATCCTTATCTTTGTTTCTATCTATGTAATGTGTTCTCTCGCCACCCACCCCCTTTTATCACTGGTTTTAAGCAAATGATGTTGATGTATTTTTCTTGGTGTAGTTTTCTTCATGTTCCTTGTACTTGAGGTTTATTGATCTTCTTGGTTCTAATGATTAACTTGGGGATAAAGGACAAACATTATTATGTTGAGTTTTTAAATCCTTGAGTATTATATGTCTTCGTTATTTAGGTCTTCTCTGATTTCTTTCATCAGCATTTTATAGTTTTCAGCATACATATCCTGTATGTATTTTGTTCATTTATACTTAAGTATTTCACTTTTTAGAGTTTTATAAATGGTCGTTTTAAAAAATTTTATTTTCACATGTTTATTGCTAGAATATAAAAATATATTAAATTTCTGTGCTTTGATCTTGGTTCCTGCAACCTTGCTAAATTCACATATTAGCTCCAGGATTCGTTTTTTATAGGTTCCTTTAGATTTTCTACACAGACATTCATGCCATCTGTTAATAGGGAAAGTATGATGCTTCCTTTCTGATGTGTTTGCCTTTTATTCCTTTCTCCTATCATATTGCCCTGGATGAGACTTCCATTATGATGTTGGACAGGGTAGAGACCAGATTTCGAGCATAAGGTCATGGGTTTGGCTTTTGGCCCTCAATTGTCATTAAAAAACTATTCATTTACAAGTTTAATTTTAGGCCTTTTCTCTTTCTCTCTGCTTAATTTTAAAATGTATGTCTTTCTACAACAGATATGTTGTCTGGGTTTAATTTATTTTGTTGTGTTTCCACAGACCCCCGTTTCTTCTGTTAGAGGAATTGTGGTGTTAGTAAAACGCCAAGCAGAGGGTGGCCATGGCTGTCCAGATGCCCCGGCCTGTGGTCCTGTTCTGGAGGGCTTTGTGTCAGATGATCCATGCATCTACATTCAAATAGAGCACTCTGCTATCTGGGACCAAGAACAGGAGGCACATCAACAATTTGCCCGGTAAGAAATCTTCACACATGGGCTCACACCCTACTTACATGCCTGCTTTATACTAATGGAAACTTGCTCAAGGTCCAGTTTTAATAGTTTAAACTTTTAGAAGTTTTGTATGGGCACATGAAAATAAAATGGATCCAAGTGATAGAAATCTCTGCAAATACTGGCCCTCTCTCTCCCAGAGAGTATCTGGAATGGAGTTCCGTTCTTCTGTGGGAGCAGCCGGCTCCAGGACTTGAAGCAACTTCACAGTGAGAAGCTAGGGAGAAAAGCATCACCCCCAGACCCTGAAAATCCCCTGTCACTGGCAGAGTCCCAGATGATTTTCCTTATCATACTTGTTCATTCATTCACAGCATTAGAAAACAAAGTTATCACTGCCTGCAAACAATAAATTGTCCTTAATACCACCAAGGATGGGACTAGTTTCAAAGCTCCATGTCTGTGGAAAGAGGCAAGACCTGTCTCACCTCTTTGGACCGGCCCTCTTAGAATCACAGAATTTTAGAGCAGGCGGGGTTGCTCCTGCCGTCCCTTCTGGATTCTGAAAAGCCCTTTCTGGGATGGATCTTGTACTCTTCCTCACTGTTTCTTTGCTTAGGTTATCCACATGACTTGGGCTTCTGCCTCAAATGGAGGTATCCACTGCCTTCCCAGCCCTCTGATTTAAGGCCAATTAGCCACCCTGGAAGAGGCAATCAAGGCAGCTCCGGAGGAAGTTGGGCCCCGTTACTAGCCTGTCCATGCTTCATACAGGCTCACTGGGCTCTGGGTGATTTTAGGTAACTTTTGGGGAGAAGGGGAATGTGTGACAAACATAGCATTCAGCTCCCAACAGAACCCTTCATTTTCTTTTTATGTAATTTTCTCTTTAAAGAACAACTGGTCAGGTCTAGTGTATGGAGAGCCCTTGTGAGGACAGAGCCCTAATATCTGGATGATGTTTCTGAATTTAGTTGACATTGTCCACTTGGATGTCTAGTGGTCATTTTAGGCAAACATGTCCAAACTGAACTCCTGTCTTCCCTGGACCCTGCCTCCTGTGGCCTGGCTGTCTTAGTCAGTGTCAGCCCTCCATGAGCTTAGGCAAAAAGTCCTGGGGTTATCTCTGACTTCTCTCTACTTTCCACAAACCATATCAAGCTCTCAGCAAGTCCTATTGGCTCTGCCTTCAAGTGTAGATAGAATCTGCCCTCTGCTTATCCACTGCGTTGCTGTTACTCGGCACAAGTTGTTACCTCCTACTGGATCACAAGAACTTCCACATTGGACTCCTGCTTCCACCTGCCCCTTCAGTCTGTTTTCTGTGCAGCACCCAGAGCTGGCCTGTTAAAGCATAAATCAGATCACATCACTTCCCTGTCCCAAACCCTCAAACAGCTCGTGCTTCACTCTGAGGAAAACCCCACATCACTGCTTCTTGGTCTTCTGGCTAAGATCAAGTGTAGAAAAGCCACAGGACCTATGAAGGCCCTCGCCCTCGAGGTCTGCTTACTCTGGCCCCTCCGCTGTCTTCAACCTCACCTCCTCCTCTCTCCCGGCCTCTCAGTGCATTCCCACCTCCTTGCCGTTCCTGACCATGTGGTGTGCGCCTCTACCCAAGGGCCTGGTGCCACCATCCCTCCCTGCAGCATTCTCCCAAATAGCTGCATGGTTTACTGCCTCATTCCTTTATGTTTTTCTCTGAACAAACAAAAAGTAAACTATGAAAACACAAAGGTACAGAGTAGTATATACATCCACCCAGGCCAACATTATCAAAGGTTTTTCCTTACTTCCTTCTGTCCCTTTCCTGGGGAAGGGGGAGAGGACTGGGATTAAAGAAATTCCCAATCTATTGTTTTGCCCTCTCATGACTCTAAAAACCATGGGCTTTTTTTTTTTTTTTCCAGAGCCACAGTGCCATTTTTAAACTTAACAAGTTGTGTACGCAGTCCAAATTTGAAGCTACCTGATTGTCTCAAAAATGTCCTTCTACAGTTGACTTGTTGGGATCAGGACATAGCATTGGGTGGCCATGTCCCTAGTTTTTTCTAATCTGGAGCGTTCCTCAGCCCCTCTCCCTATCTTGGAGGAGGTCCCGTGTCCTGGATTCATTTGTTTGCCTCATCATGAAGTTCTTTCACTTGTTCTGTCTCCTCTTCTCCATATTTTCTGTAAACTGGAGTTAGCTCTAAATGCTTGATTATTTGGGTCCAGCTTGTTTTGCGCAGCACTTCCTAGGTGGAGCTGTAAGCTTCATACTCCATCTGTGATGCAGTTGGATGGCCGGATTTAGCAAATTAAAATATAGGACACTAAATTTGAGTTTCAGATAAATAACTAATTTCTTAGTATACGTATGTCCCAAATATTGCATGGGACATACTTATACTAGAAGAATACATCCCTAAAAAATATTCGATTTTTTTCAGATAATTATTCATGATTTTTCTGAAATTCAGACTTAACTGGTATCCTCCTGACTTCCCTTAGTGATGCAATTGGGTTGTCCCAGTTTTCATGGTGCTGAGAGGGAGCAGTGGGTTCAGGTGGTGTCAACACGATCCCTTCCTTATAAACTTCTCCCCCAAACTTTCCCTTAATGGTTTTGTCCATTGATTAGGATCATCTAAATCACTTATTTAATTCCGGCTAGTAAGATGGTGATTTTTCTAATTCTATCATTTCTTCCACATTTAGTGGCTAAAATTTCCTGTAAAGAACTTTCCTCTACCAACTAGGCTTTTGTTTACCTTATCCTTCATGTCTTTCCTCAAGAGTTACCTTGGCTAGGAACAGTGGCTCAGGCTGAGGTGGGAGGATGGCTTGAGGCTGGAGTTTGAGACTAGCCTGAGCAACATAGTGAGACCCAATCTCTACAAAAAATTTAAAAATTACCCGGGTACAGTGGCATGTGCCTATAGTTCCAGCTACTCTAGAGGCTGATGTTGGAGGATCGCTTGGGTCCAGCAGTTTGAGCCTGCAGTGAGCTGTGATTGCACTACTGCACTCTAGCCTGGATGACAGAGTGAGGCCCTGTCTTAAAAAAAAAAAAAAAAGAATTACCAAGCTAAAAAAAAAAAAACAGAATTACCTTATCAGACCTTCCTTGACCACCCTGTATGAGATGGTACCCCACTGCCAACCCCACCACATGACTTTCATTTGTGTTCAGTAGTGTGTTCATTAATGTATCCCCAATATCTAAGAACAATGCTACAAAGCAAGTGCTTAATCAATATTTATTCAATATTATCATTGAATGAATGAATGTTGAGGCTTAATTTTTATAAGTTCTAGGACAATCAAATTAATACATTGCCTCAAGTACCATAAATTGGAAATAATAATCCCAATCCTATGATTATATCTTTGAGATTCAAAATAAATTTAAATAAATCACATTTAAATTAGCACACATACTTTTTTGCACAAAAACATGTTTAATAACATTTATTAAATGACCTGTGCAAGGCCTTTCACATACACACTCTCCCTTCACCTTCACATTCTCTCTGTACGTTTGTTATACCTTATTCACTCCATTTTACAGAGGAGGAAGCCTCAAATCTAGCTTTTATATATATAAATATATATATGTATGTGTGCATGTATATACATATACATAAATACATGTTTTATTTTAAGAGCCAGAGTCTCTCTTTGTCGCCCAGGTTGGAGTGCAGTGGTTGTGATCATGACTCATTGCAGCCTCAACCTCCCAGGCTCAAGTGATTCTCCCTCCTCAGCAACCTCACCCCAGTAGCTAGGACTTTAGGACTACAGGCATGCACCACCACGCCTGGCTAATTGCCATTTAGCTTACAAGGTATTCTTTTTGTTGTTTGTTTTATCAAGATAAAAATAATCTCTTATTAGCGGAAGATAGTGTAGTTGGTAGATTACCTCATCACAGAACTCTTGAGTTTCAAGGATGAAGGAGCAGTAAAGGGAAGTGATCTCCATGGCCCCAGTTCTTCTCCTTCATAAGCTCTTTACTCCCTCTTGGACACCCTCCTCACCGGTCCAGCCAAGCCAAGATCTGAAGCTGTGTTATTGGCGCTTTACCCTCCCTACCATCCTGGTCGCCCTTTTCAAGGGAAACCAAGGTGAAATCACACAAAGTGCAAAAGGCCTACAAATGTCTTTCTGTGGAACAAGTCCAAGCAAAATCTAACTGCAGTTTGGCTAAGTGTGCAAAGCTCATTAGGCTCTTGATTTCTTTCTTCCTCAGCTCTAACCAAAGAATCTTAATGTGTTAATGAACATTTACTATAAAGAGGGATTGATGGCTTTGGTAGCTTAGAGTTTGGACCCTGGCAGCAGGAAGATATGGTCTCAGATCCCAGCATTGCCATTTGTTAGTCATTTAACCCTGGCCAAATTGCTTAACCTCTTCAAGACTAAGTTTTCTCATCTGTAAAATGGTTCTAGTGCATGCCAGATAGGATAGTGATGAGGTTTCAGTGCAACAATCACTTCACACACAATGCTGCGAAGTGTCCAGCGTGGTATCTGGCACATGGTAAGTATTCAGTCAATTTTAACAATTGTGAGTCCCATATTCAAAGTGCTTATGGTGTAATGGAGAGACAAACGTTCAAGGCACATTATAATACAGCAAGTGTACTTCCCACTGTACTACATGTGTGGATAGGAGTACAGAAGAGATACAGAAGAGGGAGCAGCCCCCTGCCTGGGGAATTAGGGCATACCTTCCTGAAGATGGCCCTTGAACAGTTTGTGAAAACTGTGGGAAGAGAATTGTAGTCAAGAATACAGTATATACAGTGACCCAGGAGCAAAGCAGGACGTGGCACAGCCTGTGGTGGAGGAAAGGGAATTTAGTGCGACGAGAGGGTAGAATGTTTGAGGGGAGCTCTGGGAGAACGGGCTAGAGAGTCATCTTGGGGCCTGGCTCTAAAGAGCCCAGAGTAGGTGTACTTTGCTCAGGAATGTAGGTCTTATTCTACAGGTAATGGGGTGTTTCCCAGGGATAAGCACTTGACAGCTGCGTGACCTTGGGTACCTTATCTCGTCTCTCTGTGTCTCACTTTCATCATCTGTAAAACGCAGATGATAAATAACAGTGACCTCTTGGAATTCTTTAGTGAATGTGTGTATGTGCTATCTAAGTGATAGCTGTTAGTTGAGTAGTAATAATATTTTTCCAAGGTCGAAAATCCCAAATTAATGTTTAAATCAGTGAATTTCTTTTCATCTTCTAGGAACGTGCTATTTCAAACAATGAAATGTAAATGTCCTGTTATTTGTTTTAATGCTAAGGATTTTGTGAGAATAGTGCTGCAGTTTTTTGGCAATGATGGCAGTTGGAAGCATGGTAAGTTATATTTTTTATTCTCTCTATAATTTAACTCTTCAACTGTGACTCCTCCTATGAATGGGAGAATGGTGAGGGCAGCCATGTCACACAACTCCTGGAGGACCTGGCCACACAGACTGATATGCCTCCTGATGGGCCCTAGGCATGGGGAGGAAGTTTTCCTCCATGTTTCTAGGTTATTTGAATTTTTACAAGTATATATTACTTTCATAATTTAAAATAGGAAAGAGTTAACTTATGTAGCATGGTCAGTGAGATTTCTTGTTACCACAAATAGCTTATAAACTTTCTAAGAATTAAACTACAGTCCAGAGTAATTAACATCAAAACAATATAGGACCTACCTTTTATTTAAAATAGTAAAGATTTTAAATATATATATATATTTTTATTTTTTTAGAGATGGAGTCCAACTTTGTTGCCCAGGCTGGTCTCAAACTGCTGGCCTCAAGCCATCCTCCTGTCTCAGCTTCCCAAAGTGCTGGGATTATAGGCGTGAGCCACTGCACCGGGCCTAAAATAGTAAAGTTTTTTTAATAACTTTTTGAAAACTGGATGGACATGGCCGGGCACAGTGGGTCACACCTGTAATCCCAGCACTTTGGGAGGCTGAGGCAGGCGGATCACGAGGTCAGGAGTTCAAGACCAGCCTGGGCAACATGGTGAAACCCTGTCTCTACTAAAAATACAAAAATTAGCCAGGCTTGGTGGCTCATGCCTGTAATCCTAGCTACTCAAGAGGCTGAGGCAGGAGAATTGCTTGAGCCCAGGAGGTGGAGGTTGCAGTGAGCCACCGCACTCCAGCCTGGGGGACAGAGTGAGATTCCGTCTCAGGAGAAATAAAAAAACTAGATGGACAGCTAAGTGGTAAAACAAATATAGCAAAAATATTCATTGTAGAATCTAGGTGGTGGACATGTGTGTTCACTGTATGATTCTTTTCAAATTATATATTTGAAAATGTTCATAATAAATGTTGGAAAAAGCCCTTTTTATTGTCAAAAATTTCTAACATATACAAAAGTAGGCATCACCCAGTTTCAACAATTATCAATTTCCAGCCAATTTTTTTTTTTTTTTTTTTTTGAGATGGAGTCTCGCTCTGTCGCCCAGGCTAGAGTGCAGTTGCATGATCTTGGCTCACTGCAACCTCTATCTCCCTGGTTCAAGTGATTCTCTCCTGCCTCAGCCTCCCGAGTAGGTGGGACTACAGGTGTGCGCCACCATGAGTGGCTAATTTTTGTATTTTTAGTAGAGATGGGGTTTCACCATGCTGGCCAGGCTAGTCTTGAACTCCTGACCTTGTGATCTCCCCGCCTCGGCCTCCCAAAGTGACCCACTGCGCCTGGCTCCAGCCAATCTTTTGCTCTATAACTCCCCATACTTCCAAACTGCCACTTCCTGGATCCTTTGTAGCAAAACCCAAACATCATGTGATTCATCTCTAAATATTTCAATTGTATGACTAAAATGTGAGATTCTGTTTTTAAGACAACACCATCATCTCTCCCCACCCCCAAGCAAAATAACCAATAATCTTTTATTCTTTTTTTTCCTTCTAAAAATTTTACTGAATCATAATAGATATACATATTTTGGGGGAACTTGTGATATTTTGATACATTCATATAATGTGTAATAATCAAATCCGGGTAAATGGGATATCTATCACCTTAAACATTTATCTTTTCTTTATACTGGGAATATTTGAATTTTCCTTTACTAGCTATTTTGAAATATACAATAGATTATTGTTTACTATAGTCACTCTACTGATTTACTGAACACCAGGTCTTCTTTCTTCTGCCTAACTATGTATTTGTAACCGTTAATCAACTACTCTTAATCCCACCCACCGCCCCCTTACCCTTCCTGACCTCTGGTAACCACCAATCTACTCTACCTTCATGAGATCTGCTTTCTCAGCTCCTACATATGAGCGATATTTATCTTTCTGTGCTTGGCTTATTTCACTTAACATGGTGATCTCCAGCTCCATCCATGTTGCTGCAAATGACAGGATTTCATTCTTTTTTATGGCTGAATAGTAATACCACATTTTCTTTATTTATCTGTTGATGGACACTCAGGTTAATTCCTTATTTTGGCTATTGTGAATAGTACTGCAGTAACATGGGAATGCAGATATCGCTCTGATATGTTGATTCTTTTGAATATATACCCAGGAGTGGGATTGCTGGATCATATGGTAGTTCTATTTCGTTTTTTGAGGAACCTACGTACTGTTTTCCATAGTGGCTGTACTAATTTACTTTCCTACCAATAGTGTATGAGGGTTCCCCTTTCTCCATATCCTCACCAGTATCTGTTATTCCCTATCTTTTTGATGAAAGTCGTTTTAAATTGGGGTGAGATGATATCTCATTGTGATTTTCCTTGCATTTTTCTTATGATTAGTGATGTTGAACATTTTTAAATATTCTTGTTGGCCTTTTGTATATCTTCTTTTCAGAAATGTCTATTCAAATCATTTGCCTATTTTTAAATCATGTTTTCCCCCTATTGAGCTGTTTGAGTTCCTTTTATATCCTGGTTGTTAATCCACTATCAGATGGATAGTTTGCAAATATTTTCTTCCATTCTGTGAGTTGTCTGTTCACTCTATTGTTTCCTTTGCTGTACAGCTTTTGCTTGATGTAATTTCATTTGTCTGTTTTTGCTTTTGTTGCCTATACTTTTGAAGTTGTAGTAAAAAAAAAAAAATCATTGCCCAGACAAATGCACTGGAGCATTTTCCCAATGTTTTCTTCCAGATGTTTCATAGTTTCAGGTCTTAGATTTAAGTCCTTAATCCATTTTGATTTGATTTTTGTATATGGTGAGAGATAGGAGTCTAGTTTCATTCTTCTGCATGTGATTTTCCCAGCACTTTTCCCCAATATATATTCTTGGAGCCTGTCAAAAATGAATTGGCTGTAAATGTGTTGATTTATTTCTGGGGTCTCTATTCTGTTCCATTGGTCTGCGTGTCGGTTTTATGTCAGTACCATGCTGTCTTGGTTACTATAGCTTTGTAGTATAATTTGAAGTCAGGTAGTGTGGGTGATTCCTCCAGCTTTGTTGTTTTTGCTCATGATTGCTTTGGCTATTCAGGGTGTTTGGTTCCATACAGATTTTAGGCATTTTTGTCCTATTTCTTTTTTTTTTTTTTTTTTTGAGATGGAGTCTTGCTCTGTTGCCAGGCTGGATTGCAGTGGCGTGATCTCAGCTCACTGCAACCTCTACCTCCTGGGTTCAAGTGATTCTTGTGCCTCAGACTCTGAAGTAGCTGGGACTATAGGCACTCGCCACCACACCTAATTTTTGTATTTTTAGTAGAGACGGGGTTTCACCATGTTGGCCAGGATGGTCTTGATCTCCTGACCTCGTGATCCACCCGCCTTGGTCTCCTAAAGTGCTGGGATTACAGGCGTGAGCCACCGCGCCTGGCCTTTTTGTCCTATTTCTGTGAAGAATGTCATTGGTTGGTATTTTGATAGAGATTGCATTGACTCTTTGATTGCTTCATGTAACATTGATTTTTTTTCTTTTTTTTTTGTTTGAGATGGAGTCTCTCTCTGTCGCCCAGGCTGGAGTGCAGTGGCACAATCTTGGCTTACTGCAAGCTCTGCCTCCTGGGTTCACGCCATTCTCCTGCCTCAGCCTCCCAAGTAGCTGGGACTACAGGCGCCCGCCACCATGCCTGGCTAATTTTTTGTATTTTTGGTAGAGACGGGGTTTCACCATGTTAGCCAGGATGGTCTCGTTCTCCTGACCTCGTGATCCACCCACCTCAGCCTCCCAAAGTGCTGGGATTACAGGCGTGAGCCACTGTGCCTGGCCGGTAACATTGATATTTTAACAATATTAATTCTTGCATTTCCTCACTTTTATTCTATGTAAGTCTGTATAAGTAAAGTGGGTTTCTAGTAAGCAGGAAATAGTTGTGTCTTATTTCCTTATCCATTCAGCTATTCTATGTCTTTTAATTGAAGAATTTAGTCCATTTACATTCAATGTTATTGGTAGGTGAGGACTTATTACTACCATTTTGTTACTTGTGGTTAAGTGATTTTCTCTGGTAGTATCTTTTAATTTGTAGCTTTTTGTGTGTGTGTGTATTTATTATAGGTTTTTGCTTTGTGGTTACAAAAACCAGTAATAAATACACTAAAAATAAAAAGGAGCCTTACAAAAAAAATCTTATAGTTATAACAAGTTGTTTTAAACAGATGACAACTTATCTTTATTTACAAAGAAAAGAATAGAAACAAACAAATAAAGGAAAAACTAAAAAATCTTTACACTTTAATTCCACCCCCTACACACATTTTGACTTTTTGTTGCCTCGATTTATGTGTTTTTATATGGCCCATCTCTTAACACGTTACCATAGCTATTACTGTTTTTTATAGATTTATCTTTTAATCTTCACACTGGAGTTATGGTGGATTGCATACCACAATTTCAGTGTTAGAGTATGCTGAGTTTGTCTGTGTATTTACTTTTACCAGTGGGTTTCAATCCTTCAAATGTTTTCTTTTTGTATGTTCGTGGTTTTTTTTTGTTTTGTTTTGTTTTTTTGTTTTTTGTTTTTTTTGAGATGGAGTCTCCTTCTGTTGCCCAGGCTGGAGTGCAGTGGCGCAATCTCGGCTCACTGCAAGCTCCGCCTCCCAGGTTCACGCCATTCTCCTGCCTCAGCCTCCCGAGTAGCTGGGACTACAGGCGCCCGCCACCAGGCCCGGCTAATTTTTTTGTATTTTTAGTAGAGATGGGGTTTCACTGTGTTAGCCAGGATGGTCTTGATCTCCTGACCTCGTGATCTGCCCACCTCGGCCTCCCAAAGTGCTGGGATTACAGGCGTGAGCCACTGCGCCCGGCCCGTGTTTTTTTCTTTCAGATTGAAGAACTCCTTTTAGCATATCTTGGAAGATGGGTCTGGTGGTGATGAATTTCCTCAGTTTTTGTTTGTCTGGGGCTTTATCTCTTTTTCACGTGTGAAGGATAGCTTTGCTGGGCACAGAATTCTTGGGTGACAGTTGTCTTTTGTTTTGTTTTCCTTTTTATTGGGGAGGGGTTGGCAGGGAGATGGGGTCTCACTCTGTCACCCAGGCTGGAATGCAGTGGTGTGATCATAGCTCACTGTAACCTCAAATTCCTGGGCTGAAGTGATCCTCCTGCATCAGCCTTCCAAGTAGTCGGGACTATAGGTGTGTTCTACCACACCCAGATAATTTTTTTATTTTTATTTTGTAGAGACAGGGGTCTCACTATGTTGTCCTGGCTGCTGTTGAACTCCTAGCCTGAAGCAATCCTCCTGCCTTGGGCTCCCAAAGTGTTGGGATTACAGGTGTCAGCCACCAAGCCTGGCAGTTGTCTTTTCTTTCAGCACTTTGAATAGGTTATCCCACTCCCTCCTTCTGTTGAGAAACCTGTTGCCAGATGAATTGGAGCTCCTTTATATGTTATTTGTTCTTTTCTCTTGCTGTTTTTGGGGTCCTTTCTTTGTCCTTGACCTTTGGGGGCTTGTTTATTATATGTGTAGTGTAATATAGGGTAGTTATATTTGGGTGATTATAGGGTAGTTTTATTTGGGTTTAATCTGTTTGATCTCTGGCCTTCCTCTACCTGGATATTTATATCTTTCTCAAGATTTGGGCCAGGCGCAGTGGCTCATGCCTGTAATCCCAGCACTTTGGGAGACTGAGGCGGGTGGATCACTTGAGGTCAGGAGTTCGAGACCAGCCTGGCCAACATGGTGAAACCCTGTCTCTACTAAAAATTCAAAAGTGAGCCGGGCATGGTGGCACATACCTGTAATCCCAGATACTCGGGAGGCTGAGACAGGAGAATCACTTTAACCCAAGAGGCAGAGGTTGCAATGAGCCAAGATCAAACCATTGCACTTCCGCCTGAGCAACAGAGCAAGACTCCATCTAAACAAACAAACAAACAAAACAAACAAACAAAAAATTTGGGAAGTTTTCTGTTATTATTTTTTGAATAAGCTTTCTATTCCTTGCTCTTGCTCTGCTTCATCTTGAACACCACTAATTCTTAGATTTGCTCTTTTGAGGCAATTTTCTATATCTTATAGGTGTCCTTCTTTTCTCTTCTCTCTTTTCTTTTTACTCCTCTGTGTCTTTTCCAGTAGTCTATCTTCAGACCCACTGATTGTTTTCTCTGCTTGATCCATTCTGCTGTTGAGAGCCTCTATTGAATTTTTCAGTTCAGCAAATATATTTCTCAGTTCCAGGATTTCTGTTTGATTTTTTAAATTAAGTCAACCTCTGTTAAATTTTTCTGATTAATTTCTGGGTTTTTCTGTGTTATTTTAGAGATCACTGAGTTTCCTTAAAACTGCAATTTTGAATTCTTGATCAAAGAGCTTCACTGTCGCCATCCTGTTAAGGTCAGTCACTGGCTCCTTGCTTTGTCTGGTTTGAGAATGTCATGGTTCCCCACTTGCTATTATTTCTTGTGAATGTACGTCTATTTCTTTGCATTGAAGGATTCGTTTTTTTGTTCCAATCTTCTCTGTCTGGTTTGTTTTGGTTTTTTATTAGGTATGTTTGCTCAGAGATTTTTGGTCAATATACCTGTTAAATATCTTTTTGTTTTTGCTAGGTCCTTGCTTCCTTTTCAGCACTAGGTGGCACCTTAAGCCCAGGTGTGCCTCGGCTCTAGCAAACTTCAGAGCGCTCCCCATCCCTGATGAGGAAAGTCCCTAAGGGAATACCTCGCAGTATGGGAAGGCTAGCCGGGAGTTCATGCCCAGGGGACCTGTAGGATGTACCTCCTACAACATGGTCCTACTGACCAGCCTTTCTGATTTGGTGTCTCCTCTGTCTATGGTACAGAGCCGAGTGTCTGCTAGTCTCTACCACTGCCCATTTCTGGCTGTCCTCAGGGATATTTCTCCCTTCAGACACTCATGATGCTTCCTGTGGATTGTGGCAGGGACGGGTCTCCTGCCAGGGGGCCCAAGATGATGGGAAAGTTGATTGTCCACCTCAGTCTCACTTTTTTCAGTTTAGTAACTGAATTGGGAGAAGTTTTTCTACATGTTTGGTGACTGGCAGATTGGGGAAGGGACATAAAGTCTGATTCTCTTACTGTCTGCATGGAGTTTTTTCACTTCTGTGTGGCCTTGGAAACTGTGTCATCCTTATATTTGGGTTCTGGGATATTGCTGGTGATAATCTTGGTGCTGTATATTGGTTTTTGCTTTTTCTGTGAAGGAGAGTGAAGCCGGCTTTCTTGTGTTCTACCATTTTGGTAACATCACTCTATTACCAATAATCTCTTTTTATTATTAGCTGTCTAGTCAGTGTTTGCACTTCCCTAGTTGTTCTATAACTGTTTTTGTTTATTTGTTTTGTTTTTTTACAGTTTGTTTTAACTGGGGCCCAAAGCCCGTAACTTGTATTTCTTTTTGTTTATTTGTTTGTTTTTGAGATGGAGTCTCGCTCTGTCACTCAGGCTAGAGTGCAATGGTGCAATCTTGGCTCACTGCAACCTCTGCCTCCTGGGTTCAAGCAATTCTCCTGACTCAGCCTCTTGAGTAGCTGGGATTACAGGCACGTGCCACCATGCCTGGCTAATTTTTTATATTTTTGGTAGAGAGGGGTTTCACCATGTTGGCCAGGCTGGTCTCGAACTCCTGACCTCAAGTAATCTGCCTGCCTCGGCCTCCCAAAGTGCTGGGATTACAGGCATGGGCCACCGCGCCCAGCCAGGTGTGCTTGTATTTGTTAAGCCTCTTTTCATCTATATGTTCTCCCTTCCTCTGTCTTACACTCTTGCAGTTGTTTTGGTGTTCAAGAAACCAGATTGTTTGTCCTGTAGAATTTCTCACAGTCTGGATTTTACTGAGCACATCTCTTTCTTCTCATTTAATATGTTATCTCTCTTCTATTTCCTGTAAATTGGCAATTAGATCCAGATGCCTGATCAGATTCAGGTTAGATTTGGGAGAGAAAGACTACATAAGTGTTGTATACGTTTGTCAGGAGGTATATAATGTTTGGATGTTTATCTTTTTTTGTGATGTTAGAAGCTACTGCTTGTCATTGTCTAGGTTCCTTAATTGCAACATGGTGATATTTAAGATCTATTATGCTTTCTTCATTTATTAGCTATAACACTTACATAAAGAGAAATCCCCTTTTATCATCTATTTGGTTACCCTAAGTACACTTCATATAGAAAAGCCAAGATAAAATTTGATTATTTTCCTTTATTTACCCGTTTTCAAAATAATGAATTGTTTCATAGAATCACCAAAAGGTGATCAAAAAAAGCCTTTTTCATTTTAGTATCATTATGAGCATATGGATTTAAATATATTTGATATGTTTTGACACATTGCACATGATCTTTGATGAGTTAGGTGAGCCTTTGTCATACAAACCTAGTAATCTGGGCATCTTCTTTGATTTGTGGTATGGTAGGATGTTTCCAGGTCATCTTGTGCATTTCCTGCTCTAGACCTGAAATTAGCCATTTCTTCAAGGAGCCCTGTTACATTAGTGAAAATGGCATTTAGAGACCAGAATCTGGTCACTGGATATGTACCTCACTATTAGGTTGACTTTTGTTACCAGGCTAAGATGTTTGTATTTTTTTTTAAGATAAAATATACTGTGAGTTCATACTGATATTTCTAATTCATGTTCAGGATGACAGGGTTTTTACTTAACCTTATTGATCTCCTTTAAAACATACTGAAGAATCCTTTGTACTTGGAGGTCAGTTTGGCTGTATATAAGATCACTGGTTTACATCTTTCTTTGTATTTCTAAAATATGCTATACTATTGTTTTTTGGCATAAAGTGGTGCTTTCAGAAAGTGTGGTGAAAATCTGATTCTCTTTCCCTAATTAGTGACTTGGTCTTTTTGTCTGAATGTCCAAAGGTTTTTGTTTGTTTTGTTTTCCTTTTTTTTTTTAAAGTCTAGTGTTTTACTAGACTGTGTCTTGGTGTTGGCTGTTTTGGGTCAATTTTGCAAGATATGTATGTACCCTTAAAAAAAAAAAAAAAACTTTGGCTGGGCACGGTGGCTCACGTCTGTAATCCCAGCACTTTGGGAGGCGGAGACGAGTGGATCACCTGAGGTCAGGAGTTCAAGACCAGCCTGGCCAACATGGTGAAACTCCATCTCTACTAAAAATATGAAAATTAGCCGGGCATGATGGCGTGCGCCTGTAGTTCCAGCTACTCAGGAGGCTGAGGCAGAAGAATCACCTGAACCTGGCAGGCAGAGATTGCAGTGAGCAGAGATCTCGCAAGACTCTGTCTCAAAAAAAAAAAGAAAAAAAGAACACCTTGTAAATAGCTTTCTGGTATAGCTTTAAAAAATAGCGGTTTTATTAAGATATAATTTCATACCATAAAATTCACTCTTTAACTGTACAATTCAGGGGTTTTTCAAGTAATCACAGAATTGTGCATCTATCACCACTACATAATATCAGAACATTTTTGTCACCCCAAAAAAAAACCCTGTACTCCTTAGCAGCCACTCCCCATCCCCCCTTTCTCAGACTCTGGCAAGCACTAATCTGTGGTTTTTTGTCTCTGGAGTTGTGTATTCTGAATATTTAACATGAATAGAATTGCACAATATGCAACCTTTTGTCACTAGCTTATTTCATTTAGCCTGATGTAGCTTTTTGTTGTTGTTGGTTTTTAACCTAGTGTTTTAAAGGTTCATTCAAGTTGTGGCATGTATCAGTACTTTATTCCTTTTTATGGCTGAATAATATTCATATTTTGTTCATTCATCAGTTGATGAACATTTGAGTTGTTTTCACTTTTAGCTGTTATGATTAATGCTTCTATGAACTTTGGTGTAAAGGTCTTTGCGTGGACATATTTTCAACTTGCTTGCGTGTATATCTAGAAGAAGTAGAATTGCTGGGTCATGTGGTACTCTGTATTTAACATTCTGAGGAACTGCCAAACTTGTTTCCAACAAGGCTGCACCATTTTAACCAGCACTGTATATAGCACTGTAACTTCCCCACATCCTTGCCCAATACGTGTTCTTGTGTATCTTTATTTTAGTCATCCAAGTGGATGTGAAGTGTTACATCCTTATGGTTTTGGTTTGTATTATACTGATGCCTAATGATATTGGACATCTTCTCATGTGCTTATTGGCCACTTTTATATCTTTTTTTGGGGAAATGTCTGTTCAAATATTTTGCCCATTTTAAAATTGCATTGTCTTTTTATTGTTTATTTGTAAGAATTATTTATATATTCTAATATGAGTTTATTGTCAGATATACAATTTGCAAATACTTTCTCCCAATCTGTGACTTGTCTTTTTAGTTTCTTGATGTCCTTTGAAGCACACTTTTTTTTTTTTAAGGAAATCCGATTTATTTGTGTTTTCTTTTGTTATTTGTGTTTTTGGTGTCAAATCTAAGAAACTATTGTTTAATCCAAGGTCAGAAAGATTTACTCATTTTTTTTCATACAAGTTTAATCATATTCTCTCTGAGGTTAGGCTTATGATCCATTTTTGGTTAATTTTTGCATATGGTGTGAGGTAGGGGTCTGTATTAGTTTCCTAGGTCTGCTGTAACATTACCATAAACTAAGTGCTTAAAACAAAAATTTATTTTCTTACAGTTCTGGGGGCTGGAAGTCCAAATTAAGGTGTTGGCAGTTCCTTCTGGAGTCTCTGAGGGAAAATCCATTCTGTGACTCTCCCCCAGCTTCTGGTGGTGGCTGGAAGTCCTTTTCACTCCTTGACTTGTAGACACATCCCTCCAGTCTCTGCTTCCATCCTCATGTGGCCTTTTCCCTCTGCATGTCTCTATATGTCACCTTCTTTTCTGTCTCTCATAAGGACACCCATCATTGGATTTAGGGCTCACCCTAACTTAAGATGATCTCATCTCAAGATTCCTACCATAATTGTATCTGCAAAGGCCCTTATTTCAAATAAGTTCCCATTCTGAGATTCTGGGTGGAGTTATCTTTTGAGGACCACAATTCCACCCATTGTTGGTATCCAACACCATTCTTAGTACCTTTGTTGAAAATCAATCAACCACTGATGTATGGGTTTATTTCTAGACTCTTGATTCTGTTCCACTGATCTGTAGGTCTATTCTGTGTCGATACTACGCTGTATTGATTATGTATATGTCTTTATGTAGTTTAAAGTCATCTTTTTTTTTTTTTTTGAGACGGAGTCTCACTCTGTTGCCCAGGCTGGAGTGCAGTGGCGTGATCTCAGCTCACTGAAAGCTCCGCCTCCTGGGTTCACACCATTCTCCTGCCTCAGCCTCCCCAGTAGCTGGGACTGCAGGTGCCCACCACCACACCCAGCTAATTTTTTGTATTTTTAGTAGAGACAGGGTTTCACCGTGTTAGCCAAGATGGGCTCAATCTCCTGACCTCGTGATCTGCCTCTCCTGACCTCGTGATCTGCCTGCTTCGGCCTCCCAAAGTGCTAGGATTACAGGCATGAGCCACCATGCCCGGCCTAAAGTCATCTTGAATTACAGTGTTTAGTGCTGTGTTCGTTTGTTTTCTTTCCTTTGATTTCCTATTTCATATGTTGAATCTTCTTGTCTGTCTTTCATATTTATCTTTTTGTCATATTTATCATTTTTTATCCAGAATCCATTTTCAGTTTCGTCATTTCTTTTAGATTTTTTAAAATTTTATTTTATTTTATTTTTAAGTTCTGTTGGACTTGATTCTTTTTTATTTAAAAAAATATTCTGTCTTTTTTGGCTGGGCACAGTGGCTTACGCCTGTAATCCCAGCACTTTGGGAGGCTGAGGTGGGCAGATCAACTGAGGTCAGGAGTTTAAGACCAGCCTGGCCAACATGGTGAAACCCCATCTCTACTAAAAAAAACAAAAATTAGCTGGGCATGGTGGTGGGTGCCTATAATCCCAGCTACTCGGGAGGCTGAGGCAGGATAATCACTTGAACCTGAGAGGCAGAGGTTGCAGTGAGCCGAGATCATGCCATTGCTCTCCAGCTTGGGCAACAGAGCAAGACTCCATCTCAAAAAAACAAACAAAACAAACAAACAAAAAATTCCCTTTCCTTAATTCTTTTTTTTTTTACTTTAAGTAGTTAGCTATTATGTTTATTTGCTTTTGTGTCTTGCGCCAGTTTAGTTTTTATTTCTGAAATGTCTTCTTTTTTTAAATTTTCTCTCCTAGATTCTGTCATTTCTTTGTATAATTTTTCTTTTTCTAAGTCACCTAATTTCTAAGTATATTATTCGGATTTACTTACTTTTTTACAGGTTTTACTCTTTCTTAATTTTCTGAGTTTGTTTTAAATCTTATTTTGTTAGCATTTCTTTTTCAGCTACTGGCATTTTCTCCCTAGTGTGGGATTTGTCCTGGCAGGCTTCAGTTTGTCAGTTGCAAGAGATTATAGGGACCATCTCCCAGAGCATTCTTATACTGTCAGAGCTTCCCCAAGGATTTTAAAAAACATATGTTGATAACCATTACTTTTGGAATATTAAAGCATTGAAAAGGGAAGTGGAGTGAAACAGTCCTATTGGGTCAGTCCGCATCACCAGACAGTGTTGTAGAAAATCATGTGCTGCTGACGGAGACATGTGCTCCTCTTATCCAGAGCTCCAAATGTGCTACTGTAAGAGCCTTCCTAGATATCAAATGAGAAAGTCATAATACTGGCTGCTTTGGTAAATATAAATCTCTTAGACTGGTATAATTTAAAGATGCCTGAACATATAATATTTAATGTGATATGATCTAAGACTATAGTTTTATTTAAAGGCAAACTCCTTACTTTTGTATGGCACAATTCAAAATTTTAAAGTAACTTAAAAAGCAGTCACTTTAGGATTTAGTTTGTCTATTGATTTCTAGCCCGCCCCACCTCCCCAGCCTTTTATGACTCTCCCTTCATGTCTAAAGTGTTCTGGTATAAAAACTTGTTTGTTTAGCAAATATTGTATTTACTTTTTAAAAAGCATTTTCTCATGTATATCACACATAATTACAGTAATCTTTCCCCCCAGTTTTTGGATGAAGAAACTAACACTGAAGGGGCGAGGTGGCCTCCCAGGCTCAGAGGGTGATTCAGAATCCAGGCCTGGTGTTCCTTCCACAGTACCAAAGCGCCACACATTAGTTGTCTTGTAGATTTTCCACACTTCAGGGAGAATGCCAAAGTATCTTTGCCTTGCACACACTACCTGTTCAACACTCAGTGACGAGGGTGTCGTGTGTGCTCAGGCAACTCCCGCCCTTCTTCCTTTTGCTCGAGAGGCTTGGATTCCAGACTCCATGGTGCCAGACAGCCCAGTGACAGGCTGGAGGAGGGCAGGACTTGGCAGAGAGGATGCCTGAGGGAAAGAGGAGCAAGGAGGAGGGGAGGCAGGTAGCATGACCCACGACTCTGACTTCGACAGCTTTTAACATGTTTTTGAGAGATCCAAATTGCAAGTGAGCTTGGAGTCCCTCCTTTATGGCTACTTGAAATCTGCCTCTTTAATGTGACACCCACAGAGACGGGCCATGTGGGACTTGGGTTCATCGAGGCTGCCTTATCAAGGGTTCTAAATTCTGGAGAATAATGGAAAGTCACTTTGGTCCTTAGGTCTATAATTTGAGAGGATGACAATACTACTACTATTCGTTTGAACTTAAGAACTTTGTCAAAGCAGGAAAAACAACTATTGGTTTTTCTTGGGATGACTGAATGACCTTTTTCTCTTCAGTTGCTGATTTTATAGGGCTAGATCCCAGAATTGCTGCATGGCTTATAGATCCTAGTGATGCCACACCCTCTTTTGAAGATTTAGTAGAAAAATACTGTGAAAAATCCATTACAGTTAAAGTGAACAGCACATATGGAAATTCCTCAAGAAATATTGTGGTGAGTTGTTTAAGATAAAGTTTTATCAACCTTAATACATCCTATTTTTTCTGGAAGCTTTTTCTATTTTATTGATAGCCTAATAGTAAAAAGAACATTGTCAACATTCATTTTCACTTATTCAGCACAAATAGTTGTGACCTTGGCATTTCTGGTGGAGGATGTTGAATAAGGATAGGTGATGGCTGTTCTTCTATGGCACCTGTTCCTAGGAAATCTGTCCATAGTGTGACTCTTCCAGATGACTCTCTGATGTCAGTGTCACCTGCTCCATGAACAGAATGCCACTCATTGATAAATCCTTAGGGCTGGTGACGTGGCCACAGTGCCAGAGGTCCTGGGATGGCTACTCTTCAGTCTGTGTGGAGAGAATGGTCAGAACTGCCCTGGGTCTCGGGCTGGGTGCAGCAGCTCATGCCTGTAATCACAGCACTTTGGGAGGCTAAGGTGGGCCGATCACTCGAGGCCAGGAGTTCAAGACCAACCTAGCCAACCTGGTGAAACCCTGTCTCTACTAAAAATATAAAAATTAGCCAATCATGGTGGCAGGTGCCTGTAGTTCCAGCTACTCAGGAGGCTGAGGCAGGAGAATTGCTTGAACCTGGGAGGCAGAGGTTGCAGTAAGCCAAGATTGTGCCACTGAACTCCAGCCTGAGTGACAGAGTGAGACTCTGTCTCAAAAAAAAAAAAAAACTGTCTTGGGCCTCTCTCCAGGCCTTCGCCTGCTAGAGATACCCCTAGTTATCAGGAAGCACCATCTGGAAAACAAAGGCACTCACACCTTCTAGAACTGTGCCTAGAACCCAGAGAGAGAGACTTCTCAGCAGGCCCCAGAGGAGAGGTGTCTAGTGGTGGCAATGTGGCCACAGTTGGGGCCACCCTGTTCAGGCTTTCTAGTTAGCTGTCAGTGAACAGTTACATGGTAAAATCACTGCTGGAAGAACACACAGGCTACTGAGCTAGCTCAAGCAATCACAGCAAAGCAAGTGGTGATGTGAGCCCACGCCATGTACTGGGCACTGAGCTGGGGGTAAGAGGTGATGTGAGCCCAAGCTGTGTGCTGGGCACTGAGCTGGGGATAAGAGGTGATGAGAGCCCATGCTGGGCACTGGGCACTGAGCTGGGGGTAAGAGGTGATATGAGCCCGTGTCAGGCACCAGGCACTGAGCTGGGGATATTTGCCTCATGTACTTCATCCTCACAGATCATCTGTGATGTGAAGATTTGTAACAATAGGGTTTTGGGGTTATAAGTTGCAGAAATGCACTCTCCCTTAATATAAAAAGAGATTTATCAGAAGGATATGGGGTAGCCCACAGAATCAGAGGAAAGGCAGTACCAGGCCTTGGGAAGAACAGGAGCCACGCAGCCCTGAGTCCCAGGGAGCTGGAACTGGTAGGCTTGGTGGCAGCACTGAGCCATGACTTTTTCTCTGTCCAAAAGTCAAAGTTTCAGCACTTGGAGAGTGTTTTCTTTCCCTCCTTGTACCATGTGTCTACACCCCACCAGGGAGGCCAGGCATCTTGATTAGTATCCCTACCCACACTTCATGCCGTCAGGCAGGGAGACTTCTCCAAACAGAAGCTGAGATATTAGAAAGAAGGAGTTGTCCATCTCAGAATTATCAGTCCCAGTTTACAGATGAGAAAACTGAGGTATAGAAAGGTTAACGTACATGTGCCTTGCCCAGGGTCAAATTGAGGCCAGGGTTCAACTCATCCACACTCGAGGCAGAAAAGAGGCAGCCTCAGATGCAGTTCTGTTTATGTCTCATCAGCCAGATATGTCTCTGTAGTTGAGCCATGCAGGGCATGGATGAGGGTGGGAGATGGAAGTCCAGCCATTAATCATTAATCTACAGATCACAGGTTACACCATTCTCTCCAAAGAGGTGGCATGAATTGTTCAGATAAATGGAAGAGAGTTCCAGGTAGAGGGAGCAGCAGGGATATGGTAAGACTCTCAGAGAACATGGTGCCTCTATGGAGGACAGCAAGACCAACCTGGGGAGAAGGAGGCATGGCTGTGGGGAGCCAGAGAAGATTTAGGGGCTCCTCGTGCAGCTGTGCCATACCAGGGAGCTGGGCCTGTCCTGGGGGTATTCAAACTAGGAGTCACATGGTCAGTTTTGGGGTGTGGAAGGCTCCTGCAGGCAGCCAGGTAGAATTCTGCCAGGTGGCAGTCAAGAACTTGACATGGAGGGACTCTTCTGTAGGATGTTCTCCCAACATTCACAGGAGAGCCACAAGCAAGATGACTAGAAAACAATGCCAAGGTGTGTGCACTTAGCCACTGGTCCCATGGGATGTTCACTCTAATCTCAGGCCTTCAGCAGAAAATTGGGTCTGAGTGGGCTGGAGGTGGGGGATTTGTTTGGCAGAATGGGGTGTTGAAGAGGTCCTGGCACTCCAGGTTAGGGGAAGGGTAATTAGACTCTGTATTGAGGGACACATCTCATCCCATCTCCCTCTTTGTCAGCTGAACACAGACCCTTGTTTGTCATCTCCCAGGGCCTCTGTGTGCATCTCCTGGGGTGAGAATGGAGGGGTAAGTGTGGAACGTGGCAGCAGCTGTGCGTGGGTGCAAGGTGGTAAGGCTGAGAGAATGGAGCTGTGGACTCCAGAGAGGCCAGGTCTGCATTCTCCTCTCCCTGCTACCATTTAATCATTGTACCTGAGACATTAAGCTTCTTTGTGGTTCTGTTTCTCAGTCTATAAAATGAAGAAATACCCTCGGTTGGGAGGAAGTGTCCAGCTATGGATAGCTTGCACTTGCGCAGTAGAAGCACTTTCTACAGATGCGAACTTGTCTAGTCGAGGTGTTTGGTGATACTACCACGTACATGACATCTGCCATTGAAAACCTCATGGGATTTTACTAGGAAACATTTTTCAAGTCATGTCAGTTACAGACTGTGGTGAGCACTGCCACCAAGTTTATCTGATTTTTAAAAATACTTTTGCTCTTTTAAAGAATCAGAATGTACGTGAGAACCTGAAGACACTCTACAGACTTACAATGGACCTTTGCTCTAAACTGAAGGCAAGGCATTTTATTATAATTTCTGGCTGACAGAGGCTCACAAGAGATGTCTTTTCATTGGCACCCGCACTCCCAGGGAGTTTGAATGTGAAGGAAACGAAACGTTGAGTTCTAAGAACAAATTAACCTGTGCATTACTCAGAAAAGGGTTGTCTAGAATGATAAGAACTGAAGTTTTAAAAATGCTTTCTGTAGGTTGAAAACAATTGTAATATTTTTTAAAGCCTCTTTTTTAAGTGGGATGTTTCCAATGCCATAGTTAATGTAAAAGCTGAGCATTGATTTTGATTAATAGTGGGATGGACATAGCTTCACTCAACCAGAGTCTTCCTGGGAAGCAGACAGCCACTGCAATGAGCCACCAAGAAGAGCTGAGTGGAGGGACTGTGTCCAGAGGCCAGGGAGGGCAAAGGGAACCAGCCAGAAGGAGAAAGCTCCAGGGACAGGCAGTAGCTCAGCCTGTTTCCCTCCCTCCTGCCCCCTATGCCCCATCTGAGAGCAGAGGAGTGGCCCGGGTGATGTGACCTGGAGGAGCCTGCCCCGCCTTATGGGCAAGGGCAGGGCAGAGAATGGGTCTGGAGGGGCAGGAGAGAACATGAGGGCAAGAGTTGGAGGATGGAGCCTGGGACTCTCTAATGGCAGCAGGAAAACTAAAAACAATGAGACTCATGAAGAACACAGGAAGGCCCGGATAAATAGAGATTCCATGCTCTCAGGGGAGGTGGCCTGGAATAAAGATTCTAATGTTCCTCAAATTAATCCATAGTGGCAGTGAAAAATCAATGAGAATTATTGGTAAATTTTGGGAATTCAGTAAGCCTATTCTGAAATTAAAATGGTAGACTAAAAGTCCACAAATGCTTAAATCAATCTTAAAAATGAAAAAGAGTGAAGAAAATTGAGGATGGGGCTTGGCCTATCAGAATTTCTTTTTATTTCTTTTTTTCCACTTCCAATGTTTGACTTGAACCTATCTATATTTCTAACTATCTCTACTAGATCTTGGTAATAAAATAGCCTACTTAAGGGAAATAAGAGTTCATTAGGAAGAGCAAGTAAGAGGAGTCGAGGTTGGGTGGGAGACCAGCCATGCCCATGATAGGGGTCACCTTAATTCTAGCTCGACAAAATTTAGGCTTTTTGGTTGGGTGCGGTGGCTCATGCCTGTAATCCCAGCACTTCGGGAGGCCAAGGTGGGCAGATCACTTGAGGTCAGGAGTTCAAAACCAGCCTGGCCTACATGGCGAAACTCCGTCTCTACTAAAAATTTTTAAAATTAGCCTGGCATGGTGGGGGGTGCCTGTAGTCCTACCTACTCAAGAGGCTGAGACAGGAGAATCACTTGAACCCTGGAGGTGGAGGTTGCAGTGCGCTGAGATCACGCCACTGCACTCCAACCTGGGCAGCAGAGCAAGACTCTGTCTCAAAAAAAAAAAAAAAAGTAGGCTTTTCAACAAAATGCAGATACAATAATATTTAAATTGACGTTGATGTTATTTCTTCCTATTAAACAGGATTATGGTTTATGGCAACTATTTCGTACTTTGGAGCTTCCTCTGATACCAATTTTGGCAGGTAAGTTACCATAAAGATGAAGTACAGCCATTTTTCTAGAGGGTTCTTCATATTGTTTGGGATGAACATTTCTCCATACCTTACTTAGGAGTAGATAGTATATCTCATGGGCACCAGAGAGGTAGCAAGCCTATTATTTTCCCTTTCTGTAGTGAGGGGTTGGACTGCATTCCCTCTTGGTGTGGAAAGACTCGAGGTTCTGACATCTTGGTCATATGGGATCCCTTCTGTGCTGCCTGGCCAAGGAGGAGTAGGCTTCTCTAGATGTTTTATGTGTTAGTGGTTGTCTCTCATTCTGGTTTGCTGTCCTTATAACCTTGAGAACCTTCCTGCAAGAACTGATGCAGGGCTCTCTTCTGCCTTTGCCTTTGACCGCAGGTCCTGATGGGCACCACGTCAGCCAGGGGGCATTCACAGTGTGGGAAGGGCCAGGCTGGCCAGTGCGGTCCCCTCGCCCACTCCCACCTCAAAGGCCAGCTCTGTCAATGCGCCCATTTGCCTGTATGACACAGGGATCCTGACAGATCCTGTGCAGAGGTTGGCATGCAGCAGGTGCTGAGTAAATGGCAGTTGCAGTCATTATTGTCCTCATCAGGGAGCGAAGCATTTTAGTCTTTAGTAAAAAGAATACATTAATGCAAATATGATCTGGTTTGGGTTTCGAATCACAGTGATGGAAAGCCATGCCATTCAGGTGAACAAAGAGGAGATGGAGAAGACGTCAGCACTTCTTGGGGTAAGTTATTATTCCAGATGGTTTGTACTGGCCATCTCTTTCCTGCATGAGATAGTTGTTCCCAGTGGCAGGTCTAGAGTAGATTCTCCTTTTCTTCTCTTCCTTGTTTGGTGTTGACAGTGTTTCTCCCTCTTTCTGACGCCTGCAGGGGAGAACCAAGCATTGAAAAGACCTAAACAGCATCTAGTGCGTGTGTGTCCGGGGAGTTCTTTAATGGCTCCTCAGGATCCTCCTCAAAAGTTACGTTTTTCTTACAGGGACATTGTCCCCTGTAGTTTGGTGAAGGAATTCTTGGGTTTCTTGAAAAACAAAAATACAGAGATGTGTAAAGATGCATGAAAAAATACTTAAAAATGCTCTACTTCAGTTTTCTTAAGAAAACACATGTAGGTGGAGAGTGGGAAAATAGACACAGAGACTGGGAAGGGTGAGCAGTGGCGGGGCGGGGCAAAGATGAAGAGAAGCAGGCTAAAGGGTGCAAACATACAGTAAAATAAAAGAAATAAATTCAGTGTTTGATAGCAGCGTAGGATGACTGTACTTAACAAAAAGGTATTGAACTTGAATGATGGGTGCTCTGAATACCCTGACGTGACCACCACACATTATATACACGTAATACATTTTCTCATGTACCTCATACATCTGCACAAATTTTTAAAAAGGCTAAAGCACATGCCAGGAGCATCTTTAAAATAAAATGTTTAAAGGAAACCCCAATATAACCATCACCTGGTTCAAAGCACAGACTTTCCAGAGTCCTGTGTGCTTTCCCTATCAGAACCCCTTTCTTGCTGCCAAAAGTAACTGCAACCCTGACTTTTGTAGCCTTTTCATCGTTGCTTTTCTTTCTAGCTTTCCCACTTCAAAGCCTAAGCAATGTAGTTTAGCTTTGCTTTTGAACTGTAAGTAAACAGTGACTTACGTGTGGCCTTTTACCCAGCCTTCTACATCTCAGCTCCACCTGTGTTTCTGTGTGTCACTCAGTGCTGTGGAGTTTCCCGCTGTGGACTGTGCTGCCCTTGGTGTCTCTGTCCCACTGCCGATAGGCGTGTGGTTGTTTCCAAGTGGCAGTCGTTACAAACCACGCTGTACCTCTGAGTGCATTCCCTGTGCCTGTGGGCACAGGTTTCTGTGGGCTGTGAGGTGACTAGTGCTGCTGGGACACAGGGAAGCTGTTGCTTAGTTTTATTCAATAATGCCCAATGGCTTCCCAGAGTCTCACCCATGAGAATGCATACGGGATCCCATTCTTGCACATCCTCACTTCCCCTGGGTGCATCAGACTTTTACATTGTAGCCATTTTGGTGAGGCTATAATGATATCTCATTATGAGTTTTGTTTCTATTTTCCTGATTACTAATGTCAACCAAGAAGAGGTGAAAGAGCAGACTGCAAAGCAGTTAGACAAGGCATTCCTGGGGTCTTAGAAACTGCAATTCAGGAGACACAGGTTCAGCTAAAGGCCAATAAGTGTTCTGAAGAGAGGAAGGGGAGTTGAGATTTTTAAAAGGAAGCTAAGGGCGAATACACAGTTGTTGTGAAAGAATTATCATTGTTGGAGGCGGTTGGCTTAGTACATGAGTCCGTTGAGCTCATTGGTTGTCGCTCTTCAGAAGGTGCAGCACTGGCAAAATCTAGCTGTTTTCCAGGATGTTGTGGTCATTGCAGTTGAGCCCAGTTCAGAGGTTCAATTCAAGTTCCTGTTTTTTGTTTTTGTTTTTGTTTTTCAGCATTTCAGGTCATGCAGGCAGTCCTTAGAATGGCTCCCTGACTCTACTTTAGAGCTCTGGACCAGAGTGATATCATTTTTGTATGTCACATTTCACATTAGTGGGATCGATTAGCTTTTCATAGCATCATTAGCTTTTAGGAATTTCTTTTTGTAAAGGATCTGCTCAAGTCTTTTGCCCATTTTTATATTTTTTCTTACTGATGTATAGGATATCCTGATGTATTCTGGATACAAGCCTGTTTCCTATACTTTCTACCTCTGTCTTGTTCTATGTGATGTTGGATCCCTTTTCTAGTCTTAATATTGTTGGAGAATTGATTCTTTCTTTCCCATTATTTTTACTACTTTAAGTTTGTTTTCTTACCTTTGGGGGAGGATGCTTCTATGAGCCTAGGTATTTCACCATGAGGCAAAATATGTTTATTTTTATTTTTATTTTTTTGTAGAGATGAGGTCTCACTATGTTGCCCAGGCTGGGCTCAAACTCCTGGGCTCAAGACACCCACCTGCCTCGGCCTCCCAAAGTGCTGGGATCACCGGTGTGAACCACCGTGCCTGGCCAAAGTGTGTATTTTTATGCTTATTTTGATAAATTATAGGTTATTTATTACTCTTTTAAGAGCTTTCTTTGGGAATTTTGTGTGTATGTGTTTGTTTGTTGAGACAGTGTCTCACTGTCACACAGGCTGCAGTGCAATGGCACAGTTATAACTCACTGCAACCTTGAACCCTCGGGTTCATACAATCCTCCCACCTCAGCCTCCCAAGCAGCTAGGACCACAGGTGTGTACCACCATGCCTGGCTAATTTTTTTTTTTTTTTTTTTTTTTTAGTGGTGGGGTCGCACTATGTTGCCCAGGCTGGTCTCAAACTCCTGGTCTCAAGTGATCCTCCTGCCTCAGCCTCCCAAAGGGCTGGTATCACAGGCATAAGCCACCGTGCCCATCTCGCTGTTGAGAATTGTTTGATGAACAAATTAAACAATCTTAAATTGTGAAAACTATGAATGAAATTAATTGTGTGTATCATATTTTCAGGCTCGTCTCAAGGAATTGGAGCAAGAAGCTCATTTTGTTGCAGGAGAACGGTTTCTTATAACGAGCAATAACCAGCTTCGAGAGGTAAAGCTGAATTTTGGTTCTTTCATAAAATGTATTTCTTATTCAGGAGTTAAAGGGAGATTTATTTTGAATTTATAAGTATTATTTTATGTCAACTATCTGAAAAGTAAGTTTTTCATGTTCTCTCACAAGTAATGAACACATTGAGATTCATTACTTCAAAGCCTTTAACTTGTAGAAAAGTACTAAATGAGAATTTAAGCATGTTGTAATGTCTGTTTGGGTGTGTCTTCTCTGGCTGTTGGCATGGGCTCTGCTATAGTAATGTTCTGTTTCTCTCAAATGTGAGATTCCCTCACCATGTTTAATTTGTTTTGTTGAAGATCCTCTTTGGCAAGTTAAAGCTGCACCTGCTGAGTCAAAGGAACAGTCTCCCCAGAACGGGGTTGCAGAAATACCCGTCTACATCAGAAGCAGTGGTAAGGTTTCAGAGTTATCCTTTTTCTTTTTAGAATGACAGCATGTCTGCACCACATGTGTGCTGACCTTCAGACCCACCCGAGACTCTCAGGCCGTCCCCTCATGCTGGCAGCAGTTTCTGCAGAAGAGGGGCTCCCCACACCAAGGTTGCTTTTCTCGCTATGGACCAAGGGAGAGAGGCAGACAGTACACTTTTGCAGAAGCAGTTAATTGGCTTGACTTCCTGAAAAGCATAATTTGGTGGAGTTTTGTTCTTAAAACCAATTTCTTGACAATCCAGTCACAACCTCTTTGCTTCGTGTCCCCAAGAGGAACTAGAAACGGGTCATCAGTCTTCTCCTTTCCTCAGATTTATTTTAGAGAATTTTACCTACCCCTCTCTTGAGAGGAATCAATTTTTTTTGAAGACAAGGAGTAGTGAGATTGTGCTGTGTTGGAGTGGGAGAGTATAGATCGATATTCAGAAGACAGTGAGTGCTTTTACTGAAAAGACACAGAGTGGAAGTCAGTAAATAAGTGAATTCATGTTATTGTGAATATTGGTTACTGTGGTGAGAACCAGCTTCTGAGGCTCCAGTTTGTGCTTTCTGTGCTCTGTCCAGCATTCGACTTTGTAACAGAGGAAGGTTTCCTTCTAAGATGTCTCCTCTGGCCCTATTCCCTCTCCAGCACCACGTTCCTCCAGTCTCCGCCCTGTGAGGGTGTCTTAGAGTACAGGCCCTCAAGGAGCCTGAGCTCGTTGACTGTGCCTGCACTTGGCCTTTGCTGGTTTAATGGACAGTTACTGGGTGAATAATGGACTCCCACAGAGGATGCTCCACTGGAGGGACTTGAAACTGCCCTCTTCCAAATCCTCTTCTTCTTCAAGCTTTCTCCACCTTAGTGAAGGGCCCGTCCTCCTTCCAGGTCCTTGGGAGCCAGTACAGAGTAGTAAGTAAGAACAAGGGCAGTGGGGTCAGCCATCACTGGCCAGCATGGTTTGGACAACATGAAAACATTGCTCGACTGCTCTGTGCCTCAGTTTCCTGATCTATAAAAGAAAAATAATAATAGTACTTTCCCTACTGGAATCTTGTAAGGCTTCAGTGTGTGTGCGTGTGTGTGTGTCCATGTGTCTGTGTGAAACAGCACTTAGGACCGTGCCAGACGTAAAAGCTCTCAAAAGACCAGTAAGCATCGGCCATTCTGAGAAAAGTCCTGTGAGTCGTCCTTGACTTTCCTTCCGCCTCCTCTCACAGTGAGTGTCAAGGTCTCTACCCACAAAATAGGTCCTGAGCATGCCTCCTTTTCCCCATTCCCCCGTCTCTACCATAGACCTTTCTCACTTAGATCCCTCCAACCATTCTTGCCCCTGCTGCTCATCCTTCACACCTAGAGTGATCCTTTAAAAGCATTGGAAAAGTCACGTTACTGCCCTAGGACTTCCAGTAGCTTCTATTGCACTTAGCATCAAATCTGAGCTGCAGAGCGTATCCCCAGGCCCGTGCTCTGGCTGTGCCTTCCTGGCCCGGCACCTCCTCTCTCCCCCCACTCCAGCGCCTGCTGAGCTGCCTGCAGCTCTGTGCGCCAGCTCCTTCTCTGTCCCCAGACTCGTGCCACAAATTTTTCCTGCTTGCTTCTGATTGTCAGCTTAAACATTGTGTTCAGGAGACCTCTGGTCACCCAGACTACAGTAAGGCCCCAAGTCACAGCTGTTTCTTCACCTTGAGTTATTTTCTGCACACAACTCACCACTACCTAAAGTTTATCTTAGGTGTGTGTTTGCTTTTCCATTAGAATGTAGGTTGTGCAGATCAAAGACTTCAGTTTGTTCCCAGAACCAAACCAGCTCCTGGTGCTGAACTCAGCATCTGTGGTGTGTTCGTGGAGCACTGGGTCATATAAGATGGTTCCTGGAAGCAGCATCTGTCTTGCTGTGGAGACTAAGGCTTGGGTCTCAACACCACACAGTGGACATGGGCAGCATGCCCCAGAGCTCCAGCAGGGAGCATCCCGCACCTGCACCTGAGCTCACCTCTGTCCTGGCACCAGCTGGCACTGTTGCCCTTCCCTTTGCAACTCCCTTCCCTCTCCAGACAACCAACAGTGCAAGAAAGGACGCATCACTCTCTTCTGGTGCCGATGTGCTCTCTTGTTAAGACAACAGCTTTCACGAGGAGCTCATTTTTCTCCCATAAAGACATGATGAGCATAAATCATATTAGCCTCACTCTTTGATTTAACTGAGGAAGTCAAGTTGCTCATTCATGCATGTGAAAAGATTGGCTTGTGCCAGGTATGTGGCCAAATTCAAGATTCAGATTTCTTCTCATGACTTCTCTCCATCCTCCCTTTCCCCTTCCTGGAGGCCTTGGTGAGCGTTGTGGCTCCTCTCACCCCAGCGCCTGTCCCCTCCCTGCCCTTTTCCTCCATGAATCCATGTTTGATGTCGGGGAAACCAGCTGATGGTATCCCCTGTGTCACACACACATTTGCTGCTGCTCAGCTCCCCCAACTACATGTAGCCCTAACAGTGCATGACTTTTCTTTTGTTCCTGGGATGTTCCCAGTGCTTAGTACAATGCCTGGGACATAGTGGATGCTCAAGAAGTCACTAATGAACCCTTCAAGTTTTGAGACGTATTATTTTTTTCTCATTGTTTGACTCTACATATTTTCTCATTTCTGTTATAATTCTTTGACCATCGAGTTGTCTGGAAGTGTGTCTTAACATTTCCAAATGTGTGGGGGATTCCCAGATAGTTTTTGTTATTGATTTCTAAAAAAAAAATTTTTTTTGAGACAGAGTCTTGCTCTTGTCACCCAGGCTGGAGTGCAGTGATGTAATCTCAGCTCACTGCAACCTCCCCCTTCCAGGTTCAAGCGATTCTCCTGCCTCAGCCTCCTGAGTAGCTGGGACTATATGCACCTGCCACCACACCCAGCTAATTTTTGTACTTTCAGTAGAGATGGTGTTTCCCCATGTTGGCCAGGCTGGTCTCAAACTCCTGACCTCAGGTGACCTGCCCACCTCGGCCTCCCAAAGTGCTAGGATTACAGGCATGAGTCACCATGCCTGGCCTTGATTTCTAAATTAAATGAAGTGTGATAAGAGAACACAGTCTATGCAATGTCAGTTCTTTGACACTCACCTCAGGGTTCTCAGATGCTCCTCGTGGGCTGAAGAACACATGTCCCCTTGTACCTGTGCAGTGTAGTTTAGAGTCCTGTGGTACCTAGCTGGTCCACTCACTCCTGCTGGGGTATAGTGGGAATTCCCTCCCCTCAGCAGGCACATGATGAGTGGGAAACAAGGGTCCCTCCCTAACGAACTGAAGGAAGCTTTGGTGTTTTTTTTCTGCAGTGAAGTCACATGTTCTCAGAACATCATAAGGAGTTCAAACTCTGGGAAGATGGTCCAGCCTTGGGGTCAGGATTCCTGGACCAGCCACTCATCATTTCTGGGAGTTGCTTCTGCGACCCCTTGACTAACTGAAGTGATGGGGTCTCCAGGTCATGTGTGTGCACTGACCCACTGCTGGGCATCCAGTATGTGGGATACAGCCGTGAGCAGGACAGATGCCCTTCCTGTTTTATTCAGCAAACACTATTGTGGCCCTGGCTCTGTGTTAGACACCGTTGATGGTTTAGTGGGGAAAAGGTCTTTATCATCATGGAATATCTATTCCAGCGAGGAACTGTAACAGGGTTCTCTAGAGAAATAGAACCGGTAGGATATATGCAGATATAGATACAGATAATAGGTATATGAGAGGGGATTTGTTAGGGACATTGGTTCACGCAGTTGGGGGTGCTGTGAAGTCCCACGATAGGCCTTCTTCAAGCTGGAGACCCAGGGAAGCTGATAGTGTGGCTCAGTCCAAGCCTGAAAGCCTTGGGACAGGGAAGCTGACGGTGTAACTCTGAGTCCAAGGCTGAGTGTCGCCAGTGTGTGTACTAGAGTCCAAACACGGGAGAGTCTGGAATTCTGGTGTCCAAAGGTAGGAGAAGGGTGTCCCAGATCCAGAAGAGTGAGTGAATTCACCTTTCCTCTGTTTTTCATTCTAACTGGGCCCCTAGCTGATTGGATAGTCCCTGCCCACATTGACGCAGGTCTTCCCTGCTCAGTCCACCAACCCACATGCCAGCCTCCTCTGGAAACACTCGCACAGACACACCCGGAAATAATGCTTTACCAGCTGTCTCATTATCTCATAACCCAGTCAAGTTGACACCTAAAATTAGATATTATAAGAACCATCCAGCAGGATAAGAGCCATTAAGGTAATAACAGGGAGAGTGACACACTCCAGACTGAGTGGTCCAGAGAGAACGCTAAGGAGTTATGTGTAAGCTGAAGCTCGAAGATCAGGAAGTGCCTATGCAAGGAATAAGAACAAGGCCTTGCAATGGGAAAAGGCTCAGGCTGCTCAGGGGCTGAGGCTGGAGCCTTGTGACTGAGAAGAATGGGAGGGATGGGGTTGAGGTGAACAAGGACCCAATTCTGCTGTGCTTTGTAGGCCATGGGGAGGAATGTAGATTTTTAGAAAAATGGGTAGCCTTGGAATTGTTTAAGTAAGGGAGCAACTATGATCTTAGATTTTTTAAAAATAGACTTTAATGGCCATGTATGGTGGCTCACACCTATAATCCCAGCACGTTGGGAGGCTGAGGCAGGAGGATCACTTGAGGCCAGGAGTTCAAGACCAGCCTGGGCAACATAGTGAGACCATTTCTCTACAAAAAATTTAAAAATTAGCCAGGTATGGTGGTGCACACTGGTAGTCCCAGCTATTCGTGAGGCTGAGGTGGCAGGATCACTTGAGCTCAGTAGTTCAAGGCTGCACTGAGCAGTGATTATACCACTGCCCTCCATTCTGTGCAACAGAGTGAGACACTGTCTCAAAAAAAAAAAGACTATTTTTTAGTTTTAGGTTCACAGTAAAATTGAGCAGAAAGTACAGAGAGTTCCCATACTCCCTGTTCTGTACTCGCTGTTCTGTACACACATGTACAGGCTCCCCCTCTATCAACATCCTCGACAGAATGGTACCATCGTTACAGTCAGTGAACCCACACTGATACATCGTTATCGCCCAGAGTCCGTAGTTACACAATATACTCTTGGACTGCTCTTGGGTGTAGGGTTCACTCTTGGTGTTAGACATTCTGTAGGTTTAGACAAATGTATGATGACATACATCTACCATTACAGCATCATACAGAGCAGCGCCACTGCCCTAAAAATCCTGTGCTCTGCCTATTCCTCCCTCCCTCCCACCAGCCCCTGACAGCCACTGTGCTTTTTACTGTTTCCACAGTTTTGCCTTTTCCAGAATGTTATAAAATTGGAATCACAGTATGTAGCCTTTTCGGATTGACTTATTTCACTTAGTGGTAGGCACTTAAGTTTCTTCCATGTCTTTTCACAGCCTGATAGTTCATTTCTTTTCAGCAGTGAATAATATTCCATTGCGTGGATGTATCACAGTTTATTTTCCATTTACCTACGAAGAACATCTTGGTTGTTTCCAAGTTTTGGCAATTACAAATAAAGCGGAGATAAATATCTGTGTGTAGGTTTTTAGGTGGACATAAATTTTCAGCTTATCTGGGCAAGCACCAAAGAGTATGATTGCTGGATGAAATGATAAGAGTACATTTAGTTTTGTAAGAAACCGCCAAACTGTCTTCCTGGGTAGCTGCACCATTTTGCATTCCCACCAACAATGAATGAGAGTTCAACAATGAATGAGAGTTCCTGTTGCTCCACATCCTTGCCAGCACTTGGTGGTGTTGGTGTTCTGGATTTTCACCATTCTAATAGGTGTTGGGTATGTTTTTATAAGATCACTCTTTTTTTTTTTTTTTTTTTTTTTTTTTTTTTTTTTTTTTTGAGACAGAGTCTTGCTCCATCGGCCAGGTTGGAGTGCAGTGGCATGATCTCAGCTCCCTGCAACGTCCACCTCCCAGGCTCAAGCAATTCTCCTGCCTCAGCCTCCCGAGTAGTTGGGACTACAGGTGTGTACCACCAGGCCTGGCTAATTTTTGTATTTTTAGTAGAGATGGGATTTCACCATGTTGGCCAGGCTGGTCTCAAACTCCTGACCTCAGGTAATCCACCCACCTTGGCCTCCCAAAGTGCTGGGATTACAGGCGTGAGCCACCACACCCAGCCTTTTTTTTTTTTTTTTTTTGAGACAGAGTTTCACTCTTGTTGCCCAGGCTGGAGAGCAATGGTGTGATAGCAACTCACGGCAACCTCCACCTCCCGGGTTCAAGCAATTCTCCTGCCTCAGCCTCCTTAGTAGCTGGGATAATAGGCATGCACCACCACGCCTGGCTAATTTTGTATTTTTAGTAGAGACAGAGTTTCTCCATGTTGGTCAGGCTGGTCTCCAACTCCTGACCTCAGGCGATCTGCCCACCTCTGCCTCCCAAAGTGCTGGGATTACATGTGTGAGCCACCATGCCCAGCCAAGATCACTCTTTTAGCTGGTTGGAGAATGGGGGATACTCATTAGTAGGCTGTCACTGCAGTCCAGGTCATGGCAATGAAAATGGAGCAAAGCAGATGGAAAGCAGATGGATTTTTAGAGGATTTTTAGAACAGAAAGGACCTTGTGATAAGTTCATGTGAGTGTGAACAGAAGTCAGCATGTGGAGTAGTTTTGAGTTTTCTGAGTTGTGCACTTGGGCAAATAGATACAGCCACTACTCAGGGAAAACTGGAACAGGAACTGTTTATGGAGGGGGAGGTCCAGTGTTCAGCCTTGGATATGTTAGGACAGAAGTGCATATGACACATTGATGTGCCGTATCACAAAACAGCAGTTGGGCCTGTGGGACGGGGCTCAAGACAAGTCCCATGCTGGGAATCCACACTTGGAAGCTGCCAGCTGATTTTTACTAAAGTCGCCCTGGGATAATGGTCCTCTGCCCTGCCCGGAGATTTGGAAAACACGGATGCCCAGGCCCACAGCTGATCCCACGAGTCAGAATTGGGCGGGGGAGCCTAGTCATGGGCCTGCTTTTGAAGCTCCCTGTTGATTGCGATACGCAGCCAGCATAGATAACCACAGAGTTAAACTCCGAGAAACTGATCTTTAAAGGTCAGTGAGAGAAGAGGCACCAGCGGGAAATGAGTGAGAAGGGAGGTCAGACGAATGTGGTGTCTGCAGCCGGCGCAGAGCGCGGGTGAGCCCGCGGAGCCATGGTGGCTGATGGCGCTCCACCTCTGGCCCTCAGCCAGCACTCAGTGCTCTGTACACGGTTAGTGCGAGCAGTGTTCTCAGGCTGCTCAAGTCAAGATATACTGGGAGACTATTGGTTAGAAAGTTATTTTGTGAGTAAGTCATCAAGATAAGGAGAGTTAGAAGATCTTAAGCTGTTTTCTTGGCTAAGTATTTCCATGCACTTTCACCCACCTAGGGATAGCTTTTCTACAAAAACTGCAATTCTGGATTATACTGAGGCAAGATACCGCCCACTGTTAATGTTTTATGGCCACAACTCTTGTGTTCTCAGTCTTTATTCAGAGAGCACTATGATTTAATGGTTCACCTATTACATCAAAATCATATAATCAGTTCTCCCCCAAGTGGATTTATAGATTCTAGACAATTTTAATTAAAATCCTGGCAGGAGTTTTTTTTTTTTTTTTTTTTTTTTGGTAGGAACTGAAAAATTGATTCTCAGATTTCTGTGGAAATACTAAACACTAAAAAGAGCCAAAATAATCTGGGCGCGGGGGATCACTATTTAAGGACATAGTCTATTGAATATCAAGACTACTTATAAGGCAATAGGAATTACTAGGAATTAATTAAGCAATACCATGTGGTGTTGACTCGAGGGTCAGTAAATAGGCCAATGGACCAAGATAGAAAATCCACAAACATCAAGTCCAACAGAGCTTAAAGGTAAAAAAAAAATAAAATCGGGCCGGGCATGGTGGCTCATGCCTGTAATTCCAGCACTTTGGGAGGCCAAGGCAGGAGGATTGCTTGAGTCCAGGAGTTCAAGACCAGCCTGGGCAACATGGCAAAACCTCATCCCTACAAAAAACAAAAAAATTAGCTGGGCATGGTGGCATGCACCTGTAGTCCCAGCTACTCTGGAGGTTGAGGCAGGAGGATAGCTTGAGCCCCAGAGGTGGAGGTTGCAGTGAGCCAAGATGGTGCTGTGTCCGGAATTGGTGGGTTCTTGGTCTCACTGACTTCAAGAATGAAGCCGCAGACCCTCGCGGTGAGTGTTATAGCTCTTAAGGTGGCGCGTCTGGAGTTTGTTCCTTCTGATGTTCGGATGTGTTTGGAGTTTCTTCCTTCTGGTGGGTTCGTGGTCTCGCTGGCTCAGGAGTGAAACTGCAGACCTTCGCGGTGAGTGTTACAGCTCTTAAGGCGGCGCGTCTGGAGTTGTTCATTCCTCCCAGTGGGCTGGTGGTCTTGCTGGCTTCAGGAGTGAAGCTGCAGACCTTCGCAGTGAGTGTTACAGCTCATAAAAGTAGTGTGGACCCAAAGAGTGAGCAGTAGCAAAATTTATTGCAAAGAGGGAAAGAACAAAGCTTCCACAGTGTGGAAGGGGACCGGAGCGGGTTGCCGCTGCTGGCTCGGGCAGCCTGCTTTTATTCTCTTATCTGGCCCTATCCACATCCTGCTGATTGGTAGAGCTGAGTGGTCTGTTTTGACAGGGCGCTGATTGGTGCATTTACAATCCCTGAGCTAGACACAAAGGTTCTCCATATCCCCACCAGATTAGCTAGATACAGAGTGTCCACACAAAGGTTCTCCAAGTCCCCACCAGAGTAGCTAGATACAGAGCGTCAATTGGTGCATTCACAAACCCTGAGCTAGACACAGGGTGCTGATTGGTGTATTTACAAACCTTGAGCTAGATACAGAGTGCCGATTGGTGTATTTACAACCCCTGAGCTAGACATAAAGGTGCTCCACGTCCCCACCAGACTCAGGAGCCCAGCTGGCTTCACCCAGCGGATCTCGCACAGGGGCTACAGGTGAAGCTGCCTGCCAGTCCCGGTGCCGTGCGCCCGCACTCCTCAGCCTTTGGGTGGTCGATGGGACTGGGCGCCATGGAGCAGGGGGCGGCGCTCATCAGGGAGGCTCCAGCCGCACAGGAGCCCACGGAGGGGGTGGGAGGCTAAGGCATGGCGGGTTGCAGGTCCCGAGCCCTACCCTGATGGAAGGCAGCTAAGGCCGGGTGAGAAATCGAGCGCAGCGCCGGTGGGCTGACTGCTGGGGGACCCAGTACACCCTCCGCAGCCGCTGGCCTGGGTGCTAAGCCCCTCATTGCCCGGGCTAGCAGGGCCGGCTGGCTGCTCCGAGTGCAGGGCCTGCCAAGCCCACGCCCACCCTGAACTCCAGCTGGCCTGCAAGCGCCCCGCGCAGCCCCGGTTCCCGCTCGTGCCTCTCCCGCCACACCTCCCTGCAAGCTGAGGGAGCCGGCTCCCGCCTTGGCCAGCCCAGAAAGGGGCTCCCACAGTGTGGCGGTGGGCTGAAGGGCTCCTCAAGTGCCGCCAAAGTGGGAGCCCAGGCAGAGGAGGCGCCGAGAGCGAGGGAGGGCTGTGAGGAGTGCCAGCGCGGTGTCACCTCTCAGTACCACTGCACTCGAGCCTGGGTGACAGAGACCCTGTCTCAAAAAGAAAGAGAGGGAGAGAGAGTGTGTCTCACAGGGCATCACTGCAAAGCATTAAGTAAGGAGGGCTTGTTACATAAAGGGCCAGTGCATCTTGACCCCCATTTCATGCAGCACACAAACATAAATTCCAGGTGAATTGTGTATCTAAATATCAAAAGCAAAATAGTAAAGATTGGAGAAAATATAACAAGAGGACATCTTTAAGGCCTTGAGGTAGGTAAACATTCATATGTAGGACAGCAAATGCATCAACCATAAAGGGAAAACTTGATAAACAGGACAACAATCAAATTAAAAATCTCTAATTATGAAAAGACATCATTAAATAAGTGAAAAAGCCAGGTACTGTGGCTCATGCTTGTAATACCAACACCTTGGGAGGCCAAGGCGGGAGGATCACTTGAGGCCAGGAGTTTAAGACCAGCCTGGGCAACATGGCGAGACCTCATCTCTGCCAAAAATTTAAAAAATTAGCCAGACATGGTTGTGTGCACCTGTAGTCCAGCTACTTGGGAGGCTGAGGTAGGGGAGGATCACTTGAACCCAGGAGTTTAAGGTTGCAGTGAGTTATGATTGCACGACTTCACTCCAGCCCGGGGAACAGAGCAAGACCTTATGTAAAAAAAAAATTAAAAGTTAAAAAAGCTAGCCACAGAAGGAGAGAAGATATTTCCAATAAATATAACAGACCAAAAAACTGTCCAGAATAACAAATTTCTACAACCCAAGGAGAAAAAGACACACAAATCAATTTTTTAACTAAGCAAAAGACACGAACAGGGGCTTAATGAAAGAAGATATACAATTAGTCAAATATATGAATAGTGTCCAACAGCGTTAGTCACTGGGGAGATAACAAACTAAAACTACAGTGAGAGATCACTTCTCATTTACCAGAACAGCTAAAATTAACACCAGTGATGACATACATTGGCAAAAATGTGGATCAGCTTGAATGTTTATGTTTTGCTGAAAGGGGTATAAACAGGTATGTTTACTTTGGAGAACTGGCAGTATCTCTGCTAAAGTTGATGCAGCAGTTTCACCCTTCTTCATGTATGTATTCCACAGAACTGTGAACATACATTAACAAAAATCTCTGTACCAGCATTATTCATAATAGCCCTAAGGTGGAAAAAAACACATATCCATCAAAGGTGGAATGGGTAATGTTCTACATTCATGCACTTGAATACTACACAGCCGTGCAAATAAATGAAATACTGCTTCATATGTTGATGAACCCCAAAAAATGATATTGGACCAACGACAGGAAACAGGTAACCTGTGGTAGAAGTCCAGGTGGTGGTTAGCTCTGGGGAAGGAGCCAGTACCTACTGGGGAGATTGGAATGTTTCGTCGCTCGCTGTGGGTGGTGGTTAACAACTGTGCTCACTTTGTGATAATTAACAAACTTTTCTTACTCTCTTGCACTTTCCTATAGGTATGTTATATTTTGATTCTTAAAGTTAATTTTTAAACTCGTAATCCATTACTCCCTCCCTGAAATTATGCAGTTATCGAGCTATACGTTTGTAGGCACTGACATGTTATTTTACCTACCCTGGATTTAGATTTCGCTAACTTAAATCTCAAGAGGAATCTTATTTCCAAGCTTAACTGAGGTGTTTTTAGTGCCCATGTAGACATCAGAATGGTTTTGTAAGGGGTTAGGATTAAGACACTTGATAAACTTGAGTTTATTATGCATCTTTATTTTGGAAAATATGCTCAATTAGACCATTTATTATGAGGACTTTCTCCAGATGAAAATACGTGTTTAAAATGTTAAAATGGACGAATTACATTGGTAGTATCTATTTTCATGTTTAGTTAAATGCTCTGCGAGACCTTCATCCATTACCCAAGATAATTTTGGAATACAGGCAGGTAAGTTAATTTTTTTGTACGTAAAAGGTAAAAGGTGATGAGGGGGAACCATATGGCCCTGTGTCTGTCAACACAAATCCATAATGGCTGAAGTAGCCCTCCCAGTGTTCTCAGGGGAATAGAGTTTTGTCAGGTTAACCTTGTACTGGCACTGTTTACTTGTACCCCATGTGATTTTACCGAAGTCTGCAATCAGCCCCACTCGTGAACCCCAGGAGTCAAAATGGAAGAAGACAATGAGGAATCGGAAGTAGGTGGCATGCCACGGCTGTGTGTCGTCGGTGTGCAGGAGACGCCCAGCAGTACCTAGTCTCAAAGCCTCCCACAACCCCTCCCTGGCTTCTAGGTCTGCCAAGACCATACCGTAGTAGTGTTGTGTCATCTTGCACTTACATTTGCCAGGGATTTCATGAGTGGCCCCCTTCCCTCCCCTGGTGATTCCCTTTCTCTGTTCACACACCTGCCATTTCCTTCCAAAGTTCTCTTTTGGTTGTGAACCACGTTTATAGCTTTTGCCACTGCCCACAGCATAGGTCCTAGTATTCACTGAGCCTGTGGCCTGCTGTATCCTGAGGGCCTGGCAGCTGTGAGGGAGCACATTGGCTCCAGCCTGGCCCTTTCTCCCTGCAACGATGTAAAGGGGCCACCAGAGGAGACACTGTGTCAGGGTATTTGTTTATCTGTTTATCTTTGCAAATTTCCTGTAAATCTAGAATGATTCTAGAATTAATAGATCTATTTTTAAAGAGTGGAATGACATCTTTCTCTGTGGGTCAGTGTTATTTAATCCTGGTACCACCTAAGGTCATTCCAGGGCCTCTCGGAGTCATCTAAGGTGATAGTAGCAGCACGTGCCCGGCACTCTGTGAAACACTATTCACACTATTCCTGTTTAAAGACTTAGGCCGGGCATGGTGGCTCACACCTGTAATCCCAGCACTGTGGGAGGCTGAGGTGGGCGGATCACCTGAGGTCAGAGGTTCGAGACCAGCCTGGCCAACATGGCGAAACCCCATCTCTACTAAAAATATAAAACTTAGCCGAGCATGGTGGCGCATGCCTGTAATCCCAGCTACTCAGGAGACTGAGGCAAGAGAATCACTTGACCCCAGGAGGCAGAAGTTGCGGCAAGCCGAGATCACGCCACTGCACTCCAGCCTGGGCAATGGAGCGAGACTCCTTCCCCCCACAAAAAAAGACTTAAGACTTAAAGAAAATGATTATTCTTGTCTTTCCACCTTAGGTTCACAAGATCAAGTCAACCTTTGTAGATGGATTACTAGCTTGCATGAAAAAGGTAACAAGCTTTACAAAAAGATACTGTGATTAGGACTGTGGTTTTTGTATGAGTTCAGATACATATAGAACCTTTGTAATTTTAGTAAATGATGAAATCGTCTAAATATTCTTTTTTTTTTTTTTTTTTTTTTTTGAGACAGAGTCTTGCACTGTCGCCCGGGCTGGAGTGCAGTGTCAGGATCTCAGCTCACTGCAACCTCTGCCTCCCGGCTCCAAGCAATTCTCATGCCTCAGCCTCCCAAGTAGCTGGGATTACAGGTGTCCGCCACCACGCCCAGCTAATTTTTGCTATTTTTAGTAGACAGGGTTTCACTATGTTGGCCAGGCTGGTCTCAAACTCTTACGTCGTGATCTGCCTGCCTCGGCCTCCCAAAGTGTTGGGATTACAGGCGTGAGCTACCTCACCCAGCCGAAATAATCTAATATTCTTGAAACTATGAGCCATGATATTGGCATCATTTAGGTCCCCTGGCAGCATAGGTTGATGTTATGCCTTGAAACCCTCTGTTTATGAGGAAGCTCTAGCTGACCTGCTTTCACATCCACGATTGCATCTCTGTTCTGGACTCATTTGAGGAAGATGTTACTGTTTTAGTTCAGACTTGAGGAGACTGCAGTCAAGAGATGTTCTGTGACTCGTTCAAGTTCACACAGCAAGTGACAGAACCTGTCTGTGACGCACAGTCCCACCTCGAGCCCGCACCAAGCTCCCCACAGCCCAACAGCCCTTCCTCTCCCCATGCATGGGATTTGTAAGTGACATAAAGTCTTATGGCAGTTCCTACATGGGTTAGGGGGAAACCTCCTTCTTCAGCCTTCCCTGATCACGTGTCAGGAGTTTTGTAACCCCAAGGACATTTCAGGGTTGGAAGTTTAGGGCCAGCAGCTTGTTGGCCTCTGGAGGAGCAGCGAGTGTTGCATGTTGTGAGTGGAGGCTCCGCCACATTCTTAACTTCACATAGCATTGCTGGAGTTTACACTGATTCTTTTTAACTAATAAAGGGCTCCATTTCCTCTACATGGAATCAGACTGGAACTGTGACTGGAAGACTTTCAGCCAAGCATCCTGTAAGTTGTTTAAACAACTGTCTTTGTTAAACGCCATTTTCCTGCCTTGCTATTGAAGTTTTTTCTCCATATGTGTTTGCCTGTGCACTTTCTGTTTCCAAGAGGGGACTTCATACTGATATGTTGTGTTTTATTCTGTTTATTCTGAGAACATAGCAGGAGAACAAGACAGATGGGTTCTCTTCTCATGAAGTGCTGAGTTAGCAAGAGGGGGGCTTCACACCCAGAAACCCATGCACTCCAGTGTGCAGGCAAAAAGGACACCCGTACCCCATCTTCCTTTTCAGATTTGTGCCAGACAGGTGGCTTCTGATTTCCAGAAATGTGTTGAAGTATCTGATGCTATGATGAACAGCTCCATTTTTTGGTGGTTGTTGAAGCTGTATCTCTGATGAAGAAAAAAAAAAAAAAAGCTCTAAATTCCCTTGAACTTATGATGCAGCTTGCATCACACTTAAAGCACTTAACTTTCTAAATGGCTCTGTATTTTGAACTAAAAAAGACTCATGATTAATTTCTCATTATAGAAAATTCCTTAGATACAGAAAAGAAATAAAAATAGTAATAAGTCACTTGTTATCCACTGTGCAGAACTGTGGTATCTATCTTTCCACACTTTTTGCTAAGCACATATATTTATAAAATACAATTTTTTAGGCCAGGCGCGGTGGCTCATGCCTGTAATCCCAGCACTTTGGGAGGCCGAGGCGGTGGATCATGAGGTCAGGAGTTCAAGACCAGCCTGGCCAATATGGTGAAACCCCGTCTCTACTAAAAACACAAAAATTAGCTGGGCGTGGTGGCGGGTGCCTGTAGTCTCAGGTACTAGGGAGGCTGAGGCAGGAAAATGGTGTGAACCCAGGAGGCGGAGCTTGCAGTGAGCCGAGATAACGCCACTGCACTCCAGCCTGGGTGACAGAGCGAGACTCTGTCAAAAAAAAAATACAATTTTTTTCTACAAAAATAAAGCCATGCTATTTTATATTATGCTTTCTTATTTTAACATCTCTTGATATCATTCTACATTAATATTGATTTGAATCTATATTTAAATTTAAATATATGAATTAAATATGTGAATTATTTAAGTACACACTAACATATATATATAAATATGAATATGTATTCATGGTAAAGAAATACAAGTATGTGGAGGTTTACAGAATGAGCAAATGTTAGTCATCTTTCCCTTCCCTCCGTAACATGTGTCTGTCCCGTGGGTTCCCTCCATTAAGGGTCAGGCCTTCACCCAGGCATTTGCATAGATGGTGTACCGAGTGCATGCAGGCAGAGGGACACACTCAGGTGACTGTGTGAGGAAGAGGAAGAGAGGCTGGGATGGGGTGAGTTTGCGCTAATCGTGTGGCCTCTTGGGTGCATGGACACCCACTCTTGGTCAGTCAGCTCTCGGGCTGCCAGCTGTCTCTGGCCTTGCACTTTAGGGAGCTCTTCTGGGGTCTTTATCTAGCGAAGAGTGGTAGTAATAGCAATAGTAATGTGAATACCAATACCAGCACCAATATCCATGTGAATACCAGTGCCATCTCCTCTGAATGCAGGCACTGCTGCCACGTTACCCTTGGGCTAATTTCTCAACCAACCACAACTGCTGTAGTTTCTCTTAGTTGATACTTCTTATCTAAGAGTTATTTAGGAATTCTGCTGAGAAACTTTTCGTGGAGGTCCTTGCTTTTGTTTTTATGCAGTTATAAGTTTCTTTTTCCATTACATTTTCAGTAAATCTCTTGCTGTGTTTTATTCTCTTCCAGAAGTTTCTGAAGGGTCTGGTTTGTGAGTAGCACTCCTCCCAGGTTCTCAGTGAAGCTCTAATTTTACCTATTTATTTTTCTGTTATTTCAGTTGAACTTTTGGAAAGATGAGATGTAAACATAACATGTGCATTCAGCCATGACCTTTAACTGGAAGTTTGTGTCATCTTTTTAACAGCTGCATTGTATTCCATTTAATGGCTGCCCCTATTGATGGTCATTTAGATTGTTTGCAGTTTTAATTATTTTATAGAAATACCATAAACATACCTGTACTTTATCATAGCAATACCATACAAACTTCAATAGCAATACCATAACCAATACCATGAACATTTTTGGTACTTTTTTCTGTTGATTTCTATAGTGCAATTTCCTAGAGATAGAATTTCTGAGTCACAGTATATATGTATTTTTAAGGCTTTATGTTGCCAAATTAGCCTCTCGCCAAAAATAACATTCCCACCACATAGTATGTGAAATGCTTGGTCCCTTAATCCTTGCCAACACAAGGAATTTTCGTTTTGATTACTTTCCTGACTCATTTTTTCAATTTCCATTTCTTTAAATATTTGTTGAGGTTGACTACATGAAACAATTATTCTTCTTTGAATTGCCTGTTCATGTCATTTGCCCATTTCTCTGGAGGGTGTTTATTTTTTCCTATTGGTATGGAAAAGCTCTTTATATAATAAAAATTAACCCTTTATGAAATGTTGAATTATTTTCCTCCAATTTTCTTTTGCCTTTTAACTTTTAAGATATATATTCTGGTTTGCCATACTTAAAATGTCTTTTTTTTTTTTTTTTTTTTTTTTTTGTTGAGATGGAGTCTCGCTGTCGCCCAGGCTGGAGTGCAGTGGCGTGATCTCAGCTCACTGCAAGCTCTGCCTCACTGGTTCATGCCATTCTCCTGCCTCAGCCTCCCGAGTAGCTAGGACTACAGGCACCCGCCACCACGCCCGGCTAATTTTTTTGTATTCTTAGTAGAGATAGGGTTTCACCATGTTAGCCAGGATGGTCTCAATCTCCTGACCTTGTGATCCGCCCGCCTCGGCCTCCCAAAGTGCTGGGATTGCAGGTATGAGCCACCGCGCCTGGCCTTAAAATGGCTTTTTAAAATTATACAAATAACAGCCGGGTGCAGTGGCTCACACCTGTAATCCCAGCACTCTGGGAGGCTGAGGTGGGTGGATCACAAGGTCAGGAGATCGAGAACATTCTGGCTTACACAGTGAAACCCCGTCTCTGCTAAACATGCAAAAAAAATTAGCCGGGCGTGGTAGTGGGCGCCTGTGGTCCCAGCTACTTGGGAGGCTGAGGCAGGAGAATGGTGTGAAGCTGGGAGCAGAGCTTGCAGTGAGCTGAGATGGCGCCACTGCACTCCAGCCTGGGTGACAGAGCGAGACTCCATCTCAAAAAAAAAAAAATTATACAAATAACATGATATTTCTAAAGAATTCAAACAATAGATAAAAATGTAAGTAACAAAGTAAAAAGTCACTCAAAACTCCATATCCCCGCAATAGCCATCTTTAACATTTTGGTAACCATCCTCTAATTTACTTCTTTATGCACACACACATTTACATAAGTGGGATCACATTATATATGTTGTTTTTATTGTAGACACTTCTCTCACACCTACATACCTCAGCCCTCCACCCTCAATCCCAGTGCTCTTGGTAGCCCATGATTGCAGCCTAGAGCTTGTATATCCATATTTTCTTTCTGACTTATTATGCAATCTCATATAGGCCCATATATATCTGTACATATACACATAGAGACATGTACTTTGTCATTATTTATTTTACAGATTTAGAATTTTCCTTTCCTGCCTCTTGCTTTTTGCTCTCAGCAACAGCTTGTGGAGATCCCTGCAGCTCACCTGACAGAGGCCTGTCCCACTCTAGCTATTTGTGTTCCACATGTGGGTGTGTTGTACAGTTGCCCTCTAAAAGTAAAGCTGCAATGAACACCATGCACGTATGTCCTGTTGTATTGGTACTTGTATTTTTGTGGGACAGATTTTCAGGTATGAAATTACTGAGTAATTACTGTACTGGGTACAGAGGATATTACATTTTTACTTTTAATAGCTTTTATTAGATTGCCTTCCAAAATGCTTTCAGCCTGTCTCTGCCCTGAGCAATGTGTGGCAGAGCTTTCTCCACTCTCTATGGTGACTTTCCCCTGTACTGACATCCCTCATTGTTTCTGTCTTAGTGTCATCTTAGACAGGCTGTCCTCAGCTCCAAGATTATTTAAATACTCACCTCTGTTTTCTGATAGAACATTTGTGCTTCCATTTTTTTACACATAAAACTTGAATCCAGCTGCACACTATTTAAGAAAATACTATGTAGGTTACATGATAATGCCATAAAATGGCTAGAATTTCAGTTACTTTTTTTTTTTTGCTTAAAGTGCACAAAATACAGTTGACTAATATTTTTAAAAATCAGATTATTAGCCTGGGCAGCATAGCAAGACCCCATCTCTACATAAATTTTAAGATGCTTTAAATTAGCTGAGCATGGTAGCTAATTGGGAGGCTGAGGCAGGAGGATCACTTGAGCCCAGGAGTTTGAGGCTGCAGTGAGTTGTGATCGCATCACAGCACTTCACCCTAGGTGACAGAGCAAGACCTTGTCTCCTAAAAAAAAAAAAAAAAATCAGGCCAGGTGCAATGGCTCATGTCTGTAATCCTAGCACTTTGGGAGGCTGAGGTGGGCAGATCTCTTGAGCTCAGGAGTTCGAGACCAGGCTGGACAACATGGTGAAACCTCATCTCTACCCAAAATACAGAAAATTAGATTAGGTGGGCATGGTGGTGCACGCCTATGGTCCCAGCTACTCAAGAGGCTGAAGTGGGAGGATTGCTTGAGCCCGAGAGGAGGAGGTCACAGTGAGCTGAGATGATACCACTGCACTCTAGCCTGGTGACAGAGTGAGATCCCACCTCAAAAAAAAAAAAAGAAGAAAGAAAGAAAAAAGAAAATTAGGTTTAGGTTATAGCTGGTTCTCAGTATTTTCAGAAAGCTAATTTTCTCACACACACCCCCTCCTAAGAGAAAGTTATTGCTTCTGGTCCTTTATATGGAAATAAAAAAAGAAGGAAAAAAGAGTCATTGCTACCAGTTGTGCAAAAGTATCCTTGTGTCTCTTTGTAATATCTCCCTCCCCACTCCTCATCTTTTACCCATGTCCTTGGCCACCACTGACTTGCTGTTTGCCACTATCGATTCGTTTGCAGTTTCTGGAAACCTCTGTGAATGGAGCCACACAGCATGGACTCCTCCTGTCGGGCTCCTTTCACAGCGTTGTTACTATGAGCTTCAGCTACGTTGCTCTGTGTTTCAGTAGCTCATTTCTTTTTACTGCTCAGTAGTGTTCCATGGACTGTGTGTACCCCACTTTGTTTATGAGTTCACCTGTTGATCAATATTTGGGTCATTTCCAGTTTGGGGATATTATTCAGTTTGGGATATTAACTACACACATTGACTGCACGTCCTTACATGGATAGATACTTTTTTTTCTCTTGGTTAAATACCAAAGAGTCAAGTAGCTAGTCATACAGTAGGTGTAGATTTCACTTTTTAAGCAACTGCCAAACTGTTTTTCCAGAGTGGTTCTACCATTTGACATTCCTACCAGCAGTGTATGAATTCTACTTCTTTTACACTCCTAGCAGCATTTGATCTGGCCGGTCTTTCTAATTTGAGCCATTCTGCTAGATGTCTTGTGGTGTCTCATTGCAGTTTTCATTGCATTACCCTGATCACTACTGCTGAGAGTCCTTCCATGTGTTAATTTGCCAGTCATTTTTCTTTTTCAGTGAAGCACCTAGTCATACCTTCTGCGTATTTTAAAGGGACTGCTTATTTTCTTATCATTAAGTTTTGAGAGTTCTGTATATATTCTAGATACAAGTCCTTTAGCAGGTATATTCTTGGCAGATATTTTCTTCCAATCTGTGGCTTGTCTTCTTTTGACACCATCTTTTGAAGAGCAGAAGTTTTAAGTTTTAATGAATTCTGATTTATCAATGAGTTCTTACATGGATCATGCTTTGATATTGTATCTAAGAAACCTTTGTGTAAACCAAAATCACAAGTATTTTTTCTACATTTTTTTCTAGACGTATTATAGTTTTGGGCTTTACATTTAGAGCTATGACTGTTGTATATGGTGTAAAGTGAGTGTTTAACATCATCTTTCTTACAAGTGGACATCCAGTTGTCCCAGTACCGTTTCTTGAAAAGACCATCTTTCCTCCCATTTAATTACCTTGGCGCCTTTGTCTAAAATACATTTACTATCAATATAAGGGTTTAATACTGTACTCTGAACTCAGTCTAGTTGATCTATATACTTACCATTGCCAGCAGTGCGTTGTCTTTATTATTGTAGCTTTCGAGTAAGGTTTTAAATTGGGGCATGTAAGTCCTCCAACATTGTTTTTTTAAAAAAGAAAAAAAAAGGTTATTTTGGGTCTTTGGTCTTTTGCATTTCCATATGAACTTTATAATCAGCAGTTTGTCAATTTTTACAAAAAAGCCTGCTGAGATTTTCATTGGGATTACCTTGAATCGAGAACTCAATCTGGGGAGAATTGGCCACTTTATTTTGATAAAATAACCTTTTTTATCCCTGGTATTGTTCTCTGCTTTGAAATCTATTTTGTCTAATATTAAAATATTAATTTAATATTAGCTAATAAAATGTTAGAATAATTTTGGAAATAATACAATTAATAAAAATATAATTTAATATTAATGTTAAATAACCACTCCAGTTTTCTTTGAATATTAGCATGGTATTTTCTATTCTTTTACTTTTAAACTATTTGTGTGTGTGTGTATGTGTCTCTCTCCCACTTCTTTTTGTTTTGTTTTGTTTTTTGTTTTTTGTTTTTGTTTTTGTTTTTGAGATGGAGTCTCACACTGTTGCCCAGGCTGGAGTGCAGTGGCGTGATCTTGGCCCACTGTAACCTCTGCCTCCCGGGTTCAAGCGATTCTCCTGCCTCAGCTTCCCGAGTAGCTGGGATTACAGGAGCCCACCACCACACCCAGCTAATTTTTGGTATTTTTAGTAGAGACGGGGTTTCACTATGTTGGCCAGGCTGGTCTCAAAATCCTGACCTCGTGATCCGCCCTCCTTGGCCTCCCAAAGTGCTAGGATTACAGGTGTGAGTCAACGCGCCCGGCCCTCTCTCTCTCTTTTTAGACACAGGTCTCACTCTGTTGCCCAGGCTAGAGTACAGTGATGTAATCATAGCTCACTGCAGCCTCCAACTCCCGGGCTCAAGTGATCCTTCTGCCTCATCCTTCAGAGTAGCTAGGACCACAGATGTATGCCACTGTGCCTGGCTAACTTCTTAATTTTTTTTAGAGATGGGTCTTGCTATCCTATATCGTTTAGGCCAGGAGTTCAAGATCAGTCTGGGCAACATAGATTCCAATAATAAGAAAAATCCTATCTACCCATGTAGTTACTGTTTCCAATGCCCTCATTTCCCTGTTTACAACCAGGTTTCTTTTTGGCATCATTTTCCTTCTGCCTAAAGGACATCCTTTAACATTTCCTGCATTGTAGGTCTGCCATTGATGAATTCCCCTGGCTTTTGTAGATCTGGAAATGTCTTTATTTCATCTTTGGTTTTGTTTTTTGTTTTGGGTTTTTGTTGTTTGTTTGTTTGTTTGTTTGTTTGTTTTTGAGATAGGGTTTCACTCCTGTCGCCCAGGCTGGAGTGCAATGGTGCGATCTCAGCTCATGGCAACTTCTGCCTCCCAGGCGCAAGCAATTCTCCTGCCTCAGCCTCCCAAGTAGCTGGGACTACAGGCGCATACCACTGCGCTCAGCTAATTTTTGTATTTTTTGTAGAGATGGGGTTTCACCATGTTGCCCAGGCTAGTCTTGAACTCCTAAGCTCAAGCCATCTGCCTGTTTCAGCCTCCCAAAGTTCTGGGATTACATACCCACATCCAGCCTGTAACCACAGTGACAGGTCACTGTGCCCAGCCCTCACCTTTGGTTTTTGAAAGTTATTTTTGCGAGGTATAAAATTCTCAGTTAAAAGGTTTTTTTTCTCAATACTTTGAAGATGTTACTTTCTTCTCACATTGTTTGATAGGAAGTCTTTCATCACTATCTTCACATAATGTGTCTTTTTTCTTTACTGCTTTTACCTTATCACCATTTTTGAAAAATTTGATTATGATATAGTATCATGTTTCTTGTATTTAGGATTCATTGAGTTTCTTGGATCTTTGGTTTATGGTTTTCATCAAACCTGAAAATTTATTGGTGATTATTTATTCACATACTTTTTTTTTTTGGGGGGGGGACAGAGTCTCGCTCTGTCGCCCAGGCTGGAGTGCCGTGGTGCAATCTCGGCTCACTGCAACCTCCGCCTCCTGGGTTCAAGCAATTCTCCTGCCTCAGCCTCCTGAGTAGCTGGGATTACAGGCGCATGCCACCATGCCCAGCTAATTTTTGTATTTTTAATAGAGACAGGGTTTCACCATGTTGGTCAGGCTGGTCTCAAATTCCTGACCTTGTAATCTACCCGCGTCGGCCTCCCAAAGTGCTGGGATTACAGGCATGAGCCACCGTAGCCGGCCTATTCACATACTTTTTATGGGCCTCCTTTTCTCTCCTCTCCATCAGGGACTCCACTTATAATTACATATATTAGGTCAATTTGTCCCATAGCTCACTGAATTTGTCCATAGCTCACTGAGACTCACTTTTATTCTTTTCCTTGGATTTTCTTCTGTTTCAATTTGAATAGTTTCTATTACTATATTGTCTAGTTCACTGATTGCTCTAGTTCAATATTTGCTTTATTAGAACCTCAGTCTGTGTCCTCCTAGATATTCCCTATACTTCCTCTAGCATAGTGCTCGTTATACTGTATTATAACATCCTGCACTTCTGTTCACCTCACTGGACTGTAAATTCCATGAGAATGGGAGCCTTTTCTGTGTGCTTCACTGACATTTCCCCAAGCCTGGCTCTGTACCTGGAATGCAGTAGGCACCAAGTGTGTATTGAATGAAAAACCGGGCTGGGCACGGTGGCTCATGCCTGTAATCCCAGCACTTTGGGAGGCTGAGGTAGGCAGATCACCTGAGGTCAGGAGATCGAGACCAGCCTGACCAACATGGAGAAACCACACTTCTACTAAAAATTCAAAAATTAGCTGGGCATGGTGGTGTGCACCTGTAGTCCCAGCTACTCGGGAGGCTGAGGCAGGAGAATCGCTTAAACCTGGGAGGCAGAGGTTGCGGTGAGCCAAGATCACGCCATTGTGTTCCAGCCTGGGCAACAAGAGTGAAACTTTGTCTCAAAAAAAAAAAAAAAAGAAAAGAAAAACTGGATGTCTGATCTACTCTTGAATTGTCTTTCAGTGTCTCAAAATCATTTGGTTTGGGGTCATGATCAGTATTATGGCCTGTTGACAGTGTGGGCCAATCTGTTCTCCATGCTGGACTGTCACCCTCTTCACCCTGGGCATGGATTGGTCATGGAGTCTTGTTTTTCTAAATCCTCCTCTTTCCCCAACTCAGATACTTTAGGGATCATCTTGTCAATCCTTGTTTTGAAAGCCCCTCTTAGAACTGTCATTTTTTACGAAGGCCTCCTCATGGGAAGGTGTTGAGGACCTTTTTTCTCATTGCACTGCCAGGAGCCACATTCTTAAATCTAATACCTCCTTATCACACGTGGCTTTGAGGTCTCTCCTAATGTTTCTGCATCAGCAGAGCCAGTTTTTGTCAATGTCCTCATTTCACTACAGTGCCACTCATGATACTGGCTCAGAATTTATCAACATTATGTAATTCAAAATATCTGATCTTTCACATTGTATTCTTATGAATTCTTTAGTATCTTGAGTTCTCATTTTTCTTGCAGCGTAGTATTTAATTTTTAAAAATGTTATAGCTATATTAATTGGAAATGTTAAAATCTAGGGATTATTTAGCTGGATATTTGCTTTGGTTTCTTGGTTGGTGAGTCTTTCTCCTCCTTAGTTTTTTTATTTTCCTAAATATATGCTCACTGTTGCATTAGCATGTTTGTACTAGCTTTTTAGTATCTAGCTGGGATGGAGCCAAATTAACATTTTGTCCTATGGTGGTAATACTTTGATATAATTTGTTTCCTTGATTCCTCATGCTTTCGCCTGCCTTCAAGCCATTGCTGTTGTTACCTCTGTCGAGATACTTTTTCTGCCCCTAGATCCATGAACATATCTTTAAGCCCAGCTTTCTTGGCCTGGCTGCTGCCCGTTAGTTCTTCTGATTTCAGTGCAGGGGACATGTCCTCAAAAGCCTTGTTCAGCCCCCTGCCCCTATCTGCCTGCCCCTCCCCACACCAGAGCTCAGTGAGATACCCCTTTTCCTAGTAACAAGCTATAGAGCCCAATACAGTGATCATGTGTGTATTCATCATTCAGCTTAAAAGCTTCAACATTACTTGAGTGCTTTTGTTGTTGTTGTTGAGATGGAGTTTTGCTCTTGTTGCCCAAGTGGAGTGCAATGGCGCAATCTTGGCTCACTGCAACCTCCGCCTCCTGGGTTCAAGCAATTCTGCCTCAGCCTCCCAAGTAGCTGGGATTACAGGTGCGTGCCACCACGCCTGGCTAATTTTTTTGTATTTTTAGTAGAAACGGAGTTTCGTCATGTTAGCCAGGCTGGTCTGGAACTCCTGACCTCAGGTGATCCGCCTGCCTCGGCCGCCCAAAGTGCTGGGATTACAGGTGTGAGCCACCACGCCTGGCCTACTTGACAACATTTAAAGCCCCTGTTAATCCTTTCCCAAGTGTGTTCTTCCCAATTCAGCTCCCTTTTCTATTCTACATTTAGTCTTTATCATCCCATTTTAATGCGTGCATTTATTTATTTATTTATATTTTCTTAAATATATATATTTCCTTAAATGATAGATTGTCTTTTTTTTGCTATTTTAAAGTTTATATAAATTATAGCATATTGTACTTATAAATTTGCTGTTTTCATTCAACATTATGTTTTTGAGATTTATCTGTGTTGACAGACGTAGCTCTAAATTATTCATCTTGGCTGCTATATAGTATGTCATTGTACAGATATACTAGGTTGTTTCCAATATTTCACTATTAAAAACAATGCTGCAAGAAAAAAAGTAAATGCTGGGAAGAGTATTTATGAACATGTGCGAGGGTTTCTCTAGCACCTCACCAGTATTGCCTGACGATAGGGCATGCTGGTATTCAACTCTCCTGACATCACTAAACACCCTCCAAATGAGTGGACTGACTCATGTTCTCACCTGCAGTGTGATAGAGACCTCATCGCCCTACAGACCACCGCACTTGGTATTACCAGATTTTTAAGTTTTTGCCAATTTGATGAGTGTGGATTAGTATCTTATTGTGACTTAATTCACATTACTTTTATTAGTAATGAGGGTCAGTGTATTTTTATGTTTATTTGTCATTTGAATTTTTTCAATGACTCACTTGTTTATTTCTTTTGCCCATTTTCAGTTTAGTGGTTTGTCTTTTTCTTATTAATTTGTAAAAGTTCTTTATGTATTATGAATACTAGTCTTTTGTGCCCTTATATAATTATCTTCTCCCAGTCTGTGGTTGGTTTGTTTTTCTCAGATTGGATTCTATGTCTTTGATTTACAGATTTTTAAAAAATATTGTCAAATTTGTGGTCTTTTCCTTTAAGGTTTGTACCTCTCTGTGTCTCATTTAAGGAACCCTATCTTACTTGGAGATCATAAAGATCCTCAAATTCTCTTTTTTTTTCGCCTATAATGTGTTCTATGATAGCAAATTCTCTCTTAATAAAGTTACTTTTTACATTGAGTCTTTAATTCCCTTGGAATTTGTTTTTATTTAGGTCTAAGGTAGCGATCTGATTATTTTTCCATTTGGGTAACTGTTTGTTATAGCTATTGTTATTGTAAGAACTACAGTAATTTGTAATGCCTCTGTCATTTGTGAATTTTGACAAATGCATAGGTCTGTTTCTAGGCTCTCAATTCTGTGCCTTTGGTCTATTTCCATATTCTTACCACTCTTTTAACTTCCAATAGTTTCATTACAGATGTGTATTCCCAGAGTGTCGACTACCTAACGTGGTCATCGTTCCGTTGCTAGGGATTGCCTTCCCTCTACTGTAGGCTCCTTGAATTTTTTCAATATTTTATTCCAAGAAACAAGCACAGTGTCTACCAGTTGATAGGTAATCGCTAAATGTTATTGAAGGAAAGAGTAAAACCAGGGACTTACATCTTAGTTATCGAGTGCTAAATACAGCTAACGGATTATTGGGGTGTGGGGGAGCAATTTTTAAGGAAAAATATGTAGCATTCATTCTTACAGCCTATATTCACTAGGTAACGGAATTTCCTCCAGTAGTGTATATATTATTTAAATATTAATTATTTGTAGGTTATGTGTTTGAAGAACTAGCATTTTTCATAATAGCTGGCACGTGGCAGGATTTTGATGAATACAATGAATGAATTCTTCTAGTTAAGAAAAGAGTCTTCTTAAGAATATTTTTAGGACCAGGGGCGGTGGCTCACACCTGTAATCCCGGCACTTGGGGAGGCTGAGGCAGGCAGATCACAAGGTCAGGAGTTCAAGACCAGCCTGGCCAACACAGTGAAACCCCATCTCTACTAAAAATACAAAAATTAGCTGGGCATGGTGGCACGTGCCTGTAGTCCCAGCTACGTGGGAGGCTGAGGCAGGAGAATCATTTGAACCCAGGAGGTGGAGGTTGTGGTGAGCCGAGTTCACGCCACTGCACTCCAGTCTGGGTGATAGAGTGAGACTCCATCTCAAAAAAAAAAAAAAAAAAAGAACAAATTTTTAACAGTGAATATGTATTTTATAGAAGACCCTTTTTACAACTTTAAGGAAAGTTATTGGTTGTTCAAAATCATATATTTAAATCATATATTTAAAATATATGATATTTTGAAGACAATATATTAAGTTCCCATGGGCAATGTATTACCACCTGAAGTTGCTGGGTATAAGTTGCACTTCAGTTTTGAAGGACATCTGGGTTGTTTCCAGTTTTGGGTTATTAAGATAAGGTTGCCAAAGACATTCATATACAGGTTTTTGTGTGTACTTGTCTTTATTTTTCTGGGATAAGTGTGCACAAGTCAACTGTTGGATCATATATTTTTAAATATATTACTGAATTCTATATGCTAATATTTATTAAAGGATTTTGTGTGTATGTTTATGAGGGATATTAATCTGTCTTCATCTGGTTTTTGTTTCAGGGTACTACTAGTTTCATAAAATGAATTGGGAAGTGTTCCTTCCTCTTGTGCTTTTTGGGAGATATCGTGGAATTGGTGTTAATTCTCCTTTAAATATTTGATAGAATCCTCTAATGAAATCATCTAGGCCTAGATATTTATTTTTGGGGAGTTTTAAAATTATGAGTTCAAGTTCCTTAATAGTTATACAGTTGCTCACATTATCTCTTTCATATTTGGTGAATTTCAGTTGTTTTTGCTTTTTGAAGAATTGGTCCATTTTGTCTAAGTTGTGAAATTTACGTGCGTGTGATTTTTCATAACATTTCCTTATCCTTTTGATGTCTTAGGGTCTGTAGTGATATTCCTGGTTTCATTTCTGATATTCATAATTTGTGTCTTCTCTGTTTTTTCTTTGTCAATCTACTGAGAGTTTTGTCAATTTTATTGATCTTTTCATTGATTTTCTCTACTATTTTTCTATTTTCAATTTATCGATTTCCATATTATTTCCTTTTTCTGCTTGATTTGGGTTTATTTTGCTTTTCTTTTTCTAGGCTTTTTAGGTATAAGCCTAGATTATTGCTTTGAGACTTTTTCTTTTTTCTCATGTATGCATTTTTAGTGCTATAAATTTTCCTCTCAGCACTGCTCTATCTTTAACCCATACATTTTGACATGTTATAGTTTGTCCAAAAAAAAATTGCATCAGAGTTAAACGTGTAAGGGAGAGTTTATTTAAGATTATAGCAACAGGGGAGAGAGATTGAACTCAACTCCAAATACCACACTGGCAGCTGGAGATTTATAACCAACAGAGGGGGTGAGGGTTCAGTAGATGGAAAATTACCAAAAAAATCTTGGCTGGGTATCAAGGATGGCGGAGGTGGGGGTGGGGGATTAAAAAAAAACCACAATCACGGGTTTTTGTGTGGTGTTTGGCTGGAGTAGTATAGTTATTGTCTAAAGGTTTTCTTTCTCGCTAGGCTGTCCTTTTCCTGGTCCTTTGGCTAATGAGAGCAGGCTTTTGTTAGGTTTTGTTTTTTTGTTTTGTTTTGTTGTTGTTTTTGTCTGTGGTTATTGGCATTTCCAGGCTACTGGCTTGTCTGGGACACATTAGGCAAAAAGAAACCTGGGACTCACCTCTGTGAGATTCTTTGGGTCCCACGGTCCCTAGCCAGTCTGCCGTATTTTCTCCACCTTTCCGAGTCTCTTACACTTGCCCAGGGTTTTAGTTGTATCTTGGGACAGGGATAGGGAACGTGTTTACACAACCTTCCTGGAAGCAGAAGTCTCCTTATTGGCAGCTTTAATCGAACAAAATACTTGATAGCACAGGGGTAGTTTTGAGAAACCCTCCAGTGCATATTTTGTTCCCAGCACCTCTTGCTACTTAGAGACTGCCTGCCCAGTAGGGCTGAGGCCTCTATTACTTCAGAGGGAGAGGGAGTTACAGCTGAGAATAAAGGAATCAGTGTTCAGCTCTGGCTTTCAACTAGAACTTGTGAAAGGGCACAGCAGAAACAAGAAAAGTATCGGCATGAGAGATCAAAAAGTGTTTTGTTTTGTTAATTTTTGAATTTCAGAAGCTTCCTTTTAAATATCAAGACTCAAAGCCTTGTATTTTTAGAGTTTAACATTATAAAGGAAGCCATTGAGTAGAGAGGATGCAAGAGACCCACTTCACAGGAGGGAGAGGGTACCTCCTTGGCTTGGAAGAGGTGCTGAGGGGGAGAGCATGAGAGCAGAACCAAGAGCTGAGCACACTTTGAAAGAGTCTTTGAAAGGCTCTGACTTCCTCTGGCCCCTCTGGGTTAGAAACTCAGAGCGTGGGTGGAAAGCCAGAGGAGGGGAATGCCAGCGCCCCACAGGCTGGGTCGCAGTCTCCAGGAGTGCCATGCCGAGGGGGCCGAGCTCTCCAAGGAGCCTGAGAGGGGGCTGGAAGCTCCTGTGGTCCTGGGGTCCTGCACTCCCCTGGTATGGAAACCAAGGCTGCCCATGTTTTCTGGGTTCTCACTGGTTCATGGAGGAGAGCTGTGAGATGGACAGCCAAAAGCCAGGTGCACAGGGAGGGTGCCATTGAGCTTCAGGAGGTAACAGTGTCGCCAGAGCCAGCACCAGGGCCCAGTTGGCAGAGGACATATGCCAGATGCTGGCCGTGCTGAGAGCACAGAACGCACCGCAGTCCTTCATGAACACTTCACCAACAGAGCAGACAGGGCAAGGACATGGGCAGCCGAGGCCCACAAGGACAGGGTGGCCACAGCTGGGGACACAGGACCCTCTCTTCAGGTGCCGGGGGGTATGTAGGCTCCCAGCATCATCCACCACCCCAGACACCACCTTGGGAAGCAGAAGTGTGAGTGGAAGGAGAAGGACAGAGAGGGGAGAGCAGCTGGGCTCTGAATCCACCAGCTGTGAATGCCACACTGACCAAGTGCTTTCCCCACATGTCTAAACTGGAGGTTAAAATACCACAATCCATGTGTTCAGGCAGACTTTCAGTTGCAGATCACACAAAACCAAACTCAGCTGACCTAAACAATTAAGGGTATGTCTCAGCTTACCTGACCTAGAAGGCCGAAGAAGGGCTAGCTTCAGGCAAGGTCTGATCTGGCAGCCTACATTATATGGGCACACCCAGCTTCTCTCTGCCCTTTCCTCAGCCTCTTTCTTGCATAGCCTCCCCACGGGTCCCAGCAGGCCTGGGCGGTGCTTGCTGGGTTTCTCTCCAGTGGGGATGCAGAGCGCCTCATGCAGCTTCACAGAAGGATGAAGAAGTGCGTCTCACAGATGCCTTGGCAAGTGTCTCCCTGTGTCTCCACGGCCTGACGATGAAGTCTGCTGGTTGGCTTAAAGGAGGGGGGTGGTGGGCACCGTCATGAAGATCCGAGTGCCATTTTCTAAACAAAATGGAAAAGAAAGTATTGTGTGGCCCCAAATAGCTGTGTCCTCCACAAGTGGCAATTTTTTTTTTTCCCCGAGACAGAATCTCACTCTGTCATCCAGGCTGGAGTGCAGTGGCGTCATCTTGGCCCACTGCAACCTCCACCTCCCTGATTCAAGCAATGCTCATGCCTCAGCCTCCTGAGTAGCTGGGATTACAGATGTACAACCACCATACCTGGCTAATTTTTGTATTTTTAGTAGAGATGGGGCTCTGCCATGGTGGCCAGGCTGGTCTTGAACTCCTGGCCTCAAGTGATCCATTCACCTTGGTCTCCCAAAGTGCTGGAATTACAGGCATGAGCCACTGCGTCCAGCCCAAGTGGCAAATTATTTTATTCCTACAGTCAGCAGAAATAAGAGTTACAAATTTTAAACCTATTCCATGCATCAATTTAACAAATCCTGGCCAGGCACGGTGGCTCACACCTGTAATCCCAGCACTTTGGGAGGCTGAGGCGGGTGGATCATAAGTTCAGGAGTTCGAGACCAGCCTGACCAACAAGGTGAAACCCCCGTCTCTACTAAAAAGAGAAAAATTAGCCAGGTGTGGTGGCGCACGCCTGTAATCCCAGCTACTCAGGAGACCGAGGCAGGACAATCACTTGAACTGGCAGGCAGAGGTTGTAGTGAGCCAAGATTGTGCCACTGCACTGTAGTCTGGGCGACAGAGTGAGACTCTGTCTCAAAAAAATAAATAAATAAATAAATAATCCCTTTGAATGTACCCAACAAAAGGTGAAAGAGCTATTTATTACTTACCTTTTGAGTTCTAATAGGAAGTGTTCTATTCTGTTTTCCAGAACCCCAGCCACTCGTAAGTTGTTATTTCCTGGAGAGTCTTATAAAATTTTCTTCAGGGCACTGACTTGCACCCCCAGATGGAGAGCTCTGCCTTTCTTTCCTGATGTAGTCTTTAGGCTCTGTTTTCATTAGGACCCACATAAATGATATAAGTGCTATTCTGAAGTAATTCTAATCAAGGCCTTTACGTTGTTGCCATGTTATTTTTCTGCTTTCCTGATGAATATTCCTCCCATATAATTTAAATATCTATCAAAAGATTTATTAGCAAGGTGTTCATATACCACATAATTACTGCTAAATCTGCACTATTTGAAACCCAAATGAACTTTTAAAATCTTTATACTTTATTATTTTGAGTGATTTAATATTTTCCTATTTCTATCTAGAGTAAACTGAGCCATCCCCTCATTCCATGCATCACCTCACAGTGGGAAGAGGAGCGTTCTGGTACTTTCTGTGCATTGCCTCTTGACAGGGACATATGCAGAGCAGGTTCCACTGTGTGCAGCGCACATTGCTATTTTCTCTTCTATTCAGTTCACCTTTGAAAGTGCTGTTTGTGACCCACTAAGGAACTGGGACCTGCAGTTTAAAATGGATTATCAGGGCCAAAGGCTGGCAGGTGGAGGAGCCTGGCCTCCCTTTGAGTCACGCTGCCCAGCACAGTGACCACAGCCTTGCTGACCCCAGGGGAGCTGCGGGCCCCAAGCTCCGGCCAGCCCTGCTTGGCAGAGGCTCACGCTTCCCCCTGGGGGCCTGGCCCGTTTCCGTGGCTCCTCCCTCTCCCCACTCTGCCCTGCTGGTGACCCAGTGTGGCTCTGCCCTTCCCCTCTGACCCTGCGGCTTGTCCCCTTCCCAGAGGAGGGGCTCCTCTCCCTCTGCCCATTTGTTGTGGTCAAGGGTGCTCATCCTTGCTCCTCGGAGTCCACTGCATGAGCATCTCCTTTCCCGGCAGCTTCCATGCCTGCGCACATGCTCACCAGTCTCAACCCTCTTCATTCAGCTTTCCTTCAGGAATATCAGGAAAAAAAAAAAAGGCACAGTGATTTCACCTTTTTCTTTTCTTTTCTTTTCTTTTTTTTTGAGACAGAGTCTCACTCTGTTGCCCAGGCTGGAGTGCAGTGGCACATTCTTGGCTCACTGTAACCTCTGCCTCCCGGGTTCAGAGTAGCTCAGCCTCCCGAGTAGCTGGGATTACAGACATGCACCACCACACCTGGCTAATTTTTGTATTTTTACTAGAGACCAGCTTTCATCTTATTGGCCAGGCTGGTCTCGAACTGCTGACCTCAAATGATCCGCCCACCTCAACCTCTCAAAGTGCTGGGATTACAGGTATGAGCCACCGTGCCTGGCTGATTTCACCATTTTTAAGCCAGATCTTTGGCTTCTCCTCTGAGCTACCCTGTGGGGGTGGCGATTCCTCAGCTCAACTGGTCACACAGGCTGGAGCCCAGGGGTCCGGGCTGGGCACCAAAGCCTTTGGGCCTCCTGGTATAGCTGTCCCCACCCTTGTTGCCTGCACATCTTGGTGCCAGCCTTCCAGCTCCCCACCCACCTTCCTGCTCTCATCCCTCCAGCCGGGAGAGTCAGAAATGCAAGCCCAGCTCCACAGCTCCAATCCCTAAAGTCTCCAGTGGCTCCCAGAGCTCTTGGGGTAACTAATGTCTGGTCTCCTCACCTAGCTCTTAGGGCTTTGGGTGGTCTGACCCCACCTGCTTCTCCAACCCCATTTCCTGTCACTCTCCATTCATCATCATTCATTCAACAGATGTTTTCTGAACACCTGTGTGCCAGGATGTTCAGGGTGCTTGCACTGTATGGGTCAAAACTCTATCCTGGCTGGGCACAGTGGCTCATGCCTATAATCCCAGCACTTTGGGAGGCTGAGGTGGGCGGATCACAAGGTCAGGAGTTGGAGACCAACCTGGCCAACATGATGAAACCTTGTCTGTACCAAAAATACAAGAATTAGCTGGGCGTGGTGGCGTACACCTATAATCCCAGCTACTCGGGAGGCTGAGGCAGGAGAATCATTTGAACCCAGGAGGAGGAGGTTGCAGTGAGCCAAGATCACACCACTGCACTCCAGCCTGGGTTACAGAGTAAGACTCTGTTCCCCCACCGACCCGCCCCCCGACCGAAGAAACACCTCTGCTCTATGGAGTCTTGGAGATAGAGGGCATGAGACAGCCAATACGCATGTGGAATGAGAAACGATACAGAGGAGAGTGAAATGTGAATGTATGGAACGTATGTAGTGGGGGGACGATTGCCAGCCTCGGGAAAGCAGTGTTCAAGAGGTTGGGGAGGGGGCAGCTGAGCAGAAGCTTTAGTGGGTGAGGGGGGCCACGGGAGTGTATCAGGAGGAGCAGGCAGAGGGGGCTGCCCATCCAAGCCACTCACAGGGTTCCAGACCCCACATGGTGTCAGGGCCACACTGCCCTTCAGGCTGCAGGTCAGGCTCCACGAGCTGCTTAGGTCAAGTGCAGTGGCATCAGCCTGGCTCAGGTGCCATAGCAGGTGTGCTGCTGTGGCCCTCACTCTGAGCTCTGTGCCAGCTGCCCTTTTCTGTGTTTTTGTTGTGGTTTTCACTTGGATTTTCTTTTAATCAAGAAAAATTATTTCAAGAGACCGCTGGCATTGTCTGGCGGACCCTGGAGGCAACAGAACCTTGGCTTAGGGCAGAACTGAGTTCAAATCTCAGCTCAGTCAATAGATGTGTTACTCTAGCAAGTTACTTAACTTATGGAAACCTCACTTTTCTCATCCATGAAATGATAAAAGCAGCACCTTCTTTGCTAGGTTATTGTGAAAATTATTTATTTTTCGTCTTACTCATTCAGCCACTATTTGTGAATTGCTCCTGTGTGCTGGGCTGTGTAGTAGGTGCTGGGGACACGGTGAAAACGCCGTGGGCCCTGCCCCGGGAGGCTGTGTCCAGAGGGCAGAGTGCCGTGTGGCTGTTCTGCACAGCACCTCTCAGGTGCCTCACACAGCCTGGCACGTGTGGGGCGACTGCCACAGCTTTCTCAAGACAAGGAGAGCCAGCATGCCCTCAGGCTGGCCAAGACCCTGTGACTATCACTTTCCTTTGGCTTCATTCCAGAGGCTGCAAGGACATAGTCAACACATTAAAAGCAGGGCTGCCATCACCTTTTCCTTATTTCCACCACCTCCCCAGTTTGGCACCTTCCATCTGGAGCTTCAGTCAGGTAGACAGATGAAGATACCCAGGCCCACACAATACCTAGGGAGAAAAGCAACGGGCTCATGTACCTCCTGGGCGCAACCCCTTCACCCACAGCTGAGACTATTCCCTGCATAGCATTCCACTAACAGCTACTGAGATTTTAACAAATGCCACATTGTAGAATTAAAACGTCATCTCAGCACCTTGCCTTTCACTGAATGTTAAATAAAGGCTGTTAACATTCAATTTTTTTAGATCAGTTCTCTTATTTGCAAAAACATACCAAGTTCACCATGAAAACAGATGCTGGGATGTGCCCCATCCACATGGCTGGCACTTTCCCCTGCAACCACTCATGGGAGACTTGGGCTGCCCAGAGCAACCCATGAGGGCTGAGCACAGGTGCCTTCCTCTGCGGGGTTCAGCTGGGCTTATTTAACAGGCAGCTGAGAAGTGATCTCCACACATTTTGATGTCCACAGTAATAGCAGAAAACTGTATACCCTAGAGGAGATTAAAATTGTAAGAAAATTATTCCAGTTTGCTTCCATCTCCGTAGTTTGGGGAACTTAAACTAGTCATTCTGCTGTATGATTGCGTTACTGTGTGCTCTCTCTGCTCAGCTTAGGAGACACATGGGCATGGTCTCCGCCCCCTGGACATTCGTTGGACCTGGGAGATGAAATGTTCATGGGTGGTCAACACGAGGGGACCAGCTTATGTAATGTAAATAACATGATTGACTCCAACAAATTAGGAGTATGCTGGTTCTGAGGCTTTCACCTGCAGAAACATTCAGATATCACCATTTGCTCTCGGCCTGGGTGGCCAGCTCCTCGCCCGAGGAGAGTAATGGGGAGTCTAGCCCCTCCCAGTAGAGGATGCCTGCAGGTAGTGATCGCTTCTCTATTCTTCTTCCACGAACGGTTCCCCTGCGTGCTAGCACGTGGTGTTGGTCTGTGACGGCAGCCGCTTGCTAGAGTGATGTCTGACTTCGATGCTCTCATGGGCGTGTGATAGCCACGCTTTCATCCACACCCCCAGTGTGCTGGGTGACCCCCACAGGCTTCTCCCACATTTGGACTCTCACCTGGTGGGACCCAGCTTCCTCCCAGATGTTCGGACTCTTGTTAGTTGTCGCTTCCCACCACAGTCACTTTGGTCACCCTCGGTCTTTGGTAGTTCACGTGCTGTATGTGCTAATTGCTCACGTAGACACCTGTGAACATGCGTTTGCTCATGAGGCGTTAGGGACGGCACTCTGTCTGATGGCTGCTTGCATCACAGAGGCCCATAGAGAAGCGCAGCAGTGTTTCATGTGTTTGGAAATGTGAACCCGTGCACATGAACAGACATTCACAGATCTGGTTGGCGCACAGTGCCACAACCAACGGGGAGCATTGGCCATGAAAAGCTTGGCACGGGCTGATATCTCCTCCAGAGAGGCCTTGCTGAAGGCCCATGAAGGTTGGTTACAGAAGAAACACATGTGGTTCTGTGGCCGCTTCCTGTCTCCTGATTTCTTGGAACTCTGCCATGAGTGAGGCTGATTTCCCCAGCCTCACTCCTCAGGGGCCTGAAGTACTCTCTTCTTCCCTCAGAGCACCATGGAGAGTCTCCTGTGACACCCTTTCATTTTGTTCATTTGAACCCTGCGTTATGTGACTTGTATGTGTGATACACACGTCATGACAGACAATAACTCCCAGAAGGCCAGATTTGTGTGCGAGTTCATTTTGCATTGCTGCCCTGGGCTGCATATCGTGGTGCTTTCTCTGTAGCGGAACATCATCAGTATTGGGGGGATGCGTGCACAAGGCACAAGCAGAAGGAAGGAGTTTAGTCGAAGGTGGCAATTTGTACGTTATGTGTATTCAATTTTTATTACTGACATGCTTTCAATGCCTCTCTGTCTCACTCATTCAGTAAACACGCACGTATTACATACTTTCTATGTGTGAGGTGCTCCTGGAAAGGGGGATCCAGGTCTCCAGCTGTTCAACGTTGTGATCAGTACTTGGTCTGAACTGAGAGATGTCAAGGATGCTCTTCAGAGCATTGTGACAGACCCCCAGCCTGCTTAATTAGGGAGCTAGAGGAGGTTTCCTCCTTAAGGAAAGGAGGAAGTCTGCTTGTGTGCAGATTTGAAGGATGAGGAGAAGTCGTGGTATCAAAAAGGTGGGGAGGTTAAAACAATAATGAGATCCCACTACATACCTATTAGAACGACTAAGATCAAAAAGCAAAACAAACAAACAAACAAAAACCTTACATTATTAATTGGTGAGGGTGTGGAGCAACAGGCACTCATTCATTGCTGGTGGGAATGAAAAATGGTACAGCCACTTTTCGAGTTTGGCAGTTTCTTTCAAAACTAAATACCATATGATCCAGCCATTACACACCTAGGCATCCACCAAATTAATTTGAAAACTTATGTCCACACAAGAACCTGCACACAAATGCTTATGGCATCTTTATTCATAATCACCAAAAACTGGAAACAACCAAGATGTCTTTTTAGAAGTGAATAGATAAATAAACTGTGACACATTCATACTGAGAAATATTATTCAGTGATAAAAAGGAATAAGCTACAAAGCCATAAAAAGGCATGGATGAATCTTAAATTCATATTGCCAAATGAAATAAATCAATCTGGAAAGGCTACATACCACACGATTCCAAATTATGTGACATTTTGGAAAAGGTAAAACTGTAGACACAGTAAACAGATGAGTGGTTTCCAAAAGTTCAGAGCTGGCACTTGGGGATGAGGTTGGATAAGTAAAGCTCCGGGGATCGTTTAGGGCGGTAAAACTATTTTGTATGATACTATGATGGTGGATAGCTGACAGTATGCATTTGTCAAAACCAATAGAATGTACAACAGCAAGAGTGAACTATAATGTATGTAAATTTTTAAAAGTCATTTATGAAGTCGGGGGATCTCAGGATGGGAGACAGAATGTGACATGTCCATCTAATTATATTAAATTTGTGTGAAACAACCTCACTGGGGAAAGTTGTTGGGGGGCAGGGGGAGAAAAGAGATGCTGACCTGAAACAAATGGAGTCTTAAAGACAAAAGACAGAAGCAACTGAACACAATTATTGCACTCTAGTTAATAAAGTTGTTTTCCACAGGGGTACAGGTGAACAATTCTGCTACCACTATGTACATATACTGGAATTAAACATGCAGTATTTGTCTGTCTATACCTGGTTTACTTCACTTAGCATAATGGCCTCCAGGCTTATCCATGTTGCTGCGAATGACAGGATGTCATTCTTTTTATAGCAGAATGGTATTTCATTGTGTATATTTACCACATTTTCTTTATCCATTCACCCATTGATGGGCACTTAGGCTGATTCCATATCTCGACTGTTGTGAACGGGGCTGCAGTAAACATGGGAGTGCAGATACTTATTTGTCATACTGATTTCCTTTCTTTTCCATACATCCCCTGCAGTGGAATTGCTGGATCATATGGCATTTTAATTTTTCTTTTTTTGAGGAACCTCCATATTGTTTTCCATAGTGGCTGCACTAATTTACTTTCCCACCAACAGTATATCAGAGTTCCCCCTTTCTTTGCATTATTGACAGCATGTTATTTTTTTTTTTTTTTGCCATTTTTTATAATAGCCATGTAAATTTACATCAGGCTGGCCTCAAACTCCTAGGCACAAGTGATCCTCCTGCCTTGGGTTCCCAAAGTGCTGGGATTACAGGTGGGATCCACTGTGCCCAGCCACAAGCTATTTTTATATTTCATATTCTACCACTTCAAATAAGATGCAAAAGGCTTACAAAAGCCATTGAACTCAAAAAAGCTGATTTATTATATTTACCCAGATACTGACCATTTCTGTTGCTCATCTTTCATTCCTGAAGTTCCAGGTTTCCCTTTGGAAGCATTTCCCTTCAGCCTGAAGAATTTCCTGTAGCATTTCTTTTAGAGCAGGTCTGCAGATGACAGAGTACTTTAATTTTTATTCATCTGAGAATGTCTTTCACTCACCTTCATTCCTGGAGGATAGAATAAAGAGCTCTGAGCTGGCAGTTCTTTCAGTCTGTGGAAGTTGTGGCTCCATTGTCTTCTGGTCTGCATGGTCCCTGACAGGAAATCTGCAGTCACTCACATTGCTGTTCCTCAGCATGAAAAGTGTCATTTTACCCTGGCTAGTTTCAAGATGATTGTTTTTAAATCACAGTTTTTTCAGCAGTTTGATTATGATGTTTCTGGGCCTGGTTATCTTTTAATTTACCATATTTAGGGTTGTTCAGCTTCTCAAATTGGAAAAAGTATGTCTTTCACTAAATTTCAGAATTTGAAGCCATTATTTCTTTAAGAAAACTTTTTTCTGCACAATTCTCTTTCTTTTCTCTAGGAACTAAGAGAACACAATTTGATATTGTATTTTGATATTAGCCCACAGGTCCTTGAGTCTTTGTTTATTGTTCTTCCCTTCTTTAGATTGGATCATTTCTATTGATCTCTCTTCAAATTCAATAGCTGTTTTCTCTGTCATCTCTACACTATTATTGAGCTTATCCTGTAAATATTGGGTATTTTTTGAGGTATCATGTGATTCTAATGTATAGAAAACTTGAGAGCCACTGACTTAATACCCCAAGGCCTTCATGTCCTCATCTTAAAAAAATGAGGATGACAATGTGGCCTTACCACTTCCCAGGGCTTCTAGGGGGAACTAAGGAGCATTGCTGTAAGATTGCAGGACTTTGATGCTTGGCACAATTCGTCAGATTTAGCCAGGGAGTCAAGACCAACTAATAATGCCCAGTGAGTTCTATTCCCAGACAAAGCAGGGTATTATTGTCCAAGGTACTGCCAAGAATCCAAAGGATGTTGTGACAGAAATTCTCATGATTTGAATAGTTGAAACGGGCTAGAAGCATGTGAACTATTGCACATTGCCCAAGTTGTAAAAGTGTGAAGGTGCTTAACAGATGGCCCTAAGAGTTTGCAGGGGACGTAGCACAAGCCACCAAGTTTAGGACAGGCTAAGACAGAGGCAGGTACGAAGTGCCAGGAGCAGTGAGGGAGGGGAATGACCAGCATCAAAGAGACCAGAATTTTCATCTTAAAATGTGTTCTAAAATAAAAGTACAATATACAAATTTCACATAAATCTACCATTAGCGTATGTTGTAGGAATTTTTAAGTTAACTGAGTTCATAATTTGGGCTGCTGTAAAAAGAATGACTGTACATAATTATGTTAAGGGTCACACAGGCTAGAGTCAAAAGGAATTGTTCTCAAATCTGCTAAGTACATTTAGTGGTGTATTCACCAAAATTATGTTTTGATATTAGACAACTGTATTAAGTATTAATGTGCTTATGCATGTTACATTGGCTTACTTGTTTTAATGTTTAATAAAATGTGATGTACATTAAATACCCTAAGTAGTACAGATTAAGAGTAGATATTTTAACTAAAGCTAGTCTCTTATTATTAACAGAATATCCAAGGTATCTCCAAGCACCCAATTCAGATTACTACACCTAAGAATTTTAAAGGTAACTCATTTCTTACTACCTTGCTAAAGTCTCTGGTAACTCTCTTTTGAGATAGGGTGTCACTCTGTCACCCAGGCTAGAGTGCATTTGTGCGATCACAGCTCACTGCAGCCTTGACCTCCTGGGCTCAGGTGATTCTCCCACCTCAATCTCCTGGGTAGCTGGGCCTACAGGCACACACCACCATACTTGGCTAATTTGTATGTGTGTGTATTTTTTGTGGAGATGAGGCTTTGCCATATTGTCAAGGCTGGTCTCAAACTCTTGGGCGCAAGTGATCCTCCCACCTTGGCCTCCCAAAGTGCTGGGATTACAGGTGTGAGCCAGTGTGCCCTTTTTAACATTTTTTAAAAAGTTACTTGTCATTGATTTTCTATATAACTAACTGCTTCACCTTCCTGAAGTTCTCTGTATTTGCATGACCAGGATTTAAACATACATTGAAAGAATGAAAAACAGCTAAAGTGATATGGTACCTCCCTGTTAGCAGTTTACAAGTGGAAATGGATGATAATTATATCAGGAAAGCAGCTTTCCTCCTGCCATCTCTCCCCCACCAGCCTCCCAATAAAGAAAAAACAAACATATAATAGCACTGGTGCTTATTAAAGTTTGAACATTACTGGAAATGTTTATAAAAGCACACTAACACTCTTAAAAAGAGTTTAAGAGCTCATTAAAAAGCACATGAACACTCTTCTTTCTTTTAAGCTATTCTGCTGTGATGCTGATGGGTACATTTCTAAAAAAGAAAAAGTTCAAATCTGAGCAAATGAGAGTTCTGCTGCCCATGCCCTGTACACGTCCTACCCTTGGCAGTGGCGCTCCTGCCCCTGTGCTGGGGGCCCTGCTGTGCAGGAAGGTCCTGGCAAAACAATGAAGCCCAATGAGCAGTCTTGTCTTGTCCTCTTCTCTCCCCTCCCCTCCCCTCCCCTCCCCTCTCCTCCCCTCTCCTCCCCTCTCCTCTCCTCTTCTGTTTTCTTTTTTGAGACAGAGTCTCGCTCTGTTGCCCAGGCTGGAGTGCAGTGTTGTGATCTCAGCTCACTGCATCCTCCGCCTCCTGGGTTCTCCTGCCTCAGCCTCCCTAGTAGCTGGGATTACAGGCATGCACCATTACGGCCAGCTAATTTTTTGTATTTTTAGTAGAGATAGGGTTTCACCATGTTGCCCAGGCTGGTCTCAAACTCCTGGGCTCAAGTGATCTTCCCATCTCGGCCTCTCAAAGTGCTGGGATTACAGGTGTGAGCCAGTGCTCCCCGCCCCAATGAGCAGTCCTTTCTAAAATACATGTGACTGTCCTGAAATAGGGTCCAAGGAGAGGGATCCTGAGCAGCTTCATCCCCTGCTGCCCCTTCCCACATAGACCTTCAATCAGTGAGGCTCAGAGAGTTTCAAGATTGCTTTTACTGGAATGCATTTGGTTGTCAACGTTTGACTTTTTCTTTTCTTCATTAAGAATTCTAGACAGAACAGAAAATTAAAAAAAACAGAAAACCTAGTTAACTTTCAGTAGTAATATGTTATTTTTAAATTACATTAATAAGGCCAGGCGCCATGGCTCACACCTGTAATCTTAGCACTTTGAGAGGCCAAGGCAGGAGGATTGCTTAAGTCTGAGAGTTTGAGACCAGCCTGGGCAACATAGTGAGACCCTGTCTCTACAAGAAATTTTAAAATCAGCTGGTCATGGCAGTGTGCACCTGTAGTCCCAGCTGCTTTGGGAAGCTGAGGCAGGAGTATTGCTTAAGCCCTGGAGTGCGAGGCTGCAGTGAGCTATGATTGTGCCACTGCACTCCAGCCTGGGCAACAAAGTGAGACCCCCATCTCTAAAATAATTAAATTAATAAAAATATTCGGAAAAATTTAAAATCTTAACTCTGGACTTCAGAATAATATTCAAATAATATTGTATTGAGGAATAGCTATGCATCAGTTCATGACCAAATTCACTAAATGCTCTTGAAATAACAATTCAGGTAAAGAAGACAAGATTCTCACGATCTCCCCGAGGGCCATGTTTGTTTCATCCAAAGGCCACACCTTTCTAGCAGCAGGTACGTTGCTGTAGCTTGCTTTATGCATTTTCATAGGGTTCAAAGGTTTAGAAATTGAACAATTCAAAGGTACTTATGGAATTCATTCTTTCAAATAAATTCTTTTTTTTTTTTTTTTTTTTGAGACAAGAGTCTCGCTTTTGTGGCCCAGGCTGGAGTGCAGTGGCATGATCTTGACTCACTGCAACCTCTGCCTCCTGGGTTCAAGCAATTCTCCTGCCTCAACCTCCCAAGTAACTGGGGTTACAGGCATGTGCCACCATGCCTGGCTAGTTTTTGTATTTTTAGTAGGGACAGGGTTTCACTGTGTTGGTTGGGCTGGTCTCGAACTCCTGACCTCAGGTGATCCACCTGCCTTGGCCTCCCAAAGTGCTGGGATTACAGGCATAAGCCACTGCGGCTGGCCTCTTTCAAATAAATTCTAAGGCACAGTACATAATAACAAGTTTTTCTTGCAGTGTCCCGTCACATCACCGTATCTAAATCCCAGATACCTTTGGCCCTGCCCCCGTGCTTTGTCTGCCCTGCTCGCTGCGGCCTTGCCGGACCCTACTCCTCCCAGCTAAGAGTCAGCTCCACTCCAGGCCCTTGCCCAGGCCATTCCTCTTCCCCAGAGACCATCTTGGTGCCCTCCTTTGCCACCTCCGTGCCTTTACTCAATGTCACTTTGTTGATGGGGCCTATAAATAGGATAACTGGTCATCCTATTTATCACAACTCCCCTCCACGCACACATTCTCACTCACTCCTGAGCCTCCTCACCTTGCACAATCCTCCCCATTTCATTTCTCACCTCCTGACACTGAGGTCAGAGGACCCTGGGAGATGGGAGGCAGGGACATGGACCTTGAGGCTACAGAGTCAGGAGAGTCTGAGGGTGGCCGGGGTGCGCAGCAAACACGAGGAACATTGCTGGCAAACTCTAAATTAATGCAGAACTGTATCTCACAGACTTTTCACAGATTGAATTGCGCATTCTTACACATTTATCTGGAGATCCGGAACTTCTGAAGTTATTCCAGGAATCTGAAAGAGATGATGTATTTTCTACTCTGACTTCACAGTGGTAAGATATATGAACTCACAATATTATCAGATCTGCAGGAAGGCCAACATGAGTTTAAAAGCCTGGAATTATTCCAAGGCTACTTTCATAAGGCAGAAATTATATTTTTTGTGGCTAATAGCTAATCATTTTGAAAAGAAGAGTAGATAACTAGGATGCCATGAGTTACCTAATTGTGAAGGAAGTGATGGTTCTTCCCCACTAAAAAAAAGAAGTCCATTCCTAGAGAATGTAATAGAAATGATAAAATAACCAGCGAGTCCCGCGCCCTGCAGGCGAGCACCACGGAAAGAGCGAGCCCGCGGTGCTGGCTGTGAGCCACTGCCCTCCGAGGAGAGCCAAGGTGCTTGCTGCGTACTCACGCCCCAGCCCATCTGTGGGCCAGGGGCTTCTTGAGCTGCGGGTGAAAGATCCTGCCTGAGTGGCTTACACTCACAGAGAATTCCAGAGGCAGATGGGCTCGGGTTTTGTTGGGCAGCTTGGCAGTGTCGTCCCAGGCCCGTCCTTTTTCATCATATTCTCAGGACGTTGGCTTCTCTTCCTCCTGGTGGAATACCTGCTCCGGTCTCCAAAGCAGGATGGAGAGACGGGTGCAAGGCTCTCTCTCACCCCTCTCCTCTGCCCAGGAAAGTCAAGGTGCTCTTGGAGAGCCCGGTGCAGACAACAGCTATACCCACTTTCTAGAGCAGGTCATGCAGCTGCACCAGCTGCAAGGGAGGTGGAGAGATTATACTCCAGAAAAAAGGAGGAGTGGATTATTGTGTTTGGCTTATACATCACAGGTGTTCACCGGGCCGGGTGCATCAGTGCCCCTTTGAGGAAGGGGAGGGGGAAGTGTGTGCTGGCTGTTGGAAGGTCCGTGTGTCTGAGTCACTGTCCCCTCCCTCATCAGCTGCAGGTGCCACCTCCCCATCACCTTGGGCCTCTTCTGCTCCCCCTACGGCCCCCTCACCCCTCCCTATGGCCCCCTCACCCCTCCCTACCCTCCGTCCCAGCTCATCTCCTGCCACCTGTTCACCCTCACGATGTCACACAGAAAGGCTGCCCAGCACCTGGGGGTGGGAGATGAGGAAGCAGATCATGGGGATCGGAGAAGTCAGAGGAGCAGAGTCCTAAGCGGGTGAGGGGTCTGTCCTTCAGCCCCTCACTAGGCCGGCCCCCTGCACTCCCCTCCCCATGCGCTGTCTCCGCCTCTGTCTTTGCTGAAGGCGGGGGACCTGCGAGGGCTCTGGCTGCTCTCTGGCCTGGTTGCCACCCACTCTCCTGGTGCTCCCTCTTCAGCTGCCCTGGCTAGGCCTGAGCTCACCAGTTACCCGCCTCACTCTGGCCTTTCCTGTCCTGGGGCTCAGGAAGCTCTTTCCCCGAATGTCCGTGTGTCTCCCTCCCCTACCTCATCCAAGTGGGCCCTCCCGGCGTCTCCTCAGGGCCCTCCCCTGACCACCCTCCCCTGATGCTGGGCACGGCGCCGCTCCTCTCTGGTCTCCACTCCTCTCTGGTCTCCACTCCTCTCTGGTCTCCGCTTCTCTCTGGTCTCCGCTCCTCTCTGGTCTCTGCTCCTCTCTGGTCCGATGCACATTCCCATGTATTGCTCTACTGTCCATCCTGCTGCAGCGACAGCGCCCAGGGGCCGAGACCTCATCCACCCTCGTCCCTACTGTGCTCCACAAAGGGTGGGGACTCACAAAGGATTTGTCAAATAAATGAATGAATAGTATAGAACGCAAACTTGCGTTTGAATCAGAAAATCTCTCCAAAAAGGCTACCACCACAGGACTCTTACTTGAATGACAAAATTCAGGAAGAAATATTTTATATACGGGGAGCAGAGGATTGAGAATGTTACTCTACACTCACCTGGACTTTGGAGTAGCTGTGAAATTGTGTTTATGGTGACAGCAGGGAAAGTGACAAAAGCAAAGAATAATGAAGTGTTTGCCCAGCACAGGAAGAGGCACTGTACCGGGTCGATGTGACGAGCACAGCACATGGTGGGGTCCAGGGCACCAGGAGCCAAGGCCAGCTTTTGGGCACTGGAGTCCTGCCTCCCACCCAGTATGCAGGGCATCCTCTTGTCGTTCTCTCCTGTCCTCTGTCCTCCTCCTTAGACCCTGCACCTTACCCTCTGTGACCCTGTCCTTTCACATGAGTGGCCTCCACCCCAATCGGGGCCCACTCTAGGACTCCAAGCTCTCCACCTCTCAATGCCCATATCTGCACTGGGTCCTCGCTGGCCTCACTCACAGCTCTGCCAGTGGCCTTCCTCCTGGCATCTCTGTCCAGGTCTGTCACTTAGCCAGTCTTGCCTGCACCCCACTGAGCTCCAAAAGCACTGAGACCCAGTCAGCTCCAGCTCCTCCTGGGCACTCAGGAAAGGTCGCAGGATGGATCCCGGGACACACATAGACCCATTGTTATCTCCGCTCAGCCCATCAGCTGCCCCCTTAGGAAGCTGTGTTCCTCTGACTTCTCCCTGCTCTCTGGTTTCCAGCCCTGAGTGATCCCCATTATTTACTTGCTCACCTCTTACCCCACCCCAGGTGCTGGCGGAAGTTGCAAGGTGGTGGCAGCTGAGTCCACTAGAAATTCAGGCCATGTGGACTGAGAGAAGCCCTTAATATTCTTGACTTCCTGTCTTCTCTTGTTGCTCCAGACTTTTTTGATCTTCCACAAATAACTACTATTCTCTCTTAATCTCCAAAAAGAACCCCCGCTCTTACTTAAGTGACAAAGTAGAAGGCCTAAGACAGGGGCTCCTGAACTCCCTTCCACCCCACCTCACTGTCTCCGTATACCCTCCTCCCCCTCTCCAATGGCTCCTGTCTCAAAGGAGGGAGCTTCTCTGTTGCCAGGATAAGAACTGCAGTGCACATCTCCAGGAGTCGCCACATGTCTAGACCTGTGTGCCTGGCTCCTCCTACAGCTGTGCAGTGCACAACCAGCCCAGCCTTACATGGCAGCCTTCATCCATGTTCCTTTTATTTTCCATTTTTACTCTAGCATTGTTAACATATCCTTTGTTGATTTCCTCGTTCCCCTCTACTGGGGGACAAAAAACCTGCTTTAGGATTGCCCTAAATATAACCCTAGAAAGAAATCCTATCTTCAACCTGGTTGAAGACCTCATTTATTGCTTAGGTACAAAAGAAATCTATACTTACTCCCTTTACTTTCTCACTGCCAGCTCTTTCTTGCTTCTTAAAACAAACTTTCATTTTACCTACATAGGCGTTTATTTGTATTTGAAGCCTGGAGCTCCTCACATCTAAGACAATGATCGCCTCCAGGATGTGCCTGGCTCCGAGGTCCAGGGCCAGCAACAGCAACGAGGACCCCACCCCCAGCAAGGGACAAGTCAAAGCCTCCACAGGGTCTTTGTGGGTGTGCAGCATCCCTGGGCCCTGCCTGTCCCGGTGCTTTCTCCTGGTCTCTGTGCCCCCGCTCCTGGGAAAACATCCTTCTCCTAAGCTCTCACCATCTTTTAAAATCAAGATATAATTCACAGACCATAAAATTCACCTTTTTAATGTTACAATTGGCCTGGCACAGTGGCGCATGCCCATAATCCCAGTATTTGGGGAGGCAAAGAGGAGAGGATCACTTGAGGCCAGGAGTTTGAGACCAGCCTGGGCAACATGGCAAGACTCCCATCTCTACAAAAAAAATTTTTTTTTAAATTAGCCGGATGAGGTGGCACACGCCTATCCTGTAGTCCTGGCTGCTTGGGAGGCTAAGGAGAGAGGATTGCTTGAGCCCAGGTTGAGGCTGCAGTGAGCTATGATTACACCACTGCACTCCGCCTCGACAGAGCAAGAACCTGTCTCTCAAAAAATAAAGTTACAATCACGACTATCTAATTCCAGAACATTTCGATCACCCCAAAAAGAAAACTCATGCCCATTAACCACCACTCCCAATTCACCCCGCCTCCCGGCCCTGGAAACCACTCATCTACTTTCTGTCTCTAGATTTACCTATTCTGGACACTTCACATTAATGAAATTGTACAACATGGAACCTTTTGTATCTGGCTTCTTTTGCTGAACATAGTATTTTCAAGGTTTATCCATGCTGTAGGAGCTAACAGTACTTCATTCCTTTTTAAGGCTGAAAAATACTCTATTATATGGAATAATATATTCTATATATTTCAATATAAATAAGCAAATAATCCGTGTATTTATCTATTCATCAAATGTCCTTTGATGGACATTTGGGTTGTTTCCACTTTTTGTCAATTATGAACAATGCATTATGCACATTTGTATACAGGTTTGGTTTTGGTTTTGGCTTCGGTTTTGGTTTTTTTTTGAGACAAGGTTACACTCTGTCCCCTAGGCTGGAGAGCAGAGGCACGATCTTGGCTCACTGCAACCTCTGCCTCCCAGGTTTGAGTGATTCTCCAGCCTTACCTCCCAAGTAGCTGGGACCACAGGTACATGCCACCATGCCTGGCTGAATTTTTTTTTCTTTTTTTTTTTTTTTTTTTTTGAGACAGGGTCTCACCCTGTCGCCCAGACTGGAGAGCAGTGGTGCAATCTTGGCTCACTTCAACCTCCGTCTCCCAGGATCAAGCGATTCCTGCCTCAGCCTCCCGAGTAGCTGGGATTACAGGTATGCGCCACTACCACCCAGCTAATTTTTGTAATTTTAGTAGTGAGAGGGTTCCACTATGTTGGCCAGGCTGGTCTTGAACTCCTGACCTCAAATGATCCACCTGCCTCGGCCTCCCAAAGTGCTGGGATTACAGGTGTGAGCCACTGCACCCAGCCTAATTTTTGTATTCTTAGTAGAGATGAGGTTTCGCCATGTTGGCCAGGCTGGTCTCAAATTCCTGATTACAAAGCAACCTACCTGCCTCAGCCTCCCAAAGTGCTGAGATTACAGGTGTGAACCACCACGCCCAGCTGAGGTTTGGTTTGGTTTGGTTTGGTTTGGTTTGGTTTCTGAGATAAGATCTTGATCTGTTACCCTTAGTGGGAATGCAGTGGCTCACTCCCACTCACAGCTCACTGCAGCCTCAACCGCTTGCTGGACTCAAGCAATCCTCCTGCCTCAGCCTCCTGAGTACCTGAGACCACAGGCACATGCCAGCATGCCTGGCTAGATTTTTTTTTTTCTTTTTGGTAGAGGCTCTGTCTTCCTATGTTGCCTAGGCTGGCCTCAAACTCCTGGGCTCAAGCAATCCTCCCTCCTTGGCCTCCCAAAGTGCTGGGATTACAGGTGTGAGCTACCGCCCCTGGTCTGTGTGCAAGTTTTTGTGCAGACATACATTTAAATTTCTCCTGAGTGTATACCTAGGAGTAGACATGCTGGGTCATAAAATAATTCTATGTTTAACTTTTTTTCATTGTGGTAAAATACCCATCCCATAAAATTTACCATCTTAATCATTTAAAATGTGCAGTTCAGTGGTACCCATATTTAACTTTTCCATGACCTGCTAAACAATTTTCCAAAAATGCTGCACCATTTTACATTCCCACAGGTGTGTGGGGTTCAAGTTTCTCTGCATTCTCACCAATACTTTGTATTACCTGTCTTTTTGATTCTAGCCATCCTGGTGAGTGTGAAGTGGTATCTCATTGAGCTTTGACTTGCATTTCCTTGATGGGGATGGATGTTGAGCACGGTTTTGTGGGCTCATCATTTACTCTCTGTCCCTGCCCCTCCTCTACCTCTGAACACAGGTGCACCCTGGGGTGTTTTACTTGCCTCCCTTTCTCTGTGTCCCTCCTCCCAGAAGGTGTCCTTTTTTCTCACTTTCGCTTTCCTTCCAGTTAAGATATAAGACAATATAGAATTTTTAAAGTATGTAATAAATTTAATAACACCCCTGCTCTCTCTCCAGAGGTATGGGAAGTCTTAGAAGATGGTTTTAGTTCAGGCAGGAAGACTATTTTGCCTCTTGGTTTGAGCTTTGTTGCCACCTTAGTGCTTGGATGGAATAGGTGTCCTGGATTTCCTACCTTAGAACGTGTGAGAGGATCTCTGCGATTCAAGGCAAGTGTTGGTGATTAGATCACGAGCATGTTACTTTCTTCAGTGGGCCCAAAGCTGCTCTGGCTGTTGCTAACCAAGTATTACAGCAAAGCATTTTTGTCAAAGTACTGGGAAAAGGATATGGGTAAAGTGGGAAAAGTATAGCACGAAATGCTTACATTAGAAATCAGGAAAGATCTCAAGTCAAAAGTTTCTATCTCAAGAAACTTGAAAAAGAAGAGCAAAAGAAACCCAAAGCAAGCAGAAGGAATGAAGTAATAAACAGCAGAAATCAATGAAATTGACAATAGGAAAACAATAGAGGAAATTGGTAAAAAAAAAAGTTAGCTCTTTGAAAAATCAGCAAAATTGATAAACTCTAACAAGGATGACAAAAAATGAAAATAGATGATGTAAATCATCAATATCAGGAATGAAATAGGAGATATATCCATAGATTCTGCAGACATCAAAAGGTTAAAAAGGGAATACTATAACAATTCAACAATTTAGAAGAAATGCACCAATTTCTTGAAAACCACAAACTACCAAAATCTAACTAAGATGAAATAGATAACCTAAATATTCCTATAACTATTTAAGAAATTGAGTTTGTCCCTTAAAATTTCCTGAAAAAGAAACCCTCAGGCTCAGATGGCTTCCCTGGATATATATATATATTTTTTTTTTTTTTTTTTTGAGACAGAGTCTCGCTCTGTCACCCAGGCTGGAGTGTAGTGGCGCAATCTTGGCTCACTGCAACCTCCGCTTCCCAGGTTCAAGAGATTCTCCTGCCTCAGCCTCCGGAGTAGCTGGGATTACAGACATCTGCCACCATGCCCAGCTAATTTTTGTATTTTTAGTAGAGATGGGGTTTCAGCATGTTGGCCAGCCTGGCCTCGAGCTCCTGACCTCAAGCAATCCACCTGCCTCCGCCTCCCAGAGTGCTAGGATTACAGGCATGAGCTACCACACCCAGCCCCAATAGCATATTTTAATGGTGAAAGAATGCCTTCCCCCTAAGATCAGGAACAACTTATTAATATTGCATATTGAAGTTCTAGCCACTGCACAAGATAAAAAAAGGAAATGACATATAGATTGGAAAGGAAGAAATAAAACTGTCCCTCTTAGCAGATGACATGATTGTCTATGTGCAAAATCCCAAGGAACAGACAAAAAGAATTGTTTTTTAACTCTTAGAACTAATAAGTAAGTTCACCAAGGTTGCAAGACCTAAAATCAGCTCACAAAAATTGGTCACATTTATATAAATTGACAATGGACATGCAGAAATCAAAATTAAAAACACAATGTCATTAATAATCACTCCAAAGATGGCCAGGCACAGTGGCTCACACCTGTAATCCCAGCACTTTGGGAAGCCAAGGTGGGTGGATCACCTGAGGTCAGGAGTTCGAGACCAGCATGGCCAACATGATGAAACCCCATCTCTACTAAAAATACAAAAAATTAGCCGGTTGTAGTGATGAGCGCCTGTAATCCCAATTATTCGAGAGACTGAGACAGGAGAATCACTTGAACCCGGGAGATGGAGGTTGCAGTGATCTGAGATCGCGCCACTACACTCCAGCCTGGGTGACAGAGCGAGACTCTGTCTCAAAAAAAAAAAATCACTCTATAGATAATAAAGTACTTAAATTTCAGTTAACAAAACATGTATAAGATCTATATGCCTAAAAGTATAAAATGCTGATGAAAGGAATCAAAGAATTCAAGAGAAATACCATGTTCGGGGTATGGAAGACTCAACATACAAATAATGTCAATTCTCCCAAAATTGGTCCATAGGTTTATAGTGCAATTCCTATTAAAACCCAAACAAGGTTTTTGTAGACATGGACAAGCTTAGTCTAAAATGTATATGAAAAGGCACAGGGCTTAGAATAACTAAAACAGTTTTGAAGAAAATAAAATGGGAGGAATCACCCCACCTGATATTAAAACTTTATATATATAGTAATCAAGAGAGTGTGGTGCTGACAGAAGGATAGGCACCTTCTGATCAATGGAACAGAAAAGAGAAACCAGAAATAGACCCACACAAATATGCTTAACCGATTTTTGACAAAGTTGTAATGTATTAGGAAATAATTCTCTTCAGATTTGTGTCAAGCTGAGCACTCATAAAGCCAACTTGAAAAGTTCATATCTACATTGAATATAGCATATGTCTTCCCTGCATTTTATTAGCTTGTATTAGTTCTTGGGAGAACTTCAAAAATAAGAAGCTTTTAGTATTTGCATGGTGGTTACTTCTAATTCCCCATCAGCAATAGTAATCCAACATTCGTGACTTATACTATAATTAGTTGCTGTGGAAATAATTTTTATGTTCCAAGCAGAGGACTAGAATAGCATGTGGTAAAAAAGCAGCAAGATCAAATACACTCTTAAAAATGTTTATTTCATGTAAATGCCTTATTGTTTGAAACACAAAAAGCAAAAAGGCAATTTGATGTTATATTCTGAAATACTTAGTAACGTTTTCAAAGAATAACAATTTCCTTGAAAAACCTTTAAGCTTATATAAATGGAGTTAGGAAGAAATCAAAGAAATCAACTATAAAGCCACAATTTGAGAGACTGGTGCTGAGACCCACAGAGCTGGGATTTGCCCAGGGAATGCACATCAGACAGGACCTCAGAGCTGATTACTGCAGCTCCAGCAGCTTCACACACACACGTGTGCACACACATGCACACACACACAAGCAAAAGACACAGCCATTATGCACTTCGGGGTCCAAGACATGCCATTAAGGCGCCTTCTTCAAGGAACCATCACGTCTTTGGCTCATTAGGTGAATTCCTAAAAGTTTTATAAAATGCAAATACAAAACAATTCTTATCAGCTGTGCATTCAACTCAGCATTTTCAGACTGAAACTTAGAAGAACTTTTAACTGCAGAATATGTTCATTTTTTCTTCTGCTTAAGATGGTTTTGGAGTGCTTCTCTGAGACTGTCTCTACTTGCCAATGACATGATTGTCAATATAGAAAATTCCAAGGAATATACAGAAAAAGTACAGGCAAGTGTGGAAGACAGTATTGCTGTCTGTGGCTCCCTGTCCAGGGAAGATGGTGCTTCCGTACCTGGTAGGGGTCAGACTTGGCCATGTGACTTGCCAATGGAACATGAGTAAAAGTGACATGTCACTCCTAAGCAAGACTTTAAGAGTCTGCACGTGGTTCCTCTTCATCTCTTTCCCTCTATTACAACTGCTGGTAAAATTTTTGATAGAGGTTGCTCCATCATCTTGCATTGTAAATGGTGGACCAACCTGTGATGGAAGGTAGTGAGGATGAGAAATAAACCATTCTTGCTGTAAGGCAGTGAGGGTTGGGAGTGACTTCTCATGGTAGCATAACCTGGCCTATCGTGGCATCTGCAGGAACTGCACTGTAAGATGCTATTAAAAAATCCTGAAATGTGTGGCACTGGCTTCAGGGCCAGGGCAGGCAGTGAGGAGATGCTTACTGGAGGATGAAGGATGGCACTTGGTAAATGGTATAACATTTGGTAAAACTGTCACCTGTGATAACTTGTAAGGCAAATAATATCCCTAATGAGCTTGCGGCTTTAGGCAGAGATGGGCCAACAGAATGCTAGAACGTGCTTTGAGCTATGTCTACATGTGACAAGGTATTATAAGTAAGAGACAAACTCAGAAAAGAATTGGCCTATGTACAAGTAGGAATGAAAGTGAAGAATGAGATTCCTGAAAGTTGGAGTCTTGCACATTTAAATATATCGATGATTCTCATGTCCAGCCAGTAAAAGAAAAATCTGAAAAGGCCTGTGAGCAACAAAGGCCAATTAAAACACAGAAATCAAAGATGTGGCCTCAATACCTACTGCCAACACACCAGAAAGAATTAGGCTGACACCCCAAAATCCTTACAGTTGGGCAACATAGCTCTGGCAAAAAGAGAGTAAAAAAGGGTAAAAGTTTGTGGCTCTCCCCTATGCTCCTGATAAACTCAAGGTACCTGCAGTGAAGTCTAGACAAAGGATACATCTCTCCAAATTAACTGTGGGTGTGTCTGTTGGTGCATAGATAGAGCTGACTAAAGTCAAATAGGTAAGAAGCTGTTCACATTTGTAAGAGTTGTACTGCCCAAAGAACCACCCATCTGGGCTCAAAGGGACTGATTACCTGAAACTTAAAGCAACCCTTGGGCTCCAGGTCTTCTATAGGCAGGAAACAGCCTGGGAAATACGCTCATTCCCCAAGGAAAGCAAATTCTTCACTGCTCTCTTACATGTAACCAAGAAAGGTAATGGAAAAGGAAGTCCCAGAAAGTGGAGCAAAAGGCCATGGAGAACAATGGACTAGGAAGATACTCCCAAGGGAGCAGATTAAGGGCCTAATCCAGGACCTTTGCCCAAGCCTAGAGAAGACCTCCCTCAACACCTACCCAGTCAGGATTCAGAGCTGCCATGGGCCGGTGACTGCTGTGTGTCTCACATTCTTCCCCTTTCCAAATGGAGTGTTTATTGTGGCTGTCCTGTCCCTGTCCCACCATTGCATAGCACATTTATGGGGTGACAGACTTGCCTTCTTAGTTCATTAGTCTCCAGATCAAAGGGGCCACATCATGTCCTGATATAAGGATGATCACAAAATCCTGGACTTCCAGCCTGCTGCCCTGATAAGATGAAATTTTGGATTGTCACCCATGGTGAGGGGATAAATATATTCTGTGTGTACAAGGGGGAGAAAAGCAAATATTTGTAATCAAAAAGGTCACAAACAGACTGTATTATTATTAAAAAATATTTATTACCCCTCCCTAAATGAAGAGTATACTTCCTCATCCCACTGACTCAGGGTTAGCCACGTGGCTTGCTTCAGCCAGTGATGTGAATGGAAATGACGTGTATCACTGCTGGATAGAAAACTTAAGAGCCAACACATGGTTCCCATTTTATCTTCTTCTTCTGCCATGACAACCACCAGTGACCCAGATGTAGTCTGGGCCACAATCCCGAATCACAGAAAGCAATGACATGGAACAGAGCTGCAGTGGACCTGTAATGGACATGTTGCATGAATAAGAAATAAACCCTGGTTTTGTGTAAGCCTTTGAGCATAACTTAGGCTGTCCTTACCGTATAGCACAGGTGCAACTATTTGTTTTGTCAGTATTTGGGTATGTCTTCATTAAAAATGAAATCAAATCCCACTTTCTGTCTGCTTCATTAAAGAGTTTTGCTAGGCGTCTGAGTCAGCAGATTTGTGTTGCAGAGAATATGTGCCCTCTAGGTACTCTAGACTGACTTTCAGAGGCCATTTGAGAAGTCTTCTGCCTGGAAGGCCAAGAACAACTTTGGAAGGGAGCTCTGTTGGAATGCCATGAATGGGTGCAGAAAAGTCCCTTCGTGACCTTATAGTTTGGGGTCCTGGGTCACACTGCCACATGGTAGAGGAGCCAAGTTTGCAGGCCACTTGCCCTTGCAAGGCAACAAGAGTTCCCCTACATCTTTCTCTGTATGCACACCCTATCCTATACTAGATTAGATGTTCTGAAACATGGATTTGGGTTTTTTTTTTTTAATTGGTAATTCATGAGAAGAAGGATTAATTTCTAGTTAAGCTGGAAAAAACCATGAGACATTCGTTGTAACTCTAACAATCAAACCAAAATGAACTACAAAATCAGTTTTCTGAACTTCTCAGAGAGCTGGTGATATAGCTAAGTGAACAGAACTCCAGAAAGCGATGAGCTTTTCATAGAAAAGAAAAAACCATGGATTTTCTCATGCCTAGGGAAGGAGAGGATGAGGAGGAATCTTCCATAGATGAGGGAAGAAGAAACCAGCTGAACTTTTAATTAACATGTGGGTTGGTGTGACAGATTAGAATTCTAAAGAGCCCCAGCTCCAGAGCACATCCATTTATCAACTTGCCCACAAGTCTTTCCAGAGTGTCTAGGGACAGACATCAAAGCTGGGGGCAGGGTAGGAGAGCTGAGAGAAGAAATCAACTAAGGTATTTCAGACCTTCAGCTGCAAAGAGCTGGAATAAGGCAGAAAAACCAGGAGAAACTCCTCCAGGCCTTTTGGAAGGGAAAAAAATCAAGGTGCAGAAAGCTGGAATGGGATGGGACTAGAGGGCAAAGTGAACCCGAAAAGCTGGCAGCTGGTCTGAAACACATGGGTCTCCTATCGTCTGAAAAGCTGACAGCTAAGCTATAAAACTCCAAGAAATCCTGAAATTGTGCAGTTCTTAGACTCCGGACCCCACAGAAGGGAAAATTCTGATCCCATTCACAAAACATTTCAAACCAGTAGTGAACTGAATCAAAACTAGAGTTGCAATGAAGTCCAGACCCAGCCCAGTTACGGGTCAGATTGACTTTGCTTCCAAATCTAGTGGCTTGACATAAGAAGTGGTGTGTCCTTTTTAGGAAATAAATATTGACTTCAGTCTCTACCATTCTTTTATGCAAAATATCTAGCATATAATAATTTTTCTAAGTTATGAGACCTAAGAAGAAGCAAGAACATGTGACTGTGACCAAGAGAGTAAGTAGCCAATGGAAATCAACAAAGGAGATATCTGGCCCAGGTATTGGGACTTTCAGAAGAGACTTTTAAAAATTATGATTAAAATGCTAATATGTCTCAGATGAATAGATGATATGTATTAAGAGTTGATAAATTTCAATAGAGAAGTGAAAACTACATAGGGGAATCAAATAGATTGGAAGAGATGAAAAATACTACATCAAAAAAGAGGCCGGGCACAGTGGCTCATGCCTGTAATCCTAACACTTTGGGAGGCTGAGGCAGGCAGATCACTTGAGGTTAGGAGTTCGAAACCAGCCTGGCCAACATGGTGAAACCCCATCTCTACTAAAACTACAAAAAAAAAAATATATATATATATATATATAGCTGTGGTGGTGGACACCTGTAATCCCAGCTACTGGGGAGGCTGAGGCAGGAGATTGCTGGAACCAGGGAGGTGGAGGGGTTGCAGTGAGCCAAGATCACACCATTGCAGTCCAGCCTGAGCTACAGAGCGAGACTCCATCTCAAAAAACAAACAAAAACTAAAGAACCCATTAGATCAGCTTCACAGGAGATAAGATTTCACCATAGGAAAGAATCCATGAACCTGAAGACAGGCCAATAGAAAGTGTCCAAAATGAGATACAAAGGAAAAAAAAAGTGGAAGCCCTCCCCCCAAAGAATCCAAGATCTGTGCAACAATATCAGATGGACTAACTTATGTATATTTGGCATCTCACAAGCAGAAGAGAGAGAATAAGGTAAAAGAAATATTGGAAGGTATGATGGCTGAGAATTTTCCAAAATTGATTAAAGATGTCAATCTACGTATCCAAAAATCTCACCAAATCCCAAATGGGTTAAATGCAAAGAACACAACACATTAGACAATGTAAAATCAAGCTAATGAAAACCAAAGATAAAATCTTGAAAGCCATCTGAGGACAAAAGACACATCATGTGTATACAAAGGAACAACAATACAAATTAAAGCTGACTTTTTACCAGGCACAGTGGAGGCCAGAAGATGATGGAATAACTTCCTTCAAGTGCTGAAACACTTAGAGAATGTAGAATATAGAACTCTGTATCCAGAAAATTGTCTTTCAAAAATTAATGCAAAAGATACATTTTCAGATATATAAAATCCAAAGGAATGTGTCTTAGTAGACCTGCACTACTAGAAATGGTAAAAGAGGTTCTTCAGGCTGAAGAGAAATTATACCACATAAAACCCTGGATCTTCAGGAAGAAAGAGCACCAGAATGGGTAAATATCAGGGTAAATATTTTTTAAATTTTATCTTTATTTTACATAGTTTATTTTATATATTTTTATATAGTTCTGTATGTAGTTTATATATAGTTCTGAATTATTCAAAAGACTATTAGCAGGCTGGGCACGGTGGCTCATGCCTGTAATCCCAGCACTTTCAGAGGCTAAGGTGGGAGGGTCACTTGAGTCCAGGAGTTCAAGACTTGCCTTGGAAACATGAAGAAACACCATCTCTACAAAAAATACAAAAATTAGCTGAGCATGACGTGTGTGCCTATAGTGCAGGCTACTTGGGAGGCTGACATGGGAGGATCACCTGAGCCCAGGAGGTTGAGGCTGCAGTGAGCTGTGATCGCACCATTGCACTTCAGACTGGGTGACAGAGTGAGAATCTGTGTCAAAAAAAAAAGACATTATTATTATTATTATTATTATTATTATTATTATTATTATTATTTTGAAATGGAGTCTTGCTCTGTCACCCAGGCCAGCACGCAAAGGCACAATCTCAGCTCACTGCAACCTCCGCCTCCTGGGTTCAAGCAATTCTCCTGCCTCAGCCTCTCAAGTAGCTGGGATTACAGGCATGTACCACCACGCCTGGCTAATATTTGGATTTTTAGTAGAGATGGGGTTTCTCCATGTTGGCCAGGCTGGCCTCAAACTCCTGACCTCAGGTGATCTACCTGCCTTGGCCTCCCAAAGTGCTGGGATTACAGGCATGAGCCACCATGCCCAGCCATTTTTTTTTTTGAAAAAGGTTTATAGCATAGATAGAAGTAAAATGTAAGACATCAAAAGTACAGAGGAGAAAGGGGAATTATACTATTATAAAGTACTTACGCTGTCCCTGAAATATTATAATGGCATGTAAAGATAGATTGTGATGACTTAAAGATGCATATTATAATATCTTTTATTATTATTATTATTATACTTTAAGTTTTAGGGTACATGTGCACAATGTGCAGGTTTGTTACATATGTATATATGTGCCATGTTGGTGTGCTGCACCCATTAACTCGTCATTTAGCATTAGGTATATCTCCTAATGCTATCCCTCCCCCCTCCCCCCACCCTGCAACAGTCCCCGGTGTGTGATGTTCCCCTTCCTGTGTCCATGTGTTCTCTTTGTTCAATTCCCACCTATGAGTGAGAACATGCAGTGTTTGGTTTTTTGTCCTTGCGATAGTTTGCTGAGAATGATGGTTTCCAGCTTCATCCATGTCCCTACAAAGGACATGAACTCATCATTTTTTACGGCTGCATAGTATTCCATGGTGTATATGTGCTACATTTTCTTAATCCAGTCTATCATTGTTGGGCATTTGGGTTGGTTCCAAGTCTTTGCTATTGGGAATAGTGCCACAATAAACATACGTGTGCATGTGTCTTTATAGCAGCATGATTTCTAATCCTTTGGGTATATACCCAGTAATGGGATGGCTGGGTCAAATGGTATTTCTAGTTCTAGATCCCTGAGGAATCGCCACACTGACTTCCACAATGGTTGAACTAGTTTACAGTCCTACCAACAGTGTAAAAGTGTTCCTATTGCTCCACATCCTCTCCAGCACCTGTTGTTTCCTGACTTTTTAATGATTGCCATTCTAACTGGTGTGAGATGGTATCTCATTGTGGTTTTGATTTGCATTTCTCTGATGGCCAGTGATGATGAGCATTTTTTCATGTGTTTTTTTGCTGCATAAATGTCTTCTTTTGAGAAGTGTCTGTTCATATCCTTCACCCACTTTTTGATGGGGTTGTTTGTTTTTTCCTTGTAAATTTGTTTGAGTTCATTGTAGATTCTGGATATTAGCCCTTTGTCAGATGAGTAGGTTGCAAAAATTTTCTCCCATTCTGTAGGTTGCCTGTTCACTCTGATGGTGGTTTCTTTTGCTGTGCAGAAGCTCTTTAGTTTAATTAGATCCCATTTGTCAATTTTGGCTTCTGTTGCCATTGCTTTGGTGTTTTAGACATGAAGTCCTTGCCCATGCCTATGTCCTGAATGGTATTGCCTAGGTTTTCTTCTAGGGTTTTTATGGTTTTAGGTCTAACATGTAAGTCTTTAATCCATCTTGAATTAATTTTTGTATAAGGTGTAAGGAAGGGATCTAGTTTCAGCTTTCTACATATGGCTAGCCAGTTTTCCCAGCACCATTTATTAAATAGGGAATCCTTTCCCCATTGCTTGTTTTTGTCAGGTTTGTCAAAGATCAGATAGTTGTAGATATGCAGCATTATTTCTGAGGGCTCTGTTCTGTTCCATTGGTCTATATCTCTGTTTTGGTACCAGTACCATGCTGTTTTGGTTACTGTAGCCTTGTAATATAGTTTGAAGTCAGGTAGCGTGATGCCTCCAGCTTTGTTCTTTTGGCTTAGGATTGACTTGGCAATGCGGGCTCTATTTTGGTTCCATATGGACTTTAGTTTTTTCCAATTCTGTGAAGAAAGTCATTGGTAGCTTGATGGGGATGGCATTGAATCTATAAATTACCTTGGGCAGTATGGCCATTTTCACGATATTGATTCTTCCTACTTATGAGCATGGAATGTTCTTCCATTTGTTTGTATCCTCTTTTATTTCATTGAGCAGTGGTTTGTAGTTCTCCTTGAAGAGGTCCTTCACATCCCTTGTAAGTTGGATTCCTAGGTATTTTGTTCTCTTTGAAGCAATTGTGAATGGGAGTTCACTCATGATTTGGCTCTCTGTTTGTCTGTTATTGGTGTATAAGAATGCTTGTAATTTTTGCACATTGATTTTGTATCCTGAGACTTTGCTGAAGTTGCTTATCAGCTGAAGGAGATTTTGGGCTGAGACGATGGGGTTTTCTAGATATACAATCATGTCATCTGCAAACAGGGGCAATTTGACTTCCTCTTTTCCTAATTGAATGCCCTTTATTTCCTTCTCCTGCCTGATTGCCCTGGCCAGAACTTCCAACACTATGTTGAATAGGAGTGGTGAGAGAGGGCATCCCTGTCTTGTGCCAGTTTTCAAAGGGAATGCTTCCAGTTTTTGTCCATTCAGTATGATATTGGCTGTGGGTTTGTCATAGATAGCTCTTATTATTTTGAGATACGTCCCATCAATACCTAATTTATTGAGAGTTTTTAGCATGAAGGTTGTTGAATTTTGTCAAAGGCCTTTTCTACATCTATTGAGAAAATCATGTGGTTTTTGTCTTTGGTTCTGTTTATATGCTGGATTATGTTTATTGATTTTCATATGTTGAACCAGCCTTGCATCCCAGGGAGGAAGCCCACTTGATCATGGTGGATAAGCTTTTTGATGTGTTGCTGGATTCGGTTTGCCAGTATTTTATTGAGGATTTTTGCATCAATGTTCATCAAGGATATTGGTCTACAATTCTCTTTTTTTGTTGTGTCTCTGCCAGGCTTTGGTATCAAGATGATGCTGGCCTCATAAAATGAGTTAGGGAGGATTCCCTCTTTTTCTGTTGATTGGAATAGTTTCAGAAGGAATGGTACCAGCTCCTTCTTGTACCTCTGATAGAATTCTGCTGTGGATCCATCTGGTCCTGGACTTTTTTTGGTTGGTAAGCTATTAATTATTGCCTCATTTTCAGAGCCTGTTATTGGTCTATTCAGAGATTCAACTTCTTCCTGGTTTAGTCTTGGGAGAGTGTATGTGTCGAGGAATTTATCCATTTCTTTTAGATTTTCTGGTTTATTTGCGTAGAGGTGTTTATAGTATTCTCTGATGGTAGTTTGTATTTCTGTGGGATCGGTGGTGATATCCCCTTTGTCATTTTTTATTGCGTCTATTTGATTCTTCTCTCTTTTCTTCTTTATTAGTCTTGCTAGCAGTCTATCAATTTTGTTGATCTTTTCGAAAAACCAGGTCCTGGATTCATTCATTTTTTGAAGGGTTTTTTGTGTCTCTATTTCCTTCAGTTCTGCTCTGATCTTAGTTATTTCTTGCCTTCTGCTAGCTTTTGAATGTGTTTGCTCTTGCTTCTCTAGTTCTTTTAATTGTGATGTTAGGGTGTCAGTTTTAGATCTTTCCTGCTTTCTCTTGTGGGCATTTAGTGCTATAAATTTCCCTCTACACACTGCTTTGAATGTGTCCCAGAGATTCTGGTATGTTGTGTCTTTGTTCTCATTGGTTTCAAAGAACATCTTTATTTCTGCCTTCATTTCGTTATGTACCCAGGAGTCATTCAGGAGCAGGTTGTTCAGTTTCCATGTAGTTGAGCGGTTTTGAGTGAGTTTCTTAATCCTGAGTTCTAGTTTGATTGCTCTGTGGTCTGAGAGACAGTTTGTTATAATTTCTGTTCTTTTACATTTGCTGAGGAGTAAGATGCATATTATAATTTCTAAGGCAACCTCTAAAACAATACCAAAAGAAGTCAAGCTAAAATATCAATGAAGGAGAAAAAATGGGATATTTAATAAAAATATGTGATTTGCCCAAAATAACCAAGAAAGGAGAAACAGAACAAAATACAGATGGGATAAATAAAAGTTAAATAACAAGATGGAGGCAAGACCCAATTATAATGCTGTTTATAAGACACTGATCAATATACATGTGTAGACAGGTTGAAAATAAAAGGATAAGGAAAAACATGCCATGCAAACACTAGGCATAAGAAAGCCAATTACTAGATTAGTATCAGTGTAAACTGCAAAAGAAAAAATGTTGCTGGATAAAAAGGGACATTTCATAATGATAAAAGGGCCAATTCATCAAGAAGATATAGTAATCCTAAATTTTAATACACCTATTAAAACAACTTTAAAATACCTAAAGCAAAAATTGACAGAACTAAAGAGTGAAATCGAATTTACATTTCATTCAATCATTCATTCCCTGAAAAAGTCTCATTGCTTTTCTCAGAAGGGGAATTTCTATTTAAATAAAGTTTAATAAGTGTGCAATTAAGATGCCATATTGTATTATTTTGATTATTGCTCTTTTAGGATACAATTTATGTTGCTGATTTCAGGCTGTCTGCATTGTTAAACATTGATTACCATACATTATTTTTTCCTAGACCCTGTGTGGTGCTTCCTTAAGAAAGTTATGCCATAACAATTAATTATAGCAAAGGACTCCTCCCATGATTAACCCTGCTTCAGAGGTTCCTTTTGTTTTTTGTTTTTCATATTCAATCATTTCCTCCTAAATGATATTGCTTAATCTTTCAGATTCTTCTACTAAAAAATTTACCAGATCCCTGGCACATCTAATTCCTTCCAAAATTTCTATAATCATTGATGATTTTTTAATGATTTAGTGTTTCTCAAGCCCTCAAAGCCTCCTAGCGCTACAAACCCTCCAAAGCAGCAGCTCTGCTTAGCGGGCAGAGCAGACGCCCACTCCTGTGAATGAGCAGAACCACCACTCTCGGTGGAAAAGCGTGGTTAACTGTTTCCTCATTGCCCACGAGGAAAGTGTCTTTGCATGCCTGAGGACCATAGCGATTTTGTCATTTCCCATCAAGGTTTTGAGGATTAGTGTGCCATACTGAGGGGGCACCCATGGGGGAAGGGGTGATTGTCAGCCACAAACTTCTGGCACTGTCTGGGGTGTCTCTGGTTAGCTGCAGCCAAGTTCCAGAGCTTGAGCAACACGCAAAGAATCACACAGCATGCTTTACAGGGAGAAAGCCAGGAGAAAATAACTGTGACAAAATTACCCTAAAAGTATTCTTCAATTTTAATGGGCGTCAATACATGTGATGCAATGCGTGTTTAATTTGGACCTGTAATCGAGAGTTAGAAGAAAAATTCACCGAATTTACACTTTTGTTCTGATCACCTTGTGGATATCCTCCTTTCTGTACCCAGGAGCATTCTCTCCCTCTTTTTATTCTGCATTCTATCCCTTTAACAATAAAAATAGCTAATATTTATCAAGTTCTTACTATATGTCTAGGTTTGTCTAAGCACATCTGATTGAGTACCAGCCAACACTTAGGATGCTGCTATTGTCCCTATCTTATGGATTAGGAAACTGAGGCCTGGGGCCTTTAAGAAATGTGCCTGAGGGGGCACAGTTGTCCAGCAAGAGCAAGCGGCTGCCTTCCTTACCCATACAGTCTGATTCTGGAGCTTTGATCTGAGCCCTTGGGTCTTGGCAAGTCAATGCCTCGCACCTTCTCTTAGCCTCCTGTGTTTAGAATCATCACAGTTGAGCCCTGGCCGGAAAGAGAAGGGACCCTCAGCTGGGATTGCTTGGAGTCAGGAAGGCTTCTTTGAAGAAGTCAAGAGAGACTGAGTGTTTAGGAGTCAGGAGAAATCCAACAGAGGAAGGGAAGGGGTGCTCACCAGGCAAAAGGAGCAAAGGTGCAAAGCGCTCGGATGAAGAGCATCGCAAAGGTGTCATGGGATCAGGTGACACTCAGAGGAGAAGCAATGGCCCAGTGCCTGGCTTATGGCAAGACCTCAGAAGTGGTTGATGTGTCCATCATTGGCAATATGTGGCTGTTATGGTCATTGTAGCTCCTCTCTGTCCTGACCTCAGGCAAGCATTCCAGGCCCCAGCGGCAGTTTTCCCTGGCTGTCCCACAAGCATTTCAAACTCAGTGGGTCTGGAGGGAGCTCAGTGCCATGGCCAGTACCTGCAGGCAGCAGTCCTGCCTCCCCTCTTCCTCTCTCCTACCTCACATCCCAGCCAGGCCAGTGGTCCCCCTGGCCTTAGGCCTTTTCTCTCTTCGCGTTTCCACAACCTCAGATCAGGCCTTCGTTATCTCCCACATCTACTGGTGTAATAACTTCCTGGCTGGTCCCCCACTCCCCAACCCCAATCCATGCCCTAATGCTACCCCCGTTATCTCTCTAAGATTCAGTCAGCTCATGCAACCCCTCCAAGCCTTCAATGGCTGACAATATTTACCCGCCGCAAGCTAACAAACAACAGCAAGATCACACATGAAACACCAAAGCACCCCTGTGAGACTCAGATGAGAAAAGATACTATTGCTGCTAGTATGTATGGTTACTCTAGTTGATGAAATAATGAGACAAGCTTAAAAACTGGAAAGAAGGAAGTGAACCCATCATTTGGTGAAGATGGTATGATTACCTGCCTACGAAACCAAGTGAATCAACTAAAAGGAAACTATTAAAAACTATTAAAACTAGGACCTGGAAGAAGACTAGGCACAAATTAATATACAGAAATTACCTCCCTAAATATAAACAACCAGTTAGAAAATGTATTGGAAGAAAAGGTGCAATGAAAAAGAAAATATATATAATAATATAATGGACAATGTGCAAGATCTGAGAAATGTGAAAAATAGAATAGCACAGAAAAGACAGGTTGGAAACTTCAATTTTATGAAGATGTTACTTCTCCTTACATTAATATGTAAATACAGAAATGTCCTAACAAATATGCCAAAAAATACCAGTAAGGTTTTTTTAGTAACTAGACAAACTAATCTGCAGTTTATGATGCAAAAATAATGCATAATAATCCTAAAAACTTTTTAAGAGGAGCACTAAAAAAGACCAAGTCCTGCCAGATACTAAAATATATTAATGTTAAAGTCACAGTTGCTAAAACACAGTGGTATGAATAAAAACCAGAATAGATCAATGGAAAAAAAATGAAGTCCATAAAAAGACCTACTGGGATATGTATAAGCATTTAGTATATGATAAAAGATAAATGCAATTTAACTGAAAAACTCTCTCAAAGGATCTGTTAAATAATCATCTGTAAGAGCCCTGGGCTTTCTGTTTACTGATCCTGTGTGTGCTGAAAGAGGGGACGGCCAGTGACACTCTTCTTATTCAACAGCTAAGTTTTATAAGTATTTATATGGGTTAGGCATTCACACATGCCAATTTTAGCATTATTCCCTGGGCAAAAAAAATATCAAGTAAGACAGTCTATCAAAATTATAAGACTTCTTCGAGATGATTGTCACAGGACATGGCAATACATTCTAAAGTCTAGGAGTCTTGCAAGACCTCCAAAGGCAATTTTATGGTAACAGAAGAGAGAAGAGTGTCGTAGTTAAGATATTCATGCCAGTTTTTGCAGTTCCCAGGAAACCAGGATGGCTATTCACGTGAAAATTCCCCATTTAACACTTTTCAGATTGGATCTGTGAATGATGTTTCTTTCTCCACAGCTGCAGGACAGAGAGAACATCTTCATTTCTTTCTTAGATTCATTTTTTTTTCATTATGAAGACTTGCATTTTAAAGACAGACTCTGGAATTTCATTAGCTAGCATTATAAATGTAGTAGGCCCATAGAGATCATTTTTGCTAGAAAAAAAAAGAGTACCGGAGTAAACTCTTCCTGAGTTTGCTCAATAAGAGTGAAGTGAGCAGCACAGAACAGGTTTTCTTCTTCCAGGGCATCTTAAGAAGGCCACAGACTAGGGAGTGACTGTCAAGTTCAGCAATATGGAGGGTGTTGGAGAGCTTGCCAAGACCATCAGTTTCTGTAGAGAGAATCCCATGGTCCATTTTATCATCACCATCATCATCATCATCATCATCATCATCATCATCATCATCATCACTATTTGTCTGGGAGAGTGGGCTCCTGGACAGACTTGTGTGGAATGTTTGGGGTAGGGAGTCATGGGTGGTGAGTCAGAGAGGATGCTTGACCATTCTGTGTACATGTGTTGGATTCATGTCCCCTCCCTACTTTCAGCTCCCCCTCTCTGCCTTGTGTTATACCAGTTATTCCCTATTTCTGAGCTCACATTCTTGGGTCTTCTGCGTCATAGCTCCTCTCACCACCAGCTCTTCCTGAACTTTCATAAATATATGGAGCTCTCTTGCCTGATGATAATCCCTCTCCTGATCTCTTTTTTCTTATAGATTTATTCCTCTTAATTCCTTTGCTTTATTTTAGTGGGTTCTTGGTAGGGAGCAGAGAGAAACAGATGTGCCACCTTTAACTGGATGCCTGTTGGATGGTTTTCAGCAAGGAAGTTTTCAAATTGCATGGTGCTGAGCAGAGAATGGGTTGTAGGGGAAAAAAAGGCAGAGGAGACTATTGCTGCCATCCAGATGATGGCCAGGGAAAAATCGGTAGAGATGATAAAAAGGTCCAGACTCCAGCGATATTAGGAGGTGGAAGTGATGAGGTTTGGAGATGGACTAGACGTGGGAGTCCCAGTGGGGCAATTGGGGGCCAGCAGCAGGGTGGGTGGTGTGCTTTCACGAGACGTGAGGGGAGGTCAGAACAAGAGTTCAGTCGCAAATTTGTTGAGCCTGGGACATCTCTGCTGCACCCATGTGGAGAGGCCAAATAGGTTGTTGAGACTGGGGCTCAGTTGGGATGGTGGGGGGCAGATCTCAACAAAGGGTAGCTGCTGTCGTGATTGCTCTTGGGCTGCATGTGACTGTGTGCATGTGTGTGCCCCCACCTGTGCACGCTTCTGAAGGGAGCCAGTCTGATTCCCTGCCACCCTGATAGGTGTGCAGCACTTGGAGGGTGAGTGACAGCAACAGCACACCTTTGCAGAAACTCACACTGAGAAGTGGACAGCTCTGATCCATGACCTGAGGCCACAGTCTATTCATGGGGCTCTTCCTCTTTCAGCCATAGATACAGCTGTCATGTTTCACGTGGTCTGACTGGGACAGCTTTTACTATAAGAGGGAGATGCCACTTGCAAGTGAGGCTCTCTGCTGGGTGCAGAGACAGCATAGGCCCATGTTGCTCAGTCAAATATCCCTCCAGAGAGTTTTATTTATTTGTTAAGGGCTTCAGGGTTGTGTTTACTGGGGGAGGTTTGGGTAAAAAGCTCAAAGACTGATCTTCCTTCCTGCTTTTCTACAAAATAAAAGTAACCAACCCTCATCCATTGCCATTGGTAAATGGTGCAGCCACTGTGAAAAACAGTCTGGTAGTTCTTCAAAAAGTTAAATACAGAGTTACCATATGACCCAGCAATTCCACTCCTAGTACATACCCAAGAGAAATGGAAACATATGTCCACACAAAAACTCGTACATGATATTCATAGTGGTATTAGTCATAATAGCAAAAAGGTGGAAACACCTAACTGTCTGTCAGCAGAACAAGTAAGCAAGATATGGTCTATCCATACAGTGGATTGTTATTCTGCCATAGACATTTAATCCATTTACCTTTAAGGTTAATGTTGATATGTGAGGTTTTGTTCCTGTCATATTGCTAATTGTTTTCTAGTTGTTTTATAAATTATTTGTTTCTTTCATTTTCTCTGTTTGTCATTGTGGTTTGGTGAAATTCTGTAGTGGTGCTATTTGATTACTTTCACTTCCTCCTTTGTGTGATTGCTTTACCAGTGAGTTTTATACTTTTGTATGTTTCCATGATGGTGAATGTCATCCTTTTGCTTCCAAGTTTAGGACTCCCTTGAGCATTTCTTGAAGGGCCGGTCTAGTGGTGACAAATACAGTCATCATTTACTTGTCTGGGAAAGACTTTATTTCTCCTTCATTTATGAAGGTTATATTACTGGATATAGAATTATTGACTGGCAGCGTTTTTGTTTGTTTGCTTTTTCTTTCAGCACTTTGAATATGTCATCCCATTCTCTTCTGGCTTGTAAGGTTTCTGCTGAAAAGTCTACTGTTAGTCCAATGGGGTTTCCTTTATAGATGACTAGATGCTTCTCTCTTGCGGACTTTAGAATTTGCTTTTTAACTTTCACTTTAGACGGTCTGATTATAATGTGCTGTGGCAAAGTCCTTTTCACATTGTATTTTCCCGGGGATTGCTGAGCCTCCTGTATTTGGATGTCAAAATCTCTTGCTAGACAGGAATTTTTCATATACTATTTTATTAAATAGGTTTTCTGAGCCTTTAGATCTCTCTTCAACCTCAGGAATACCAATAATTTATAAAGTTGGCTGTTTTATGTAGTCCCAAACATCTCAAAGGCTTTGTTCATTCTTTTTATTCTTTTTTCTTTAATTTTTCTTAGTGGATTCCAAAAGACCTGCCTTCAAGTTCTGAAATTTTTTCTTCTGCTTGGCCCAGTCTGTTGTTGAAGCTTTCAAATGTATCTTACATTCCTTTCAATGAATTTTTTAGTTCCAGAAAGTCGGTTTAGTTGGTTTTTTTGGTTTTGTTTCTAGAGATATCTATTTCTTTGGTAAGTTTCTCATTTGTGAATTAATTTTAATTCATCCTGAATTAATTTTCTGAGTTCTTTGTATTGATTTTCCAGATTTCTCTTGCATCTCATTGAGCTTCTTTAAAAATCAGCATTTTGAATTATTTATCTGGGATTTTGAGGATTTCTTTTTTGGTTAAGATCTATTGCTGGAGAATTATTGTGTTCCTTTGAGGGTGTCATACTACCTTGCTTTTTCATGTTTCCTGTGTCCTTACATTGATTTCTGCACATCTGGTGTAACAGTTGCTGCTTCTTATTTTTTAATTTACTTTCATTTGAGTGTGGGGGTTCCTGAAGATGTGACTCTCTGTTGGTTGGGTAGGACCCTTTGGCTTTGTTTCTGAGTGCGTGTAGTAGTGAAGACTCTGTATGATTTCTTTGGCTGTGAATAGCATTAGTGGTATCTGTGGTTTCTTTGGGATGTTAGGGTGTAGGTATTGGTGGAGGCTGTGGTAAAGTTGTGTGGGGACTAAAATGCCAGATGGGCCTCTCTTCAGGTTTCAGCCACTCTCTCTTAGTGGGCTAAGCATGTCTGTCCTTGTGCCCTGGGACAACATATGCTGGCACCTGTATTGGCGGTTCCAGGCAGACCAGTTCTTGGGCCTCTGGTTGGCTTTCTCAGATGCCATTTGTACTAGTGATGTCCTGGTTGGGTGAGTGGGCTCTCGAGCTCCTGGGCAGCCAGGATGGTTTGAGTGATGGTAGTAGCAGTGGTTGTGAGATGCTCTGTTGGGTCCCAAGTGCTGTGCATTTGTGTTGGCAGTGGTTGCAATGGGCTTTGCAGGCCAGCCCCCAGGCCAGCAGGCAGCACTTGCAGGTAGGAGCCAGCTGAGGTGGTAATGGTAGGGTGTTTATGCCTGACCTCTGCCCCCCTGGAAAAGTGCTTGAGTGTCCCAGGTGGTAAATTGGGTTGTGGAACCCCCAGGACCGTGGATCCTGCACTCTGTTGGGGATGAAGGCAGGCACAGCCAGACCAGGTGAACTTGTGCTGGACCCCCAGTGTTAAGTGCCCCCCAGTGGAAAGTGCATGCACCTGCCTTGGTGAAGGGCTAGGGAGGGCATGGCAATCCCCAGGCCCCTGGTGAAATGTTTGAGTGAAGGGCAACAGCCACTATGCTGAGGTCCTGCTGTGGGAGTTAGGGCCTGTTCCAGTGATCACAGCCTTGGCTGGAGAGTGGGGAACTTGTGTCCCTCTCACACCCCAGTCCAATCCAGGCATCCTCCCCCATCCCAGCTGTCACAGCTGACTCACTGTTCAGTCAGACCTGGCAGCTCACATCTAACCCACAATTCAGCCCTGGGGCATAAGAGCCCCTACCCAGCTCAAGACCAAGCCTCCACAGCTACTCTCGTCCTGCTCAGTTCCCAGGGGAAGTGCCTACTTTCAACGATGGTGGCTGCAGCCCATGCCATGCTTGCTTCCCAGTTCTAGTTGTGGGAGCTCACACTCTGCTCACACCCTTGTTCCACAAGCAGCAGCCCAAGTTTTCCTAATGCCTAGGCCTAACGCCATTGTTTCATGGCACCACACAGTCTGTTAAAAGCTAGGACCAAGAATGACATCTTACTCTAGCTGCTTAGGTCTTAGGAAGGACGTGGGACCCAGGGCATGTTCCCTCCCTGGAGCAGGACTGGGGAGGGTTAAGGTGCTCTCCTATGGCCTGGATTGTACAATCCCCCAGTGGGAAAGTGGACCACAGAAAGATTATCACCCCCTCCGGTACTGGGGAGTCACTCTGGTTCCCAGCCCGTCCGGGCCATGCAGGCTGCCTGTTTTCCTTCTTCCTAGATTGTGGAGTTTTCTTTTGCTTTTCTGTTGAACTGCTGTGTTCTGTCTTGGATAATGTATTCAAAGTGTGATTGTCTACATAGCATTTTGGTTCTTTTAAGTGGATGAGGCATGCTTGAAATGCATCTAATCAGCTGCCTTGAAAAAAAAGACATTTCTTAGTATGGTTTGTATTGTTTGTGTTTCTTTTCAACACACTCCTATTTATGAGACTCATGTATTCTTTGTTTTCTTTAGCCTTATTTCAGTTTTGATTTTTTTTTTTCATGTTTAGGCATGTACTCAATCTGGACCCCATTTTTGTGATTTGTGTGGCAACAAAGATCTAATTTGATTTTTTCCACCATGGTGAGCCAGTTGTCCCAGGTCAATGCATGGGGCCACGTCCAGTGTTTCACCTCTGCAACACACCAAGGCCCATGAGCCCCAGCACTGCCACTGGGCTCTCTGTTCTACTCTGTATATGTATTTCAACATCATCCTTTCATGATTGTTTTTACATTAATGAGCTTCTAATTTATTTTTGTGTATGATAGGAAGTAGGCATTTAACTTCATAGTTTCCCAAATAATTAGTCAATTCCAACCCAGTATAGATTTAAAATGCCAAATCATGTTTTAAAATATACTACAGCCTGTTTGGGGCTTTTTCTTTGCTTCCCCTGATTTATCTATTTTTACTCCTGCATCAGTATTGAGTTTTGTGTACCTTTCCCTGTTCTTCCTCATTACTCGCCCTTTTTAACTTTGGCCTGACTGTTCTCATTTGGTTTGTTTTTCAGATGAAATTTAGAATTGCTTTCTTAAGTATTCACCCCCCAGTCCTCCCGATACCTTAATTGAAAGTGTGCTAAGGTAAAACTGGATATGGCAAAGTTGATGTCTTTTCACTGTTGTATTCTCCTGTCCAGGAGCACAGCACATCTTCCACTGTGTCTTTTAATGCCCCCTTCCTTAATGAAAGTCTGGTGCATTTCTTCTTAAACTTATTGTCAGGTATGTTGAGGTTTCTATTGCTATTGTGAGTGTGGTCCTTTTCTTTTATTGTAGTTTCTGTTTATTACTAGTAGGAAAGCTATTGACTCTCCTGTATTTACCGTGGAATTTTTTATGGCTAATTTTTTCTTTATAATTTTCATTGGTTACAAAAAATTTAAATACCAGTTATCAAAATAACAAAAACCAGATTTCCATAAGCCCACTAGACTTACTTGTGGGCTTTCCCCCACTATTTATCTGCAATTTTATGACTTAAAATCAAGTCATACCATATAAACGATTTGAACCCTAGCATAATTTTTGGATCTCTCTCTCTCTTTTTTCTTTTTCTTTTTTTTTCTTTTTTGAGACAGGGTCTCACTCTGTCACCCAGGCTGGAGTGCAGTGGCACAATCTCAGCTCACTGCAGCCTCAGCCTCCCGGGCTCCAGTGATCCTCCTGCCTCAGCCCACCACATAGCTGGGACTGCAGGTGTACATTACCACACCTGGCTAATTTTTTTGTATTTTTAGTAGAGACAAGGTTTCATCATGTTGCCCAGGCTGGTCTTGAACTGGATCACTTTTTTAAATAAACTTTTTATTTTAGAACAGTTTTAAATTGACATAAAAATGGCAAGGATAGTACAAAGAGTTCTCATATATCCCACCCCTGCTTCCCTGTTATGAATGTTTTCCATTAATATGGTACATTTGTCACAATGAATGAACCCAATACTGGTATGTTATTATAAACTAAAGTCCACACATGACTTGGATTTCCTCAGTCTTTCCCTGCTGTCCCCTTTCTGCTCCAGGACCCCCTCCATGACACCACACTGCTTTTAGTCACAGTCTCTGTAGGCTCCTTTTGATGGCGACACTTTCTTGGACTTGCCCTGTTTTCAATGACCCTGACAGTTTTGAGGAGGACTGGTCAGGTATTTTGTAGAATGTCCCTCAATTGGTGTTTGTCCGATGTTTTTCTCATGACTAGACTGGGATTTGGGGTTTGAGGGAGGAAGAGCACAGAGGTGCAGGGCCGTTCCCTTCACACTGAATCAGGGACTTGCACTGTCAACAGGACTTACCCCTGCTGATGCTGACCTGGGTCACCTGGGTGACAGCGTATTTGTCAGGTTTCTCTACTATAAAGATACTCTCTTCTACTCCGATTCCACATGGTACCCTTTGAGAGCAAGTCACTAAGCATAGCCTCTAATTAAGGAGTTGGGGGTTACCCTTTGTCTTCTTAAGAACAGGGTATCTATATACATTATTTGGATTTCTTCTGTGTGGGAGATCTGTGTTCTCCCCCATTTATTTATTTAATCCTTTGAATCCAAATTCGTATGGATTCATGAATATTTATTTTTTACTTTGGGATAGCTATAATACAATTTATTTTTTGTTTTCTCGCTTAAATTGTTCCAGCTTTGGCCATTGGGACCTCTTTCAGTTGGCTCCTGTGTCCCTTGACTTAACCTCTTCAGTGTGTGTGTGTGTGTGTGTGTGTGTGCGCACGCACGTGCATGTGCACACACATTTATCACTTCCTTGCTTTCTGGCACTAAAAGATATTCCAGGTTCATCTTGTATGTTTCCTGCCCCAGTCCTGGAATCAGCCATTTCTCCAAGGAGCCCCATTTTTTACTGGAGAATGGCTATTAAAGGCCAAGTTCTGGTGCTAGGTGCTCTTTGCTACTGAGCAGGTTGCTTCTAGGCCCTCTCAGCTGACAGAACAAGAAGTTGTGCATGCATGCCAACCTGTGTGTATACACACATCTTTAGATATTTCTCTATGTAACCATGTGCATCAACATGGAGCTTATCATGAGTTCATACTGATGTCTCCAGTGCTAACCCATTACCCATGGATCATTCTAGCTCCTTCTCTTGCTTATGTACCTGGCATCAATCTAAACTTACCAAGACCTCTATGATACATTTTCATTTGGTTAAGTTTAAAAATATTTTATAAAATAGTCTACAAAAATGTCATGTAGTTGTTTATTCACTTAGACAGGGTCTTACTCTGTCGCCCAGGCTGGAGTGCAGTGGCACACTCATGGCTCACTGCAGCCTCAACCTCCCAGGCTCAAGCAGTCCTCCCACCTCAGCCTCCCAAGTAGCTGGGACCACAGGGGCATATCATCATGCCCAGCTAATTTTTTATTTTTCATTTTTGTAGAGACAGGGTCTTGCTATGTTGCCCAGGCTGGTTTCGAACTCCTGGCCTCAAATGATCCCTCCACCTAGGCCCCCCAAAGTTCTGAGATTACAGGCATGAGCCACTGCACCCAGCCCATTTTGGCTTTTTGCTTCTTATCTAAATATAGCTGTTAACAATGCCAAGTTTAAGGGTGGCTAAACAAGGTGGCAAAATAGCTTAACACAGCAGGAAAAGGGGGAAAACTGGAAATGCATTGGTACTTAGAAATTAGGTGGCAAAAAATCAGTGAAGTCTGGGATGTCAGCAAGAATGGTGGGGTACACAGCCCCATGGGCCTGTCCCCCAAAGAAACATTGAAAAATCTAACAAAACTGTCTCAACCAACTTCATCAAAACTTTGAAAAATAGGCAAAGGTTTACAGCAACCAAGCAAATGCTGAATCAAGAAAAAGGCAGGTGGGGTATGGTGACTCACACTTGTAATCCCAGCTTTTCAACTTTCAGAGGCTGAAGCAGAAGGATCCCTTGAGACCAGGAGTTCAAGACCAGTCTGGGGAACAAGCAAGACCCTACCTCTAAAAAAAGAAAAATAAGAAAAAACTTAAAAATGGTAGGAGAGCCTGGTGCGGTGGCTCACGCCTGTAATCCCAGCACTTTGGGAGGCCAAGGCGGGCTGATCACGAGGTCAGGAGTTTGAGACCAGCCTGGCCAACATGATAAAACCTGTCTCTACTAAAAATACAAAAATTAGCTGGGCATGGTGGCAGGTGCCTGTAATCCCAGCTACACAGGAGGCTGAGACAGGAGAATCACTTGACCCCAAAAGGCAGAGGTTGCAGTGAGTCGAGATCGCACCACTGCCCTCCAGCCTGGGTGACAGAGTAAGACTCTGTCTCAAAAAAAAAAAAATGGTAGGAGAGCCTGGTGATGACTCTGTCTGCCCTCCTCCCACCCCCCAATCTTGAAGGCAGCAGCATGTTCCTAGCATGGGACCTGGTCCCTGCTTCTGGAGGCAGAGCACACCTTACTCGAAAAGAAGTGGGTATTTATTCTCACCAGTCTGGTGGCTGCCTGAAGGGCTGCCACAGGCACTTGTCATTGTTTCACCTAACTCAGAACCCACTTGCTGCAGAAGAGTGGCAGACGTTGCTTGGAAACATTGTAAGGCAAATAACTTGCAGCTTCCTGGAGCTAAAAATTATAGTTGAGGCAAACAATGAAGCACTGAAAGCTCTGGAAGAAAAACTGAGGAGAGAGATGCTTTTGGAAATTAGGGCATTCAAAAGTACCTGTGGATATCGGGAAATGTAGAAAGCACCATACATGCGCAGAGAGCTTGCATGCTCAGAAAAGATCTAAGAAGACCTGAGCTTTCACCTGGGGCTGGTCTCTATGCTCAGTGCAAGTAGGAAGTGAAGGCTAAGGTAGAGCTGTGAAAAGCCTGGCTAAGCAATGAAGGAGGCCCCAGCACAAAGCCATCCACAAAACAGATTGGGAGAAGTTTCTGTTACTTTTTCTGTTTCTCTCTGTGTGTCTCTCTCTCTCTCTCTCTCTCTCTCTCTCTCTCTCTCTCTCTCTTTCTCTCGGCTTCTGAATCTGAGATGCCCACTCCATCAGGGAGGCCTGGTGTAGATGATAAGGATGTTTACAAAAGCAGCAGGCAGGAGGTGGCACCGAGGGTACATGTCAGGCTGCCTGTCCTTTGAAGGTGCTCTCGGAGGAGGAGGGACTCTTGGTGGTGCTGGGAGTGCTCTGGAGCTCCTGTGCTACTCAGATGTCTCAGCTTTAATCTCTGGAGATTGCTGTGGTTCACATGCCAGTCAGATGCTGAGTTGATCCTTATTCTATCTGAATGCTGTAGCTCCAGGGTGGGGCTCACCCCCATGGCCTCTGTCTGTGGGAGGCCAGGACAGAGTTGTTCATCCAGTCAAGCAGTGGGACTAGATAGGCCTAGAAACCAGCTCCCCCACTGCAGCAGACACAGACGTGGCCCAGGCCCAGGCACCCCAATATGGGGAACGGCCTTTCCTGAAGTTGGATGGGCATGCCTTTGGTGAAAGCAGTTTTGGGTTTTGATTTGTGGACACCTGGGAACGTGGGGTGGTGCTTGGCTGGCAGCAGCTGCTGCAGCCTCGCCGAAGGCATCTGCCTGGGGCCCTTGCTGAGCTGACACCACAGGTATGGAATGTCTCCCCTGCCAGTGTGCCGGCCACCATGAAAGCATAAGGAATTTCCAGAGGAAGCACAGTGGTGGGGTGTGTGGTTGGACTGTCTGCCCTGCACTGACAGTGCCTTCTGTGCCTGAACTTCACACATGGTCTCTCCATGCAGGAAGGATGTGCCCGTGGAACAGGTGACACACGCAGACAGAGAGCAAACCAAGAAGGTGGTGTACGCGGTGGTCTATGGAGCAGGTAGGCTGCGGGCCGGGAGCTGGGGTCTCGGGGTTACCTGTAAGCTGGCAGCTGTGTGCCTGTGTTTAAATGTGGCTGTGCCTCAGAAATCGTCTGTGAGTCCCTGGGTGTTGTTTATGCTCTGATGACACCTGCAGTCACCAGACACTGGCCAGACCACCCCATGCCTTGACCTGCTCAGAGTCACATCCAGCCTCTCAGGGGAGGCCGCGGAGCTGGGCAGGTCAAGTGTGACCAAGCCGTTGGCTCCACCCCTACACCATACCACTGTGCTAGGCACCACTGCTGTGCTTGGAGACCTTCGAGGAGACCCTCGTCCACACACATGCCAAGGCATTATAAAGTTAGATAGCCTCAAGGTGTGCAGCGCTTGGACTCATTGCCACATCTCAACATGCACCCCATCTCCCTAGGGCAGAGCTCACCCAGCTGGGCCATGCAGCCAAAGCACCCCAGAGAGGGCAGAGCCAGGCCTTGGGCTGGGAGCAGAGCAGTAGGGGTCCAATCTCAGGGGTAGCAGATAGGAGAAAGCGGGGCTAGGCCAGGAAGGACTGAAGGCCAGAGGTTTGGGCTGCCTGGGGCCTCTTCTGCAAGCCTCTCCCTCCCCTCCCCTTTTTGCTTCCCTTCCTGTTTCTGCTCCTCTCCCTCCTTCCCCCTACCCCCTAGCCCCAATACCCATGTCAGAGCAGGCCTTCTACTCTCTTCCACTCACCCTTCTTCTACTCTCCCTTGGACTCCCTGACATGGGCTGTCTGGGATTTTTTAATTCTTTTCTGGCCCTGGGTCATGCTGAATCAGCATGGCCTAGTTTCCCCAGCCAGCCAGCTCCTTCTTAAGCCTGTTCAGACCTCCTTTTCCCTGTGATCAGTTCTTCTTTGGGTAGCAGGGCTTGTGCAAAGACCCTGAAAAGAAGATTCACCATCCTGCCATGGAAACCCTTTGTTTATTCACAGAAAGGCAGCAAAACCAAACAAGCTTCAGTGGAAGAATAACGGGGCAAGCACATAGTAGATTGTCCCTAAGAGCTGCCCTACAGTCTCCATTGAGAATGTGGTGCCGTTGAACAAGCGTCCAGAGTGCCCCGCCCCAAAACTGTGGATGGATAGCTTGTCTAGAACCACAGCCAATCAGCCAGGCCAGCTCCAACCTCAGAGCTTTGCACTACTCTTCCCTCTATGGGAACACCTGCCCCTGTACCACCAGAACCCATCCCTCACTTCTGCAGACCTGTGCTCAACTCTCCCCTGTGCAACCTTCCTCAACCACAGTATTTGTTACCCATTTCTTAGGTAACAAATTGCCACAAATGTAGTAACTTAAAATAATACACACTATCTCACAGTTTCTCTGGGTGTGGGCATGCCATAGCTGGGTCCCCTGCAGGGGCTGCAGTCAGGGTGTTGGCTGGGGCTGTGATCACATCTGTGGCTTGACTGGGGAAGGATCCACTTTGTTGGCTTCTGTTTCTTTCTTTCTTTTTTTTTTTTGGAGACAGAACCTTGCTCTATCCCCCAGGCTGGAATGCAGTGGCACAATCTCGGCTCACTGCATTGAGCACAAAATTGGCTCAACCTCCAACTCCTGGGCTCAAGCCTCCTGCCTCAGCCTCCTGAGTAGCTGGGGTGACAGGCACCTGCCACCACATTCGGCTAATTTTTGTATTTTTAGTAGAGATGGGGTTTCACCATGTTGGCCAGGCTGGTCTTGAACTCCTGACCTCAAGTGATCTGCCCATCTTGGCCTCCCAAAGTGCTGGGATTACAGGCATGAGCCACCGCACCTGGCTGGCTTCTGTTTCTTGCTGGCTGTCAGCCGGAGGTGGTCTCAGCTCCTTGCCACATGGGCCTCACACCTTGGGCACCCACTCGCCTGTTCATGGTCTCATGCCCCAGCTCAAACATGAGTACCTCAAAGATAGGAGCTCATCACGTTAGCTCACTGCCTGGCACAGAGAAGACACAGGAACAAATTAGTGGACTTGGTGGTCTCAGCTCCACTTTTGAAAACATTTTGATTGTATACATGGTTTTTGGAAAATAGACTAAGAAACTTTGTTTTAAAGAACTAGGTTCTGTGAGTGACAGTAGTGTGACATTGGATTGATTCTCCTCAGAGTTGCTTGGTCCACTGCCTCCTCTCAGCCTCTTCTGTGCTGCACCCCTGAACCTCCCTGGGGCCTCTGTCTTGGGGGAAGGCATCACTCTGCCAAATTATATGAGAGTTTGTTGCCTTGCATCCTGCTGCATCTTGTGTTGCAAACATAACATTTGCTTCTGCTCTGCCGGCAGGACATCACCTCCCCAGTCCTGGGCCCGGCAGCCTGGGCTTGATCCCCAACCCTATCAGCTCCTGACTGTGTGGCCTTGTGCAAGGCCCTCCGCCTCCCTGTGCCATCTCCTCCTGGGAAAATGCTCTCATAGGGTGCATGGGGCCATACCTGGCACACAGTCAGCTCTCATCTCTGTCATCTGCCGTTACGTCTGAGTCCTACTTCACTTCTGTGCCATGTCAGTAAATGCCTCCAAGTGACTGAGCAGCTTCTGTAGGTCTCCTGTGGCAGCCCCGGCCTTGTCCCCAGTGGGGGCAGCCACCCCAAATCCAGCTAGGAGGGAGGGATGGAGAATGAGAGTGCCGAGCACCTGCCGTGGGGCAGCTGTCCTCCAGCAGGATGGATGCCCCCACCTACCCAGAAAAAGGTGGTCTTCTCTGCCACCCGTTTGGCTCCTTCTGGAGTATTCACTTTTTTTTTTTTTCTGGAGAGGAAAAGAGCTACATTTTGTAAATAAGCACTGAGTCATTAGCCATAATGTTGAAAAGGGTAATTTGGCTGCTTTTAGCTGTGACAGTGACAAGGGTTCCCACCCTGAGCCTCCGGCTCTGCTGTTCCCATTGTTCCGGTCTGGCTTGACAGCTGGAATTACTGTGTATCCACTGCTGTGGGCTTAGGCTGGTCTCTGTTCTCCTTGTGTTTGAAACTTTGTCACATGAGCTGGGACTGAGGAAGCCAGTCAACTTGCCAGGCCTCCCAGGCTGCTGGGGCGCTTTGGAAACTCCATAGAGGAGCTTTGCACCTACCAGCTTTCAGCGGATTGTAGTGACGTGTTTTCACATAACATACCTCTGAACGGCCCACAAATGCTGAGGGCATGGGGCAAGGCATGATTCCTACACATTCTTGAGAAATCGGTGACATGACTATTGTGAAGACTGTGATGAATACAGCAGAGGAAGCAGCAGGACTTTGTGAGAGGCAGGGGAGATGCCCCAGAAGGTGCAGGGTCTGTGTGCTCAGTCCCCGCAGCCACCGTGGGGGAGCTGGTAGGGAACACATGGAGTAACAGAGCAGCCACTGTCTGGGAGCCTTGACCCCAGAGGCTGGCTCACAGGCTCACTGCTCCTCCATCAGTCAACTGAATTCAAATGTCCGTCCCCAGCCTGACGGCCCTGCGCACAGCTGCTGCTGAGCCCAGCAGGAACCTGCCTTCTCCTGGAAGCAGCTCTTGACTCCTCGGGTCTTGATCTGAGTGTTTATGGCTCCTAGAGTCAAATCCTTGGGTCTTCTCAGATGATTCCCTGACTCTGAAGCTTGCCTCCACATCCAGTCATCACGTGACCCACAGGCCTGTGCTGAGGGCACACCGCCTGGCTCAGTGCCTGTTCCCGAGGGGCTCGCACCTGTCAGAGGAGACACGGGAGGAGGCCTGGGCGCACAGCACTGTGCCATCAGTGCATCTGCAGGAGTCCCTGGTGCCAAGGGAGCCAGGGGAGGGACCCAGCCCAGGGAGAGTTGGGAGAGTCCAGGAGCTGGCCCAGAGCAGCAACACCCGAGCTGAGTTTTGAAAGCAGCGTAGGATTCAATGTCAGGTCTGTTCCAGCTAGACCAGCCCATGTTCCCACAGGCCCACTATGTGCAGGCACTTGCTCAGCCCTAGAGACATAAACAGGAGTGAAAGCCTGTTAGCAATATGTGTGGGGCAGAAGAGCACTCGGAGAAAAGGGAGTGAAGGGAGTGAAGACTGTCCCTGCTAAACGTCAAATTGTAGCGCGCGCACACACACACACACACACACACACACACACACACACACAGATTCACGTGTACCCACCGGATAGGGTTAGCCGTCTGTGGGAAGAGTCAAATTGTGTGTTCGTGTAGGATTTCAGAGGTATGGAGTACTTAGTGTCCCCAGCATGCAGATCTCTCAGGGCCTGTGTGTGAAACAGGATCAACGGAATCACAGTGTGGGGACAAGTTCTATGAAAAGAAGGAGCAGTCCAGCGGAAGCATGGGACAGAGAAGTCCCCACAGAGCCAAAAGCCATCCTGCTTGGGGAAGGGACAGTGGCCTTTGAGTGTGACAGTCCCACTGCTAAGGGTGTCCAAGGAGTGAGGAGCAAAGATCCAGGGCCTGGAAGGCCTCCCAGACCCTCAGGCTCCATCTCAGTCTCTCGTCCCTGCTGCTTGTGGAGCCACCACACCGTCCGCTCTCTTGTGGATGGGCTTTCTTTATGCCTGGGGACCGGGGCCACCTGCTGCCCTTCAGAGATCCCGACAGCTCCATAGAAGAAAGGAAAGGGATTCTCCCTTGGCCATAAGTATTTAGAAAGCAAGGCATGACTTCTGGTTATGGCCAAGTCGCTCCCATTGGAGCAGCCCTCACACAGGGATCAACTATAAACTGTGGAAAATGTATAAAAAGACAACTACCCAGAGGCACTGGGAAGTGACCAGAGCAACAGAAATTGGAGGTCAGCTGACACCTGGAAGAAAGGAATGGCACTGGTGAATTTCTCATTCTATAGACCCTCACCTGAAGGCAAACCTCAGTTGATGCTGTGGGGACAGAAACTCTGCTAGAACATACAATCCTACTAGCTTGAAGAACTGGAGGACAGAGTTCTGGACAACCAGAGGATCTGGAAAGTGAAATGAGAAATTCTAGAAAGAAGAGAGCCAGGAAATGAGGCCAAATTCTAGGTTTGAACTCTGCTCAGATCCTTGGCTGACCCCTAACTATGCATGAATGGGACAGACTTCAAACAACCCAGAAGCCAAGGCAAAAAGGACTGACCTGAGATTTCAGTGTTTTCCCACTACAGGGAGACAGAGTTTGATTTTAGCCAAACTAAGTGCCCCTTTAAAAATAGTACTCCTGAGCTGGCACCTTATCAGTATCTAAGCGGAGTGTTTTGGAAGGAGTTAAGGGGCTGTAGCAAACGCCCTCTCCACCGTCATGGCCCAGCATCGGAATGTTCGAGGCTGTGACTGCGATGAAGATCTTGAAGATGATGATCACCATGGCCAGTCTGTAGAGGATGATTCTTGTATTTTGCTATCAACAGCTGCTCAGTTTATTTATTCACAGCGTGACAAACCTTCCGTTGAGCCTATAGAAGAATACGATCATGAAGATCTGAAAGAATCTTTCAATTATGTTTCGAACCATCAGCTCAGTGGATTTAATCAAGCTCGTTTTTATTCATGCCTTGATCACATGAGAGAAAGTACTTGGAGATGCTGTGCCAGATGAAATATTGATTGAATCAGTTCTGAAGAACAAGTTTGATGTGCAGAAGCCTTTGTCAGAGGTTCTGGAACAAGATAGCATGTAGAATTTGAAGGACAAGAATGAGGGAAGAGTATCTACAGGAAAGATAGCAAAAGGTAAGGAGTCTTATTTTCTTCTTCTGAAGTTTCAGCTGATAATGTTCAAAGTTCTTATCCTCAGTTAGCAAATCATTTGGATTATAGTAGCAAACCCTTTGATTTTTCTAGCTCAGTAGGAAAATATGGATTATCTCATAATTCTTCAGTTCCAAGTCACTGTTTACTCCATAGGAAAAAGAAACTTGACAGACTTAAAAGTGAAAAGAAACCAGAATCATGTAGGTTAACAAAAGAACTTTCACTAGCTAACTTAATTCCTGATATGTCAAGAGATTCCTGTGAAAGTCAGCCATCAGTCAGATTGTCATCTACAGACAGTCTGGAAAGTCTGCTTTCAAAGAACCTAGATGCTGATTTGTTGAGACTTCATCCATCTGAATGTGCTTCCAAAGATGATTCTGCATTCAAAGAAATACCAGATTTAAAGTCCATAATGATAAAGAGCACAACACTGAATAATTCTTCATATATTCAAAGTAATTCACTATCTGATTTTTAAAACATTCCAGTACAGGACAGTTTAGGAAGTTCAGATAATCCTTTGTGCTTAACTAGCTTGTTGGAAAATATGACTGTTGATAATTTAAATGCTAGTAAAGAAACTGAAGTTGGAAGTGTTTCTTTAGTTGAACAAAGTGCCAAGAATTACATTTTTAAAAATGATAATTTGCAGTTTTCCCAGTGTGAAAGTCCATCCCTAACTGAACTGTTTCGGGAACACAAAGAAAACAATATAAGCCAGTGCTTTACTTTGTCTGACCTTTGTAACCAGTCATCTGTCAGTTTCACAGATCTAAGTTTGGGATCCTTTCCCCTGTCACAATTAGCAAATCACTGTCAGTCTTCACCAGGAATATCAGAATTAACAGGATCTATGTTGTCATTGGCATTTCCTAAAGCTTCTCCCACAAGAGACCTTGAGAATTTGTCACTTTCTGAATTGATTGCAGAAACAATTGATGTATACAACTCTCAGATTAAGAAAGAGTCCTTTGAGGTCAGTTTATCTGAAGTGAGGTCTCCTGGAATAGATTCAAATATTGATCTTAGGGTCCTTATAAAAAAAACCCAGATTTTCTTCCAAAGCCTATAGTAGACCAATCCATTGCTCCTTCATCACGAACTAAAGTTCTAAGTTCAAAGCTAGGGAAGAAATCCAATTTTGCTAAGGATAATGAGAAAAACAATAAAGGCTGTCTGACTAGGAAACCACCTTTTTCTCTGTCTCGGACCAAGGCCGTTGCTGCTAGACCTTCAGCTTTTGCCTCAACACTGTGTCTTCGTTACCCACTAAAAAGCTGCAAGCGACGCACCCTTGACCTCTGTAAGACTTTTCTTTATAGTAGACAAGTTCAAGATGTAAAGGACAAAGAAATAAGTCCTCTTGTAGCGATAATACCATTTGACTTCAAATCAGCATCACCTGATGACATTGTAAAAGCTAATAAAAAAAAAGCATTTACTAGAGAATAGTAACAAAAGAAAACTTGATGGCTGTTGTACAGCTTTTTATTTTTAATTAAAGTCTTAGAGGATCACTTTATATTATGGGATTCAAATTGTGATTTTCATGAAAATTGTTGTAGATCAGTTGATTAGCTAATGCGTATTTTTGCACTGAATTTTTTTTAAACTATGTCTTCTTTCAGTGATAACAGGCTTTATTTAAGTTGGTAACCTATACTGAGTATATGTTTACAAAGTGGATATGGAAACTGGATGTTGTGAAATCAGACCTCAGATATTTTTGTTTGAAGCATTCAACTTTCTATGTTTTTTATGATGAAATATTTTTTTCTATGAGATATTTTTGTGCTTTGTTCATAAACGAAAATGCCAGCACTTGGAATTATTATAGTTTAGTGTGAAGATTATTCTTATGTGGCACAGCATAGTTGAGACATTATGTTTTAAAATACGATATAATTCCTAGTTTCATTATTTTTCTGTAGATAAATACTAAAATTTTTCTATTAGAAAATCTTAAAATTCCTGACCTTTGAGAGTACTGTGGAGATTGTTGAAATACATTTTTAATGATAATAAAATGAAAATCTTTTAAGGGACCATGTAAATATAGAAGTTGGATTTATATGTGAATTATTTTTATACATTTTTAAAAACCATTTGTCCTAAATAAACACTTCAAAATAAATATATAAAAAGTGTAAACAAAAAATTAGTACTCCTTAACCAGGCACAGTGGGCATACATCTGTAGCTACTCAGAAGGCTGAGGCAGGAGGATTGCTTGAGCCCAGGAATTGAAAGCTGCAGTGAGCTATGATCATACCATTGCCCTCCAGCCTGGGTAACACAGCAAGACACTGTCTCAAAAGGAAAAAAAAAATAGCACCCCTTAGAAGAATATAATAGGATCTAAAACTCTACGTATATCATGCATGATATCCAATATATAACCCCAAATTCCTAAACAGGAAGAAACAGAATAGCTTAACCATACTCAAGAGAGAAGGCAATCATGGAAACAGATCCTGAGATGACCCAGATGTTGGAATTAACAGACAAGGATTTTAAAGTTTCTATTAATTACTAAGCTCAAGGAAGTAAAAGAAAATATGCTCTTAATAAATGAAAAAAAGAAAACTTCAAGAAATAAAATTCTAAAATGGAATTTCTAGAACTGAAAACTATATATCCAAAATAAAAAATTCACCAGATGGGCTTAACAGCAGATTGGAGGTGAGAAAAGACTTGTCTAAGAAGATACTCAAAGAAAGTCCCATCTGGCCAGCCTTGTGTATCTGGCCACCATCTGATTTCTTTCTGAGAGCCAATGGAATTTTCCATTGCAGTGCCATAGCTGAGGCACTAGGTGAGGATGGTGGTTGGAATTTGACAGAAAGAAAGAGTCATAGATGAATTATTTCAGCAAAGTGTAGCAAAACACATAACTTATTTGTGAATATATCACAATAATAGATCTTAAGCCCTAAGAGAGATATTGGAGATTTTTCATTTCCAGCCAAATGGTGCCAGTTCATCAGGCAGTCCTGGGCATAGAAGGACTATGACTTTATCCCTTTCTGCCGGGATAAACTTTGGGAGAACAGGGCACCCTAGACCTTCCCACTCTTGCTGACAAAGCAATGGAAGCAAACACCTGCCTTTTCACTCTCCTAAGACTTGAATATTCTCTCTGTCCAGAGCTGCTACACCATCAGCTGGCCAGGGCCAGGAGTGGCCTGGCTGAAAGGAGGGCTGGATCAGAGAGACTGGTCGGTCCCATTCCTCCAGAGGGTTCTTCCCTGGTCTTCACAGACCCCACACCTTCACCCCCTGGGCCATGCTTCTGCACCATCCTGTCCAAAGGTCCCTGGAGCACCCTCTAGTACAACCCTAGAGTTTACCTATCACAGAGGACAGCCAAGACCACTGCTGGTCCCGGCCATGCTCCCCCAGGAAGGCAGGTCCTCAGGCTGCTTGTCTCTCTGGGGTTCCTTCCAAGGATACAGCACTCCCCAGGGCCAAGGCTTTCCCTAGGATCCCACTGTCGAGCAAGGGATGATGTTCTCATGGATTCCTCATTCTCTATTTACATTATTATTCTCTTCTGGAGGAAAATGGGAGGGAATGAGTGTATATTGAGCACCAAGTAGAAACCACACACTGCTTAGAACTTCCCATGCCTTAGCTCATGGGGCTCCCAGCTGAGGATAAGGGCTCTTGTTCCTAATATACAGTGAAGAAATGGGCTTTAATGTGGGTCAGGCAACATCCCCAGGGCCACACAGAACCTCCTGGTGGGACAGGGCCCAGACCCAGGCTTCTGTGGTCACTGAACCTGCTCACATGCTTGCGGAACTCAGCCACTGCCCAGCCAAAGTCCTTTTTTTCTTTTCTTGTTAATAAATAGAAACTAGGCCTTACTTTGTTGCCCAGGCTGATCTTGAACTCCTGGCCTCAAGTGATCCGTCTGCCTCAGCCTCCTAAAGTGCTGGGATTATAGACATGAGCCACCACATGCCTGGCCCCAACCAGAGACATTTCTACCAGCAGCGTCGCAAGAACACCTGCATCTTCTAGAACAAAATGTTGAACTCCTGAGCACCATTTTCTCATACTTTGACCATGGAACTTCCCCTTCCTCTTTTCCTCTGTGCCCCACTCTAACCTCCGCAGTTCTGGAATTGGATCTCCCACTGGCCGCACTGGGAGGAGGGACCATGTCTACTTCATCACCACATCACCTGAAACACCTGGCAGGCACTGAGTCAGTATCACTGAATAAATACATGTTTCACAGGCCCCAGTCCCGATTGATTGGCACCTAGCACCTGGCTTGTAAAGTCAACGCCAACTCCATCCCAACCCATCAGAAAAGACCAGTGCTGCCAGCTGGACCTGACTCACTGAGCCCATGCACACAGTCACGGCTGGTGTGAGTGAGGCTTTGACATGCGTCTCTCTGACTGACAGGGAAGGAGCGGCTGGCTGCTTGCCTTGGAGTTCCTATTCAGGAAGCTGCCCAGTTTTTGGAGAGTTTTTTGCAGAAGTACAAGAAAATCAAGGACTTCGCCCGAGCAGCTATTGCCCAGTGTCACCAGACAGGTGAGTTGGCCACAACCAGAGCTCCCTGCTCCCTGCCAACCCTCTGTGGGAGGATGGGGGGACAGCTGCGTGGTTGGTGTGCAGGCGGGCCCTGGGTCCTGAGGTTGGTTTGGGGGCCTGGGTGAATCCTCAGCTCTTATTGGACAAATAAGGCTGAAGGTTCCACACGAGAAGGGACAAGAGTCTGGGCGGCTTGAAGCAACACAGTGAACAAACTTGAGTGACTAGATGGTGGATGGGCAGATAGGTAAAAACAGATACAAGCCTGCACCTGGAAAGGGAAAACATGGATTCTTATGAAAAGCACTGGAATATTTACAAATATCACCACAATCAGGTCATGAAGGAAACCCAAACAAATTTCAAAGAATATCCAATAGGACATAGTCTGTGACCACAGTGCAATGAAAAGGTGGTTTCATACATGTATGTCTGAGTATGTGTAGCCATCCTTCCACCTACCTATTTGGAAGTTGATGATACTCCTAATAATTTAGGATTAAAAAAAGAAATCCTAAGAAAATGACAAAAAATGTTAGAAATAAATTACAGTAAAAGTATCTCATCAGAAACTGGGATGTGGCTAAGCTGACGCCTCACTTAGAAGTAAAGGAATATTTTAAAGGAGTATTTTTTAAAGAAAGAGAAAGTTGTGGGCATAAATGAGTTGTGTTCTACACAAGAAATCTGGAAAAGAGCAGCAGGGAAAAAAGGAAGAAATCAGTGGGAGAGCAGAAATTAATGAAATCAACAACAAAGAGGAGGATGAATGACAGGCACAGGAATTGCACTCACAGCACTCAGCACTCACTGGGAGTGAGGAAATCAGCTGGAGAGTTGGCCTCAGCAGGACCAGCATCTTAGATGCTGCGGCCTGTTTCCTCTGGGTGCCGGCAGTGTCTGTGTGGCAGCCTCGTGGACCCTCTCCGTGAGCCTCTCCCAGTGACTCGTTGATGACTTTTCACTCTGGGGCCCATGCCCAAGCCCCGAGAGCTCCAGGCAGCCCTGCTACAGGCTCCTTGTTGGTCTCACAGCAGACGGGCAGGTGGGCAGCATCTGTGCCACAGCCCACACTAGCCCGGAAGGGGAGCCTCCACAGCGCCTGAGACACAAGCCGCTTGCTCCCGTGGAGCTTACAGTCCTTGGGGGACATGGTAAACCCACAAGCATCCAGACAAGGACAGGAAGGTGGCGTCCAGGTCTGAGAAGAACAGAGCCGCAGCAGAGGCCCCAAGGGAGCTGTGCCAGCCTCCATCTCATGGAGCTGGCGACCTGCGCAGAGACAGGGCCAGGAGGAGTGCCAGCATGGGCAGGTGGGCCAGAGAACAGGTAGGGCTGGGTAAACCCAGACCATACGTGACACTCCATGGAGAAAGAATCTGAGCTTTGTCCTTCAAAATGATTCCAGTCAAGATGTGGGAAAGAGATTTGAGATGCAGTCAAAGCCACCCCTGAGAATAGTCTAGAAGCATGCAGGCATTAACACAGTAACTGAGGAGGGGTGGAGAGAGAATGGCAGGTAAGAGATGTCAAGGAAGCATCAAAAGCTCAGGAGCCAGCTGGGATCTCAGATGCCTCTCTGGCCACCAGCCCTCAGGGGTCAGTGCTCTCCACGGGGCACTTGGCTGCCCCAGCTGGAGCAGACTCACTCTGACGCTGGCCGTCCCAAGGTCCTGGGAGAGGCCCTGCAATGTGCTCACGTCCTTCTACATTTTGTAAACATGTCAAAAACAAAGTGTTTCAGCTTAATTCGGCTAGGACTGCTGCCTCCACCGCTCTTCCTCCATCACACACCTTTCTATGCCAGGTGGCATCAGTGGGGCCACAGCCGGTTGAGCTGGCAACTCATTTAATGCGGATTTTCCTGCTGGTGTTCCTGTGGTCCCCTGCTTTCTCTGTGTGTGGTGTGCTGCTAGCCATCCTGGCACAGGAGTGGCTTCCAGGAGCATTGGTGCCATGCGAGCATCACCACAAAGGGCCAGGGCCGGAAGGCACCTCGAGTATGAACAGGAGCTGCAGGCACTGGCACTGGAAGCACTGGGTGGAGGAGAAATGAGGTTTGAAATGTATGGAGTCAGGAGACTTCTGCCTTAGGCCACAAGGGAGTCACTGGCTTCAGAGTTTGCACCCACCATGAAGAACCAGAAAACTGGGCAAAATATCTGGAGCAGCCGTTTCCAACACTAGACAGTGGGTAGCGTATTGCTCGTTTCTGAGAGAAAAGAGGCAAATGAGTTGAGTCCTAAGAACGCCCTGTGTCTGGAGGCACAGCCCACGTGTGGAGGGGGAGCCACGCAGACTGCAGAGTGGTCTGGATGAGTGGAGGAGACGTGGATCCAGACTTGGGAGGCAGATGCAGCTGGATTTTGTAAGCCAGAGTGTCAGAGAGGAGGGAGCTAGAGAGAGAGAGCCTTGTAAATCTTCAAGGAGTTCCCCCTTGTGTCTGTTTTTGAACACTAAGATACGCATACATTGAGTGAAACGCTACGGGACTAGGCACAAAAATTGCTGGGAGCAGTAATCCGGATGATTCCAGAGTTACCATGGAACTAGGAGATGTTTGAGTTCTGACCATCCAGAGCGGAGAGTCCTTGTTAGACACCTGGGACATTCAGAAGGGTCACACTTTAGAGGCAGGTCTAGACTAGCCCTAGATTACAGCTATTCCAAATCCACTCTAACAAAGCTTAGAAGCAAACCTCAAAAGGGTCAAGATGATTGGCAAGTAACTTAAGCCTGCCAAAACACCCTCAGAAGGAAGACAGCACACCCCAGCATTCAACAACATAAAATTCACAGTGCCCAGCATCCGGCCAAAAGTCACTAGACCGACAAAGCAGCAGAAGCTGAAAGGGACCAAGTCAGAGCAGAAGATCTCTCGTGTCCTCACTGCCAGTCCTTCTTAAGAATCTTGTATATTGCCTGGCATGTAGTAGGTACTCGATCCCTTGTCACTTTCATGATTATTATAGATGTGGGAAATTCTTCTCATCCTCAGTCACAAGTGGAGGATTTATTTCCCACCCACACCTAGTTAAAGCAGAAGTCCTCACTGGTCAGGAATATAGTCAGCTAACACAGTGTGTTTGTGTTCATTTTCTTTAAAAGAGCCCCCAAATTGCATACACTTCAGGCCACTCAAGATTGGATCTGCCCAGTCCAGGGTCTGGACCTGACTGAGACATCCCCCTCCTTGAGGATGTGGGCTGACCACTTTCTCCTCCATCCCACACAGTCCAGAGTTACTCCTGGGCCCAAGGCCTCCACATGGCTTTGCAAAAGCTGCCCTCCCTCGTCCTGTGTGAGATCCAGGTGCAGCTGGAAGTCAGGAGAGTACAGAGCTGAGAGTGCAGAGTGTGGCCAGGGGCAGTGGCTCCCCACTGTAATACCAGCGCTTTGGAGGCCAAGGCGGGTGGATCACCTGAGGTCAGGAGTTCAAGACCAGCCTGGCCAACTTGGTGGAACCCCATCTCTACTACAAATACAAAAAATTAGCTGGGCATCGTGGCAGGTGCTTGTAATCCCAGCTACTCAGGAGGCTGAGGCAGGAGAATTGCTTAAACCCAGAAGGAGGAGGCTGCAGTGAGCTGAGATCTCGCCACTGCACTCCAGCCTGGGTGACAGAGTCTCACTCTGTCTCAAAAAAAAAAAAAAAAAAAAAAAAAGTGCAGAGTGCCCAGCTCAGACCCTCGCTTTCCCACTGCAGGGCCCACTTGCCCCCATGATAGACCCGAAGGGCCCAGGGGAGGCTTGGAGTCTGCACTGCAGTGCGGCTGTCCCTCTGTGGCCTCTGGACCTGGCCCGAGGGAGCTGCACCTGCTGTGGTGCCTGTTTCTGTCCCTCATCTACTTTTGCTCTGTGTGACTCAGGCTGTGTGGTGTCCATCATGGGCAGAAGGAGACCCCTGCCAAGGATTCACGCTCATGACCAGCAACTCCGGGCACAAGCAGAGCGACAGGCAGTGAACTTCGTGGTGCAAGGTACCAGAAGCCTCTTACCTGTAGTTCTGTGTCCATTTGCTTCTTGGGTTTTAGCAGCCGCAGGGCTGGGTGGCACCCACCGATCACTGTTGCGGTATTTCCTGCTCATCACAAACCTCCTTGCAGGAGCTTACACTACCCATGTCCTGCCTGGCAGTTACTGTCAGGAGGCATGAGGGGACACGGTCATCTTTGTAGCTAGGATGATTGGATGATTCCCGCAAGAACTGGGCCCAGGCAGTACTGTTCCCCATATCTCTGTGGTGGGAAACTGAGGCTTCTATGGTTTAGGAGACCTGGAGCTCAGTTCCTTGGCACTTGGCCTAGGCCCTTCCATCCTCCCCATGCATGCCTGGCAGGGGTGAGGCCTCCAGGAGTAAGGCACCCAAAACCCAGGTGCCCTGCAGGAGCAAGAGGGCGGGAGGAGCAAGGACGAAGTGTCTGCCTGCAGTCATCTGTGGCCCTGGCACTCAGACAGCTCAGAGCCAGCACCTCTGTGTGGAGGTACCGTGAGAGCTGTGGCGATGGTGCAGAATGCTGAGTGCACCATGAACCGTGTGCCATGGGACCTCAAGACAGTACCACGCGCCCCATAGGCTCCGCTGCTGACCTCTGCAAGCTGGCCATGATCCATGTCTTCACTGCAGTGGCTGCTTCCCACACCTTGACGGCCAGGTCAGTGGGTGGTGGTCTCCCAGGGCTTGGATGGGAGGGTTAGTATTCTGTGGGAAGACCCCCTCGGGGCTCGTGATTCTGATGATCACCATCTCTGCTTATCGGGCCCCCGTCCCCTCCTGAGGCTCTCAGCCCATGGAAGGCCCTGGGGGCTACTCACAGCAGGCATGCAGACAACAACCAGCCATCCACCAGCGTGGGGTGCAGATGAGGCCTCTCCAGACAGAAATGCTGTCTCCCCCAGACCCCTCCTCCTCGGGGTGTCTGCACAGCACAGGGGCACCCCTTGAGGCTGCCCACCCCAGAGGCAGGCGAACCCCTCAGCCCCTTGAGCAGGACCCTGGGGACTCCAAACTGCCCCCACCCCTGCCTGTTGCTGCCACCAATGCCAGGCAGTGTGCCCCACGCCCAGCTCTGCCCCCACCCCTACCTGTTGCTGCCACCAGTGCCAGGCAGTGTGCCCCACGCCCAGCTCTGCCCCCACCCCTACCTGTTGCTGCCACCAGTGCCAGGCAGTGTGCCCCACGCCCAGCTCTGCCCCCACCCCCGAGCCCAGAGCCAACATGCAGATGTGCCTTGGTGGGGGGGGGCTCCGCCCTGGCTGCCCCCCAGGCCACAGCTCTCTCAGGCCTCTGTCCCTGCCTCAGTTATTCCCCCAGGGCACATTCCTCAAGAGTGTGGGTGGCCAGGGGACAAGCAGCCCTCGCCCAGCCACCTCCTCCTTGCCAGCCAAGGCCTGGGGGTGCTGCAAGTGGTGACCCAGACACCTCCTCTCCTCGTTCTCCTTGTGCGGGATCCCCTCAGGAGTCCCGGAGCCCCTTCTGGGAGCTAACCTGCCCCAGCCCCCCACAGTGTCAGTCCCCGAAGGGCCCCTCGCCCTCTGACACACCATGGACGTTTTCCCACCCCCACCCTAAGAGCCCTCAAGCTCTTGGCGACAGTCCCGTGGGGGTCTAAGCACTGCCCCAGGGACTCTGCTTGCAGCTTCACTGGGCTGTGGGCTCTCAGTGCTGCTTTCTGCAGTAACTGAAGTGGTCAGAAGGCAGGAGTGGGGCATTAGAAGATTCACTCTCGGCTGGGCACAGTGGCTCACGCCTGTAATCCCAGCACTTTGGGAGGCCGAGACGGGTGGATCACCTGAGGTCAGGAGTTTGAGACCAACCTGGCCAACAGGGTAAAACATCGTCACTACTAAAAATACAAAAATTAGCCAGGTGTGGTGGCGCACACCTGTAATCCCAGCTACTCAGGAGGCTGAGGCAGGAGGATCGCTTGAACCCAGGAGGTGGAGGTTGCAGTGTGCCAAGATCGCACCACTGCACTCCAGCCTGGGTGAGAGCAAGACTCTGTCTAACAGAAAAAAAAATAAGATTCACTCTCAGTCCTCTCCTGCCCCATCTCACTGCCATCTGCATTCATTCCCAACACACACGTGCACACACACGCACACACAAGCACATGCACCCATACACGTGTTCACCCATGCATACAACCCATGCACACACATATACGCATATACACTGATGCCAGGCAGCCTCTAGTGCCCCACAGTGTTCTCATGGTGTCCTGAAATCCATGCATCCCGCTCACTTCCACAGTTTCTGCAGGTAAATTATAGCTTCTCCCAGGATATGAGCAGCTTGTGCTAGTTTCCGTCTTGGCAGGAACTGAAAGCCAAATGGTGGTCCTGCCTCTAAGATACTGCAAGTCTAGAAAAGTTGATTCAAGGCTGGGCGCAGTGGCTCACACCTGTAATCCCAGCATTTGGGAGGCCGAGTCGGGTGGATCACTTGAGCTCAGAAGTTTGTGAACAACATATGTGTTGCCTGGGCAACATAATGAAACCTGTCTCTACAAAATAAAAGCTGGCCATGGTGGTGCACACCTGTAGTCCCAGCTACTCAGGAGGCTGAAGTGGGAGGATCACCTGAGCCTGGGAGTTCAAGGCTGCAGTGAGCCATGATCATACCACTGCACTCCAGCCTGGGCAACAGGGCAAGAACCTGCCTCAAAAAAAGAAAAAATCGGTTCACTTTCAGCCCTTGTGGAATTGATAAAGGAAGTTGGCATGTGAGGAGCTGAGGTCTCTCTCTGTTGCTGACTGAGTCCTTCTGAAAGCTGGACACAGACACTTTTACTCAGGAACGCAGTTACTCGCTGGTCATCCTTCTGTCATCAGCCATTGGCTGTCACGAGGAAATGCTTCTCATAGCAAAATGCAAAGCAGACTCGTGTGGAATATTGGGCACATGGTCTGTGTTTTGTGAACGTGATTTGTTCTTCCAGGAGTAATGTGAAAGGCTGTGGATGGCGTCTGGAAGGGACGGGTGCAGGCTCAGTGTGGCCAGGCATCTCTCGCTGAAGCAGCAGGCATGAAACTCGATCACTGGGAGGCACACGGTGCCCCTAGAGTGAGCTGAGATCGCACCACTTCACTCCAGCCTGGGCGAGAGCGAGAGTCTGTCTAACAAAAAAAAAAAAAAAGAAGAAGAAGATTCATCTGGCCACCCCAAGGGTCTGCCCAGGTGGGCTGGGGCCACAGGACAGTCTGCATTCACCACCCACAGTCCCTGTGACAGGGAAATGGCATTCGTTTGTGCCTCTTGGTCCAGATCCTAAAAAGACCAGAGAGGTTGGGCTCAGAGCAGGAGGCCGGTGGCCAGCGTTCACAGGCCTCTGTGCCATGGCTCGGCTGTCCTGTCTGTCTCTTCTGGTGCAGGCCCTTTATGAAAAGGCCTTCCTGGGTTTCAGAACGTGTCAGTGCTGTGACGGTCCCTCCCCTGGGCCTTCTCAAGGCGGGTCTGCATGAGGCCACCATGCGCCCACACTCAGGATGAGTCCACAGAGCAGTTCAGCAGGGCTGGGGGCATCCCTTGCAAGGGAGCTGCCCCTGCAGGCCCCAGACAGGCAACACGGTGAGGCTCTTCTGGAACATTCTCCTACTGGTGCAGTGATCTCAGTCAGGCCATCCAGATGCAGAACACAGCAGCTCTGTGGCCGACCCCTCTCAGGAACAGGGATGAGAAGTTGCACCAGAGGTCCACTCCCTTCCGGAACACAACAGGATCCAAGGCCCTGCATTCATCCACCCCACACGGAGACGACAGACGTCCTTCTTCTTTCACCTGTGCCCCATTTCCCAGTTAGAAGCGCGGTCATGTCTCAGTGGCTGCGAGAATGATGTGTGAGTGACTGACAACTGCACCTATTCTTAGGTTCCTGCCACACCAGCAGCTCAGAATTTCACAATGTAATTTCAAGAAGTGTGAAAACTGCTTCTGCTAAATCTGGAAAAAGTTACAAGTGCCTTTTCTGAGGTTTCTGCCCATTTGAAAAGTAAGTCCTCTTGGGAGACAAAGACTTCTGCCTGAGGCCTTGAAGTTAGTTGAAGACAAGCTTGCTGGTGCTGACAGCCTGGGGCTCTGTCGCCCCTCTGACTTCTGGAAGGGCAGTGCCCACGGCCCCTGGCCAGAGGCTGCACATGAAGCACAGGCCCACCTCCCCCTCCCTGGGGGCAGCCTGCTCGAGGGTGTGAGCACCAGTGTACCGCTGTCTGGGCCCACGTAGTGTCCTGTGGATGTACACCCAGGAGGGTGTGCACTTGGCCGTCAGGAACACAGGCCCAAGCTACAGCAGCTCAGACTCCAGAAGGCAGACTTTTCTCCCATCACGAGAAGTCCAGAGAACAGTGGTTGCTTTGTTTCAGAGGCTCAGAGCAGCAGGACCGAAGTCCCTCTGGCTCCCTGGCCATTCCCTCCTGGTGCTGTGATGGAGGTGGCTGCTCCAGCCCTCACACCTTGCAGGCAAAGGAGAAAGTCATAGTGGTCAGAAGAGCATCTGCCCCTGGCAGCCCTTTACAGTCAGCCGTTTAAAGAGCCTTCCCTTTTAGGACTTTCCTGGAGTCTCTTTTCCTTCCCACTCCTTACCTCCCTCCCTGCTAAGGAAAAAAAAAATAGCCTCCTTGGAAGTTGAAGGGAATGCAGTCCTGGGCCACCCTGCCTGAGAGAGAGCCTGGGAAATGTCCTTTGTAGCTGAGGACACAGCCCCACCTCCACCCCACCCAGCAACAAAGGGGCCAACATGAAGAAAGAGAGGAAGGGCGGATTGGGGCAGGTCACCGGAAATCTCTGTTGCAAAGTCCACATCCCCTGTGGAAAGTGCCAGCACAGCCCACCTGTACCCTGGGGCTTGAAGGCTGCCCCTTATCCCAGCTGGGGCTCTCCGTCACATGCCCGTGACTACTGCCCGGCAAGGACGCCCATGCAGACCAGCTCCCTAGGGCCCTGGGCCCGCTGTGCCCATCTGTGCCAGCCAAGGACGGGCAGCAGGGGCGAAGATAGGACGTGACCCCTGCCCCTGAAGACTCGATCCAGGAGACAGAGCCAAGGTCACACAGAGGACAGAGTGCGTGGGACCCCCTGACACCCCATCCTTCCCAGCAGCTCATCCTGTGAGTTACCCACGCCGCACGTCCCCTCCCGGGGGCACAAGGCGAGCTGCCTGTGTCCACCTCACAGGAGAGGCTGGCAGTAGGTCTGGGGGCAGCAGGCCTCAGCAGAGGTCTCACATCACCAAGATTTGAGGCATCATCTGCCCAAGGTGTGTGTCACCCGTTTCCAAGGAGCATGTGGAGCCGCAGCGCCCTGGCGGAATCCAGCCCCAGTGCGGTCTGTGTGGCCAGCGTGGCGCCGGCCCTTAAGAGCTGATTGCCCGGAGCCATGACCCGTCCGCCTTGTGCTTGCACTTGAATCTGTGAGCCCCACCCCAGGGACCTGCCCCTGGCAGTGCATTTCCCCTGAATCTCCTCCACTTGGGTCCCACTTGCTCTCCCTGCTGACGCCCTGGGAGGGGCACCTGAGGGGCTCCATGAAGGAGGCTGGGGAAGGGTGGGGCTTGGCTGGGGCCTGGCTGGGGCTGGCTGGATGCTCACCAGAGCGAGGTCTCGGAGAAGCCCTGAGGGCACAAGAACCCATGATGTTGTTCGAGGCTCGGCCCATGTCAGGGCCCCCACAACAGTTCACAAGGGGCTGTTTTTCCATCCCTGCCCAGACTTCAGACGGGACCAACCTGGGTGGGGCGGACACGGGGCACCCAGCCCCTCCTGCTGGTTGTGCCACCTGCTTCCTCGCAGCTAACCAGTCACTTCCAACCAGCCTGTCTCCCTATTGCCCCTTCTCCCAGCTCCCCAGAGCTGTCCTGGTGACAGTGGGTGACCTCAAGCAGTGGTGCCCATGCCTCACGGAGCCACATCCTCTTGGGCCTCAGTGCCAGAACCACCTTTCAGAAACCTTGGGGATGGGCCCCCACCTCTGCATGCACCCCTGAGCCCCCGCCTCACAGTCCTGGCCTCCCAGGTTGACTCCCTCCCTCCCTGCCAGGCTGGTGGCCCACGCCCCACAGTCCTGGCCTCCCAGGGTGACTCCTTCCCTCCCTGCCAGGCTGGTGGCCCAGATCCATGATGAGCTGCTGTTTGAAGTGGAAGATCCGCAGATCCCGGAGTGTGCAGGTAGCCTGGGGCAACACAGGGTTGCTTGGACATCACAGACAGCTAAGAGGAGGCTCCATGCCCCATGGGCACAGCCCAGGAAAGCCCCTCAGCTGTCTTCCCTTTTATGGCCCCTGCCCCACCTCATTGCTGCTGTGTCACCTGGGTCCTGGCAGGCAGAGGGGCCAGCCTGGGTTTGGGGACCCTTGAAAGGCCCAAGTGGGCTCCACCCTGGGCCACCAGCCCCTCAGAGAGCGCCAGGTATTCTAGCTGACTGGAACTGCAGACAGCAGCTGCAGACACCCAAGGCTGCTTTGTCTGAGGCCCAAGGCCTCTATGTCTTGGGGGTCTAGAAAGATGGGGAGTGGGCATTGGGGCCACCTGGGCTGATTGGGGGCTGCGGAGCTGGCAGCAGGTGTTCTTGTTGGGGGTGTTGGAGTCACTGAGGCCCCCTAGGCTCAGCACAGACTTCAGGCCTGGGTGCCCTCCTGTCCCACAGGCCACCCCTCTCTGCTGAGCTACACGGCCCATAGATGAGTTAGCTCAGGCAGAATCACCCCAGCGGTCAGCCCAAGGGGTTCTTTCTCTCTCCCTTGGGAGGGCCGGGGCCTCCCCACAGCACCCAGCCACTGGTCCCATTCTGGCCTCACAGGGGAGAGGCGAGAGCAGGTGCCCACGTGGACCTGTGCCCCCAGTTCTCCAGGCCAGGTCTGTAAACAGCCGGGGCAGCTTCACGTGTTGGGAGAAGAGGCACGGGGGCGTCAGGGCTGGAAGCTTCAGGCACCAACTCTCGAGTGGTGGTCGCCATGCCCTCCTAGCCCCACCCTCTCCAGGCCTTACCCTTAGGGGTGTGAGGCTCCCATCCCTGGGGCCCACCCAGACCACTCCATCCTAAAGCAGGGCTCTGCCACTTGAAAAGTATGTCCAGCCACTCATTTGAAAACACACCCACCTTACGTGACCATTTAACAAGTATAACGTGTGCTCAGCTGTAGGTTAAAAAAGGAAAGAAAACGTTCCCAAACGGCCTTGTTCCCGGGAGCAGCTTCCTCCAGCTGGCCTGGCAGCTCCTGAGGCAGGCTGCAGCCTGTGCTCTGCTCTCTCAGGAGCACTCGGGGCCAGGGACTGCAGGGCCTGGGGAACCAGGGGTCGGGCGGGGCCTGCACCATCCCTGAAGGGCTGGGGGTCAGGTCATATCTCCCAGGCGGTGTGTAGCGCCCAGCATCTCTGCCCTGCCTGCCCTCCCGAGGGCCCCACAGGGAGCGCTCCAGCTGAGTGCCAGCTCAGCCCCACGCTTGCTGCCCCTCTCTGAGCAGCAGTTGCTTGGGATCACCCGCTCAGTCAACAGCACCACCCCACCAGGCACAGAAGAGGGACCAGTTCTCTGCATACTCAGGGTAGCCCCAGCCAGCATGAGGAGCCAATGGTCCAGCTTGGCCTGGGCCGGCTCTCCAGCCTCGCCCCCATAAGAAGGTCCCCAGGGGGGCCCAGGTCCTTCTGCAGGGCTCCCCACCATGCACATGGGCCGTGTGCCCACCTGCTGGCCGACAGCTCCCTGCAGACGGTGACCGGCTCCTGCACAGAAGACATTGAGGGCCACAGAGCTTGGGTGGCCGCTGGCCCTGCTCAGGACACACCAGGGACAGGTCCCCAGGGAGACCCTCGCTCTGCTGGGGCCAGCAGGGCTGGAAAGTGAGGTGGCGCCCACCACGGCTTGGGGCTCCTGCCGCCATCTTTGCATTGCAGTGTCACACAGCACAAAAGGACTGAACGAATGTTTATCCAGGGGCTCCAGGTTTCAGAGCAAGCCCTGAGAAAGCCTGAGCTTGCGGGTCCCACCTCTGGCCCCTGCCCAGGCCTTCCCTTTCGTAGGGCTCTGAGCCCCACTGCTGCATGGTGATCCACGCCCCAACAACGGGGTCAGCCTGCCTGTGGCACAAAGCCACTGTTGCCTCAAACTTCACCGGGCAGTAGTGGGGATGGGGGGTTCTTGTGTGCCTGGTGGCTCTGGCTGGTGGGGGCTCCCTGTGCCTCCCCCATCCTCCCAGCCCCAGTGGCTCTGGAACAGAGCTGGCATGACGCCTGCCCCACCCCATGGCCCCCAGCTGGGGTGAGCTGAGCCGGAGGGGTAGGGGTGAGGGCCAGTGCAGTGTGGTGGGCCAGGCCAGGAGGAGGGGCTGCAGCGAGGGCCAAGGGGCCTGCGAGAGGCATCCTGGACTGTGGATGGGGCCGGGGGAGCTGGACTCAGCCTCAGGGGCTGGGCACTCAGGGGCTCCTTGTGGGCATTAAGGTCCCACAGCTGGTTCAGGTGACCGAGTGGACACAGGAAACAAGGGGGCTCAGGGGCCGGGGCAGGACTCGGGCCTGAAAGTTCTCTTATCTTCGGCTCCCAGGCCCCAAGGCCAAGAGACCAGCAGGGCCTCCTCTCTCTTCCGCACTCTAGCTCTCGTCAGGAGGACCATGGAGTCCTTGGAACAGGTGCAGGCATTGGAGCTGCAGCTTCAGGTGAGGGGACACTTAAGCCTGCCCGGTCTTCCGGAGCCCAGGGTGAGGGGAGGCCAGCACCCCCAGGGCAAAAGAGCCAGGCCAAAGGGTGCAGCCCCAGCCCCGAGATGGCCACTCCACAGCAGGCACAGCCGTGGAGGCTGGACCGTCCCTGAAGCCCGGGAAGCCCCACCCGACTCTGCTCACTTCAGTGAACAGGGACGGCAGCCGGGGCTGGACCCCTCCCTCCCTGTCAAGAGCTGTGAAGGCTTGGTCCACTCAAGGTCAGGGACCCCCGGGAGGGCTCTCCTGGCCTCTAGGAGCCACCAATCCTCCCGGGGGCAGGACCCTGAGGGGCAAGCACAGGATGCCCCAGGACACACCCACCCATCCAAGGGCACCTTGTCTGCCGGCCGCAGCCTACCCACTGGCACAGAGGCCCTGGCAGGTGGGGGAACCTCCGCCAAGATCGAGGTGTCGTGACTGGGAGGTGGATGTGGCATAAGCCTGTTGCTGGGCGAGTGTGGTGAGTGTGCACGTGTATGCACATGTGTGCGTGTGGCTGTCTGATCATGTATCTGGATGTGTGCACCTGTGTGCTGTAGGCCCTGTCCCCCTGCTTGGGGTCTGGGAGGTGGCTGGGGGTGGCTGGCCCAGGCGTGGGGCTCACCTCTGGCTGCCACCTGCAGGTACCCCTCAAGGTGAGCCTGAGTGCCGGCCGCTCATGGGGACACCTGGTGCCACTGCAGGAGGCCTGGGGCCCTCCGCCAGGCCCATGTCGCACTGAGTCTCCCAGCAACAGCCTGGCTGCCCCTGGGTCCCCTGCCAGCACCCAGCCCCCACCCCTGCATTTTTCGCCTTCATTTTGTCTGTAGCCCCAGGCAACAGTGGGAGGAGAGAACTGGTTTCCAGCAGTCCATTGTGTGGCCTTCCCCAAGGTCACCAGCTCTGTACGCCCCAGGACGCATTAACCCTTTGGGGCTGGGGTGGCCCGCCATCCCCTGGAGTAAATGCCTGTGCAAAGCCCTCCTCATCCTTGTCTGAGTGAATTCTTCCTGTGAGTGGGAAGTGCCGCGTCCACCACCCCCAGCCACTTGGCCGGGGCAGGGCTGAGTGCCCCCAGTTGGGAGTGACCCAGGCTGGGTCTGGGCCAGACACTCCAGACTGGGTAGGCACTCCCAGCTCCCTCTCCCATGGATTCCAGGGGAGGGGGCTGCCTCGTGGCTCAGCAGCTGCTCCCCCCGGCAGGTGTCCAAGAAGCCACCAGCTCTGACGCCCTATGGTGTCACCCCCTGCTGGCTCCCTTCGCTTTAGGAAGCCATGGCCCAGGGCGTGCACCGTCCTCCCAGGCCAGCCCAGCGTGCAGCCCTGTACTGAGATGGAGAGAACACAGCCTCCCCGCAGGCACTGAGGCCCCTAGAGCTTGTGTTCCCGACTGATGTGTCAGGAGGACCAGAGGAGCCCCTCTATGAGAAGACCTGGCCACCCACTGCAGGCCTCCCCCATGGATGCAGCCTAGGGGCCACCGAGGACCCGCGGGCGTCTGGGGTCACATGCTCTCAGGCCACAAGGTCTCTCCCATGAGCCTCCTGCAGGCTAGTGACCAGTGGCTGCAAACAGGCTGGCTCCTGAGACAGCCAGTGCTCCAAGCAGCTCCTCCAGACTCTTCCCGTCCCACGTGCCCCTCTGCCTTCCCTCATGCACAGTGGCCTCACTGCCAGCCCAGCAGGACACCTGTGACTCACCTCCACCTCACAGCAGGCTGCGACAGAGGCACCAACACGATCCCCTCTTTGCACGTGGGGAAACTGAGGCACCAAAAGGTCACAGGGCTCAAAAGTGCGCCAGCCAGGATTTCAGCCGCATCCTCACCCTGTACCATGGTTCCCTGTCTCTGTGGTGGCCCCTGGAAATGTGCTCCCGGGGTCCTGCTTTCAGGCCACCCCCCCCCCCCCGGGTATCTCAGCCCCTCCCATGTACTTCCTTACCCAGGTCTGGGTCTGGGCTCCAAGAGCATCCCTTGAAGTGGGGCACAGGGCCCCCTGTACCCTTCAGGGATGTCACCTCCGGCTGCCACCCACAGAGCGGCCAGCACTCAGGCTCACCATCAAGGTGCTGGCTCCTCGTGGGGACACCTGGTGCCACTGCAGGAGGCCGGCCAGGGGTGAGTATATGGGGTGCAGATGGTGCTGTGGGTTTGAGCAGTGGCCTTCCCCACCACCACCGTGTGTACCACCCTGCCCTCTTTCAAGTGGCGGCTGTGTCACCCACGCGGCTTGCCTGTGCCCACTGAACATGGGTCATCTTTTCTGGGTGACCTGGGTCATCACAATGAATTGGTCAGGACCTCGCTGCTGTGGTCTGCGGGTGCTGGAAGTCCGTTCCTTCTTCCCTTCAATTACGCAGCATTTGCCTGACAGCGTGTGCGGTGCTGGGGAGGCAGGGACAGCTGAGTCCAGATCACAGTCCTGCTGCTATGCCACACCAGCCTCGCCCCTCTTGGTGCTTCCTGCCCCCTGGGGGAGCCAGGTGCCCATCCTGTGGCTCAAGGAAGCATTTGGTTTCTCCCCAGGAAGAGAACACCCACTCTGGCCGAGACAGCCTGATTTTCTCCTGGCTTCAAAAACATTTTCACCGCCTCCCATGTGTGTGGGTCCTGGGTGGCCGGGCCTGCCCCCATTGTGGTGGGACGTCCCAGTGATCCAGGGAGCTGCCCGTAGCCACTGCTGGGCCCTCCCACCAGCGCGGTGCTGCCCCTGCCTGCGTTCCCTGGGCAGCACTCTGAGCCCCAACAGGCCCGCCAGGCCTTGATGTACCCGCCGCACCCAGGCCTCCATCCTGCCGCAGTTTCAGTGGGATGTCCCACATGGGCTTTGCTGTTCGTAACCCGAGCCCAGGCCAAGGCTGCCTAGCCCTCCAGGCTGAGGGGCAGCCCTGCCCCTGCCCCTGCCCTTGGAAAGATACTCGCAGCCTGGGGTTCCTTCAGGGTCCTGGCTGGAGGGCCTGGCGGCACGGGTTGGGAGGGTGGGAAAGGCAGAAGCCGGGCCAAGGAAACCCCTACCAGGAAAGTGGCCCAGGGGACCGGCTGTGGAGCTGGGGGACCCCCAGACTCCAGGAGTTCCTCTGCCAACAAGACTGGCATCCTGACGGGGACCTGCCAGGGCAGGGGTCTGTGTCCACCCCATGTCTGTCTGTGAGACTCCCGACACCAAGCTCCCCACCCCACAGCCCTGAGCTGCAGCACCCTCGGCCTGGACCCCAGCCCTGGCATCCTCCCTCACAGACACTGGGGGTCCACCCCCATCCTGGTGGGCTCTAATGCCCGCTCACCTCACACCCTCCCTCAGCACCGCTGTTCCTCCGAGGGGCCAGGCAGGCAGGCGCCGGGGCTGCCAGGGCAAGGGTCGACATAACCACAGGAACTGGGAACCCCAGACCCAGGAGGACAGGGCAGCGGGGCCTTGTCCCACTGGGGTGGCAAAAATGGGGCGGGGGCAAGGGCTGGGGGACAAGCTGTCTGCCAGGAGTTAGAGTACCCAGGACCAAGCACAGAGCTGGGGGAGGGCAGGGCCCAGGAGCTGCTCAGGGGGATCCCAGGCCTGAGAGTGAATGGGCAAAGCCCACCCGGCTGGGTGCCTGCTGGGGGAGGGGCCTCAGCCCATGGGGCCACCAAGCCCCCCTGCCCCACCTCCTGGATTACACTCCCTCCAGGGGGCAGTGCTGGCTGCAGGGCAGCCTGGCCAGGTGTAGGGGAGCCGAGGTGGGGAAAGGGGGTGGCCAGGGGAGAAGGGGGAGGCGGCGGGGGCCAAACTGGGCAACCAAGGGTGGGGCCACATCCCTGAAAGCCAGCCCTGCCACACAGTGGGCAGGAAGCGCCTCAAGAGAGCACGGGAGCCAGGTGCCTTCAACTCTGGTTTTATTGAAAAACAGCAGCATTGGGGGCCATTCAGGGGAGGGGCACACACCCACCCCCGGCCCCCGCAGCCCCTCTCCTCAGAACTCGCTCGCCCCCACCCTGGGGGCTGTTTTGGCACATCTGGGGCCTCAGAACAATCTGCCCCCGCCGTGGGCTCACAGTACAGTTTCGGGAACAAACAGCAGCAGGTGAACCCCACCCCCTGTGCTCCCCAAGCCTGGCCTCCCCGGACCTGCCCTGGAGCTGCCCAGGCCCTCCACCCAGGCCCTGCTCCACTGAGGGGCAAGAGGGGCCAGGGAGGCTCAGCCCGGGGCCTGGGGCCCAGCAGGGAAGCCGTGAGCAGGACCTGCTTCCCCGGGCACTGCCAGCCCACCACCGCCGGGTACCTGCACAGCCACATATATGCAAGTACACACACAGGCACTCGCACGCATGCATGCTCATGCAACACACATGTACACTCTACATGTACAGCTCACATATGCATCCATACACATGTGCATGCTCACCCATACACCAGCCACACACAAGTACTCATACGCATACATGCCCACACACAAAGTACACACACGTACACCATATGCATATGTATGCACTCATACACTCATACATATGTGCCCCCTCAGAGAAGTACACAAGAACATGCGCATCACACATGCATACGTGCTCATGCATACACACGCACATTCATACACACGTGCATGCTTATGCATACCCAAGACACAAACACATGTACACGCACACATGCGCACACACACGTACATCTATACACGTGCTCACGCATGTACACAACTCATGCACATGTACACCTATACACGTGTACACACACATGCATGCTCACGCGTGTACATGCTTATGCACCTACAACATGCACGTGCACAGGCTCACACATGCACACATGCTCACACTACACATATCCAAGAACCCACTTGCACACACACACACGCTCAAACACGTGCACATGCACACACACAGGTACATCCCTCCTTTAAAATGGCTAATTATTGCTGTTTTAAAAAAAATACATCCAACAATGGTATGTCCGGCTCGCCATCCTTCACCCCACCATGGCCCCGGGAGGCATCACGCCACCTCTGGAAGCACAGCAGCCGTGGCGCGGAGGAGTAAGCGGATCCCAGGGTCTGCAAGTCTGGAACTCAAACCCCAAGTGTCAGCTCTGTGGCCATCAGCCCAGGAACACAGGCCTGTGGCCAAACAGAAGCAGCTTCCAAACAGACATAAGCAAGTCAGCAGGCAACACAGGGTGCGCGACTGCAGCGCCAGCCCACGGGGGATGGCAGTGGGCTCCCTTGGCGCAGGGGCAACTGTCCCACCGTCCCTCGGGCACTGACAGGAAGGTGGCCCCACGAGGGCCCACACAGCCCCCTGCCCGGCGGGGCAACCACCTTCGGCCCCCACAAAGCCCAGGCGCCAGCAGAGCCCAGGAACCCAAGTTCCCAGCCTCAGGCCACCAGCACAGCCCTGGGTGCCCCAGGGCAGGCGGGCCTCTCAGAGGGGAGCCAGGTCCCTATGGCCCAGAGAGCTTCCCCAGCACCTGCCACACAGCCAGGAAGCTCAGGGCGTCCCCAGCCCGTCGTCCCCTCTAGGGCCTGCAGCCTTCTGCCATCTTCTCTGAGAAGGACACCCAGAGCAGGAGAGGGGTGGCCCCAGGACCTCGTGGCCTCAGGCCTGCTGTCCACAGGGCCTCCCAGGCCCAGCCTTCCCCCAGGGCCAGCCATCCACCCCTCAGGCCAGACTGACCCAGCCCTTGGCCCCTCCCTCCGGGGGCAGCTTCTCACCTGCTGCCCGGCCCCAAGGCATGCCACCAGCCGGAAGCAAGGCTGGGCATGGGGCGGAGGAAGGAGGAGGAGATGCCGCCACGGCTGCGGGGCTCAACTCCCTACGCTCAGGAGCCCTTCTGGGGGCCAGACCACATGGCAGCTTCAGCACAAGCAGGCCTCCCACCCTCAGGGACCAGGTCTGCAGCGACTCACACCTGGGCAGTGGCAGCTGCCTGGGGCCACCCCACCCCCAGCACAGCAAGACCCGTGGCTCTGGGCAGTGTGGGGCATCCCGAGGCGCTTCAGCCCTCAGCTGCCCGGAGCCTCTCGTCAGGCCTGCAGTGCTCGTCCAGTGAGGATGTCCTCCTTCGCCCAGCTCTGGCCCCAGGCACTGTCAGCCCCTCCCGCCTTCCACGCCCCCCACTCCAAAAACAGAGGCTTCCAAACACACAGAAATCCCAGGAGCCCCAGGCCCCTGAGCAGTGCTAGGGCCCGGCCTGGCTTTCCCCGGGCCTCACCACGCAGAGTTTGAGTGGTGGGTGCCCATGGGGAGCGGGCAGGGGGCCAGCACTCGGGGAAGCCGCACCAGCCACGTGACAGCAGGGCCCAGGAGGGCGCTTCAGAGGTAGAAGAAGTTACATCAGAGTTTCTACAAACGTATAAAATTCACGTCAGTGCACATGTGCAGAGCAGTGAGATCCCAGGCTGGAGGGATGAGGTGGGCCAGGTCAGGCCCACCCACCAGGCACCCGGCCTCCAGCCCCGGGGGAGGACACACCTACCCCCCAGTGGCCTTCAAGGGCGCCACCAAGCTACACATTGGCCTGGCAAGGGTTCCGGGCAGCTCCGCCCCAGCCTGGCAGGCACACCAGTGCCTCTGCTCACCTCAGGGGCGGCAGGGTTCTGCACACAACCACCCCGCACACCCTTCCTGCCATCTCTACCAAGTCCTGGCAGCAACAAAAAAGGCCAAGCGTCTCACCACCCACAGGGCAGTGCAGCCAAGGAAGAGGTCACTCACGGGCGCAGATGCCACCAGAATGAGAGAAGGCCACACTGCCCAGGACTCTCAGAACCCCCAGGAGGGGGATCTGCTAGGATCAATATCAAGGAGACACTGGCAGTCCCTGGGCCTCCAGGCCCTGCCCTGGCGTCGGTGGGCTCCAACAGCCACCCCCAAGCACCCTGCACCCCAGGAGCCCGAGGCTCCAAAGGCACAGGACCAAGGGACGCTGGCAGCACCCCGACATGACACCCCCAAGACCTGACTCCACCTGGCCCGCCCTGCCCCTCCTGCCCCCAGCATGCCCCGCACCAACTGGGACCAGCCCCAGGCCAAACCCAAACCAAACCAAAAGAGGAAAAAGGCACAACTGTTTGTTTCCATTTTGCTAAAACACTTTACGTCTGTCTGTATATTCCAGATTAACAAAATCTGAGCTGCAAGAAAATAGGGTGCCGATTTCTGTACAGTCTACAAAACTCCCATCCCCAAGCGGGGACCGGGCACCTCCAGGGAGGAATGTACAGGGGAGTGGGGTCTGTACAGTGCTCTGCACACCTCAATTGCTAACAGGACAAAAGGCCCTTGGACGCAGGGCTTCTCTGTCCCTTCGCTCGCTTCTGAAGCGCCTCGTGAGAAGCATCCCTCCATGGCCCTGCACGTGGCCTTGATGCCTGGGACCCAGTTCCGTGGCCCACCCTGCCTGCCACGACCCCTCCCCAATTCCCCCACACAAAGGGGTCTGGGCAAGTGTTTATTCTTCTCCTGCCACCAAAGCCAGGTCCACTTCTAAGCTGAATGTGCAGCCTGTGCCACCCTCCACCTCTGTCTCCCCTTCCAGGCCACCCCCCCCGCCCCCCGTCCAGGGCAGCCCCTGCCTGTGACCTCAGGAAGGAGAGACCAGGAGCATGGCCAGCGGAAGCCGAGGCGGCCACCCCTCTTCCCACCCAGCCCAAGGCAGCGCCCTGCCCCTCCTCCCGGAGGCTGCGGACTCCCTTGCCCCCCACCCTGCCCACACTGCAGGCCAGGGCTGGGAGGCGTGCTCCATGGCAGGAAATGACATCCAATCAGGGTTTCCCTCCAGGTTTCCAACAGCAAAACGCTCCACCCACCCGGCCACCCACCCCCATCACACTGGGCCAGAAACTGTGTCTTAGGGTACAAACTACCGTTTTGTCCCAAGAATTAAAGTCATGCAGAGTGCTATTCTGTCTAAATAACTTATTAGAAAATGTGTTGGTTTCAGGCTGGGAGAAGCTGTGGGCTGGGCGCTGTTGGCAGCAGCCTGGGCTGATAAGATTCACAGGGTGGACCGTCAGCCAGAGGCAGGAGGTCCCCGGGGACATCTGGGAGAGGCCAGCACGATCCAGTGGGCACTGGGGAGAGGGGTCCCATGGACCCCCACCCTGGCTGTGCCACGGACGCCATGGGAGTCACCTGGGTGATGACACCAGTCAGCACAGCCCAGGCAGGGGAGGGGCCGGAGCCAGAGAAATGGAGGGCGTCAGAGCAAAGCAGGTGTGGACAGAGCCGGGCGGCGCGGGGCAGACCAGGCCCTCCAGGAGGTGGGGGCAGGGGCAGGCCCTCCCACAGCCAGCTGGGGGCTGGGGACAGGGGCGCTCACCAGCCCGGGTCTCCGGGTCCAGTCTGGGCAGGGCGGCAGGGCGGGGCTGTGTGCATGCGGCATGCTCAGCCGGGCCACACCCTCGGCATGCGCGGAGCAAAGCAGCGCCGTGGCCAGCTGGGGCCTCCACAGGCAGTGGCGCTGGGGCCGCAGGCGGGGCCGGAGCCTGGCCCCGGGATCTGCTGCAGAGGTTCTGTGCTTGGTGAGCAAGGCTGGGCCTTCCCCAGTGGCGGCGGGCAGGGCAGCGTCATGGACAGCCGCGGTGGTCCAAGATGCCACTCTTCAGGTGGCAAGCCGCCCAGGCAGGTGGGGAAGGGCGAGGGGCTATGGCGACAAACAACCCACCCCCACCAAAGTGTCGCCGAAGAACAACAGCCCCGCACCCCCCGGAACCAGCCAGACAACCGCAGGATGTTGAAAAGGGGAAACCCAACACAAACGCCAATTGAGCGTCTGAAAGCAGGCCGCGCCGGGCGGCGGGCAGGCGGGCAAAGGCGGACAGGGCGGCCGGGGGGGCGGGCGGGCGAGCGGCGGCGGTCACTCCTCGCGCAGCTGCAGGCGGTAGCGGTGGTAGCGGACCTGGAAGAAGAGGCGCTCAGCCAGCGAGAGGGTCATGCCCGGCAGCACGTAGTGGTCACTGGCGCCCATGTGTCTGAAGCCCAGCGACTCGTAGAGCTTGTGGGCGGCCACCTTGACGGCCGTCGTGCCCAGCACCACCGCGGAGTAGTTGTGCACCACGGCGAACTCCAGCACCTTCCGGCCCAGCGCCTTGGCGATGCCCTTGCCTCGGAAACGTGAGTCCACAGACATCCGCAGCAGCTCCACCGTGTTGTCCTCCTCGTGGGCCCGTGCAGCCACAATGCCCACCACGTTGCCATCCAGCACGGCCACCCAGAAGCAGGAGCCTGCAGGGGATAGGGCGGTCAGGGACACCCGGTGAGGAAGGCTGGGGAGACCCCTCCACCTCTGGGGTGAGACAGGGCCCTTGGCACTGCCCCCTCCAGCTGGACACCAAGCCAGGGCAGTGGGACACCCAATCCCGGCAGCCCCCGGGGCCTAGCTACCAGCTCTGCTGGAGCCAAGGGAGGGGGCAGCCACTATTCAGGACAAGCAGGTAGAGCCCCCCTCCAGAGCTCCTTAAGCAGAGAAAGCCAGCCCAACACCTGTTACCCAACAGGCCAACAGCCAGGACCCACTCAAGCCTGGAGGCTGCGCTGCTCAGAGTAGTGGTCAAAGGCCCGAGTCCCTCCTCTGAGACCAAGAGCTGGGGCAGGCTTTGCCCAGTCAGGCCGCTGCCCTCTGCCCAGCTACTCCCAGACCAAATGCCTTGATGGCCCGGGCCACCCTGAACAGGCCATGGTGCAGCCAAACTGCTGTGGCTTCTGGCCACCCAGGGTCACCCGGGCCATCACGGCAAACTCCAGCACCCACAGCAGAGGGCCGCAAAGGGCAGGGGTCAGCAAAGTGCGTCCAGAAGGCTCCCTGCAGCCCAGGAGGAGCTTTCCTATAAATCCAAGTGGGGGACAGGGGATGGCCCCTCTGGCCCCGGCCTCTCCTGGCAGTAGGCCAAGTGGCCAGGCCATCACCCCATCCACAGCACGGCCCAATTCTCACCTCGAGTCAGGCACGAAGCCAGGAGGTGGCGGTCGTGGGGGAGGGGAACCGGCAGGGGAGGAGGAGAGGTGCAGGGGCAGGTTGGGGCGGTTGTGGGAGGGAACCTGCAGGCACTGGCCACAGGGGAAGCCCAGCCACCTCCAGCAGCCAAAGGCAGAGGTGGCACCCAGAGACCTCTCTGAAGACCAAGGGTTTGGCCAGTGGAGGGCCACACAGCCTGCCTGTGGCCCATCCAGCCTCCTACTCAAGGAGGCTCTGCACCTGCCCCGAGCCCCGGGAAGCCCTCCCATCCCTCCCCATTGCCCCTCTGCACAGCCACCAGCCTGCTGGCTCCATGAAGGGGACCTCTGTCTCCTTCACTGCTGGACACTGAGGCCTGGCAGGCAGCTAAAGGGGTACTGAAGGCCCTTCAAGGAGAAGCAGCGTGGGGGGGAGCCACTGGGCACCGCTGCCATCGCCACAGACACGAGCAGCTGGGCCCTCCAAGCTTTGTGCAGCTCCAGGGTTCCCAGGAGGGCTGCCCCTCCTCGGCCCCCTGTCCTGGAGCCCCTGGGGTCTCCCACACCCAACCCCCCATCTCCCTACCCACACAGCATCTCTACCTCCAAGGAGGGGATCCTGGACCAGTATCCCTCCCACCAGCTGGCCTGCCCACCACCCAGGGGTTCTGCCTCTACCTACCCAGGCAAGACGAGAGATCAGGGCCATCCCAGAAGTAGCAACCCCCAGCACCATGTGGCCCTGGGCACACCTCACTCCTCCCAAGACTCGGTTTCCCCATGTGCACAAGCAGCTCCCAGAATCCACCACGGGCCATCAGCAGCTATCCAGCCTCTGCCCTCGTGGGGTGTTCCTGCAGCCCTGCCAGCTACCCCTCCACTCCCTCACACCAGGGAGGCCACGGCCCAGAGGGAGCAGGGCCATGCCCCGTGTGCCCACCGGAGCCCCCTGTGTTGCTGTGGCCTGTGCTTCCTCATGGCCCGTTTCCCCTCCCAAGCAGAGGCTGGCCAGGGCTCAGGGGCTGCTCAGATGCTCTGTTTGGGTTTAGGAAAGGGTCAGGGAGAGCAGCAGGCACCAAGGCCGTGGCGCGGGGGTGGAGCATGGCAGCCAGCGGTGCCAGACACTGCCCCTCCCCTGACACTGACCGGGCTCCTGACAGACCCTGCCCAACCCTTTGGGCCACACTCTGTCCCTCTCGTTGGCCTACAGACGCTCCAGGATCGCAGAGAGCCTCCCACCCCAGAGAGCAGAGTCTTCACCCCTGCGGCATCCGGCATGGGGGAACCGGTGTGGCTCAGCGGCTGGGGGCCAGCCCGAGGGTGGAGAACAACCCCCACCCCCCCTAGAGCCCAGACCCAGCTCCTCCAGCTATAGAAGGCCACAGAGGCTGGGACAAAACCCTTCAGCTAAGCGGCCCAGCGATCAGGCCAGAAGTGAAGGCCAAGGCTCAAGGTCAGGTCCCCTGCCCCCACCCCATCCTCTGTGCCCCAATAGGGTCCCCGGCCCCTGCCACACAAGCCCTCTCCCCCCAGGACCCTGGCACTGCAGGCAACCCCATCCCCGCAAGGCACACCAGATGGGACCCACAGAGCCCAGCGGCCCTTGCCCCACCGCAGCAGGCGCCAGGGAGACGCATCCACAGCAGGGAACGGTGGAGCCACTGCGTCGCAGGGCCAGCTCAGGTCACTCAGCGGGAGGAACCGGCCGTGCCTCCCCCAGCCCCGCTGACACCGGAGGCCTCGGTCACCCAGAAGGCTCAGGTCACAGGGGCCCCGGCTCAGGCCCACCCACGCCGGCCCTCGCCCAGGCCTGCCCTGAGGTCGCTGGAGTGCGTGCCCCCGAGGGCTGTCTGGGGCGGAGGTCGGGGAGCGGCGGGAGCGGGACTCACCGGGCGGCTTCATGTAGTACTGCTCGATGTCCGCCATGTCCGTGTGCAGCGCGCACTCCAGGTAGGCGCGGATCACCTTGCGGCTGTAGTAGTAGCGCAGGCCCAGCAGCGCGGCCGGCACCAGGCACGTCAGCAGCAGCGAGCGGCTCACGGCGAAGCACAGCGCTGGGGGCAGAGGGCGCGGGTCAGCGGCGCGGCGGGGGTCCCCAGGCCCCAGAGACGCCACCCCGGCGAAGCCCGCTAGGGACGCCGCGCCCGGCCGCGCTCCTGGTGGAGGAGCCGGGGTCATCTCGGGTGCTTTCTACTTCTCCCTATTTCCAAGCTTCCTGCGGTGAAGACAGCCACCCCACCCACCCCCACCGCCTGGAATGAGCCTCGGCGGGTCTCTGAGCTTCCAAACACGGCAGGACACCCTCGGGATGGCCGGGCCGGGAAGGACTCTGCCCACGCTGGCCTACTGAAGCCAAGGTGGGCAGATCCTGGCAGGGAGCTGCCCCGCAGACCAGGCCCCGCGCGGGGGAGGGGGGAGGGGGGAGGAGGAAGGGGGGTGTCCCACGTTCCAGCCTCGGGCTCCAGGACCCCCTCTTCCCAGGGCCCCAGCAAGAGCCCTTCCTGGCCAGCGTCCGGGAGCTCTGAGGGCAGGGACAGGGCAGGGAGGCCCCACACCGCTTCCAGCCGCATTTCGGCTGCCGTGACCTTGGGGGAGTCGCGTCCTCCCTACGCGGCCTCAAGCGCCTCATCTGTAAAATGGGAGCGAACCCCCTCACCCCGGCAGGAAGCTCTGAGGGGAAGGGCACCCAAAGACGCTGAAGGGGCCGCCCTCTGCGACCGCCCCGGCTGTGCCAGGCGCGCGCACCCCCCGCGGCGCCGGCTGTCTTCCCCTCATAAATTAGCACCGAGCGGGAGGCGGCCTCCCCCGCCCGCAGATTATATTTAGGCACTCGCCGGGGCCCAGCCGCGGCGGGCGCTACCTGCCCTGGCACCCGCCCCCACCCAGGATGCCCGGGAGGGGACAGGGGAGGCGGTGGGGGTGGGGGGCTGCGCGGCGGGGACGCAGGTGCGGACCCCGGACCCTCCCCGGCTCCGGCCCGCTCGGGGCCCTGCGCCCATCCCCACGCCCATAGCCAGCCCTGCGCGGGGCCCGGCGCGGCAGAAAGCGGGGGGCTTCCCAGGCTGGTCCCCGGGAGCCGGGCGCGGGGTCCGCGTGGACGCCGGGGCGGGGGAGCTCCGCGCCGGCCCGAGGGACTGCGGCAGCCGGGGGCCCGGCGCACTGACCCGCCAGCAGGGCGTAGAGCAGCTGCGCGCGCGGGTGCTGCCGCAGGCCGCGGAAGGCCGTGTTAGGGATGCGCTCCATGATGCCGTCGTAGAAGATGCGGCGCGCCGCCTCCTGCTCGGCCGCACGGAACTCGCGGATGCACACGCCGCGCCCCCCCGGCGGCCCCGCGCCCCCCGCCCCGCCGTGAGGCTGAGCCACCGGGGCAGGTGGGGGCGCGGGGGGCGCGGCGGCCGGCCCGGGCGCGGCGGGCAGCGGGGGCCACATGGCGCCGGCGGCGGCGAGCAGCGCGTCCTTCTTGGCCCCCGGCAGCGCCTCATGGTCCTCGGCGGCCACGATCTTCGTCTCGCAGACCATGTCGGGAGGCCCACAATGCATGCACCCGGCCGGGCGGCGCGGCAGCGGGGACGCGGCCGGGCGGCGGCGGGCACGGCCGGGCCCAGGGCAAGGGCGCGGCGCCCTCGGACCCGCGGCGGCGGCGGCGGCGGCGGCAGCGGCGGCGGCGGCGGCGGCAGCTCAGGGGCGCGGGGCGGAGGCGGCGGGCGGCCGGGGCGCGCGCAGGGAGCTGCGCCGCATTTTGGAGAAGTATTTATAATGCGGCGGCGCCGGTGCAGTCGCGGCGCCCGCGGCCCGCAGGGTCCTAGCGTCCACTGCATTGGCTGCCGGGGGTCACCATGTGATCGCGGGGGTGGGGGAGACGCCGCCCCCGCCTCGCCGGGTGGCTCGCTGGGCGCGACGGGGCGGCCGGGCAGCGCGAGGGGCCCGGCACGGGCGGGGGCGGCGGCGCGGGCGGGGGCTCCTGGCCCGGGGGCGTCCGGCGGGGCTCGGGACCCGGCCGCGGAGCGCGTGATGGGCGCCGCCCGCCCCGCCCCCCGCTCCCACGCCGCGCGCCTGGGAGCGCCCCGACCCCGGGCCCGACCGCTGGCGATCGCGGCGCCACGTCCTCCTCCTCCTCCTCCGCGGCCGCCCGGAGCAGTCACGGCAGCGTCTCCCGCTCCGTCTCCTGCCTTTGTTTGAAAGCAGCGCCCGCGGTGGACCTGGGGAGAGGGCGCCGCGGCTGCCCCGGCCCGGAGCCCCCGGGAAGCCTCGTCCGGAGCCGCACGGGCAGCCGGAGTGGGGACGCGGAAGGGCGGGGTCTGCGGCCTGGCGCGGCGCCCCCCTGTCCGAGCCCCGCAGTGGGCACGGGGATGCGGGGCCCGCAGGACCCCTCCCGGCCCGGCCCCCGCCCCCCGCGGCCGCGCATGCGCCCCGTGGCCTCGGTGCAGGTGCAGCGGGGGCTCTGCGCCTTGTAGGACCTGCAGACGCCGCAGGCTGGGGCGGAGAAGCTCAGGTGCGGGGAGGCGGTCGCAGACCCCATCCTCGGCGCTTCTCGAACCTAGCCCCCTTCAGTTCTGCGCGACCTCCCAGCACCACCCCGAGGGCTGCCGGAGCAGAGCTTCCCCGACATGCGCGGGCGGGACGGGGCCAGGGGTCCAGGCCTGGGGACCCGCAGTCTGCGTTGTGCGGTGGAGTTGGGGCCAGCCGGGCAGCTGAGGTCACCTGAAGGCCAGGAGGGGCTGGGCCTGCCCGTGGACGTGGGAGTGAGGCCGCAGCGCCCTGGTGGGGTGGGGAGGGGCGGCTGAACTGGTCCACAGCCCCGTCCGCCAGAGAACGGGCCCTGGAGAGGGGCAGGGGACGGGGTGGGGGCGTGGGGGGGAGGGGAAGCCAAGCTGGGAAGGCGCCCCCTCAGTGTCTGGGGCCCGCTGTCAGCTTTTCAACCTAAAGGAGAAAACAGGCAAAACGAATAGAAATAGTTTGTTGGGGCCAAGTTTGAGGACTGCAGCGTGGAAGGACAGACTCAGGTTGGTCTGAATGCACGCGCTCTCATTCGCAGCAGTTGCAAGTGCGTTTTTAAAGGAAAAATGAAGACGCAGCTCCTAAATTCACCAAGAATTTGCATTAAAATGGCATAAGCTATTGATTGGTGTACATTATTTGTCACAAATTCCAGGAACATGAAGATGACGCTGAGGCGGCCAGGCGGACACTATAGGAAAGAAAAGAAAGAACAAAATGCCTTCCAGCAGTTGCCCCGGGCGTGAGTGGGGAGGCGGGACTGAGGCCCTGTACTCAGGTGTCTCTGGGCCAGATAATCTTTGAGAATCCCACATAGCTCCGGCTATTTTTCTTTTCTCATTTCTCGTGTTTGATCAAAAATTTTCTCTTCTCAAAGCAGTGATGATCGACATTCTAGATGTAAGTTTTTCTGCTGGGAAGGCTCATTCCCGGGCCATCTCACCCCGCATGGGGGGAAAGAGGACAGGTGCGGTGGGCGCTTAAGAACTTCGTGAGGCCTCAAGGCCAAGGTTGATTGGCACGGGGTCTGTCAGGCCGTCTGCTATGAAGGAGCCACGCATACCGGATGGCTTCTGAGCATCTAGCTAGCATCCTCGGGGTTTTTTGGTTGACTTTGGACATCTAGAAACACAAAGCCTAATCAATTTAAGAATGAAAAATATGGGCCGGGCGTGGTGGCTCATGCCTGTAATCCCAGCACTTTGGGAGGCCGAGGCGTGTGGATCACGTGAGGTCAGGAGTTTGAGACCAGTCTGGGCAACATGGTGAAACTGCGCCTCTACTAAAAATACAAAAATTAGCCGGGTGTGGTGGCAGGCGCCTGTAATCCCAGCTACTTGGGAGGCTGAAGCAGGAGAATCACTTGAACTCGGGAGGCGGAGGTTGCAGTGAGCTGAGATCGTGCCACTGTACTCCAGCCTGGCAACAGACTGAGATTCTGCCTCAAAAACAAGAAAAGAAAAAGAAAAAATGACACAAATAAGGGCAACTATTAACAATTTGAAATCTAGAACTGAAGAGTGCTTCTATTTTTGAAGGTAACCAGATACCTATTTTGTCTCCTTCTGGTCCTGGCCTGAAGAACAAGATGTTGAAGTTCTCCAGTGATGGAAACGACCTCTCTGGCGAGGCTGCCTGGTGTGGTCCCATCTATTGTGGTTGGAGGAAGTCCTATATTTGATGCTTTTCTCATGAAATCTCCAGGTTGGAGACCTTGAACTTTCATGTCTTCATCTCCTGAGAACTCGCCGTTAACAGAATCCTTAATTAATTTAGAATGTGCAGTGAGAAGCTCTATAGGGTCTCGGCAATAATGAAGAATATCGCCTTTAAGGGGAGCTGGTTTGGAGGCTCCTTCATCCAGGCACAGGGCCTTCCTGGTATTATTTCAAAGAGAGAAAGCTGATGTTTTCCAAACAGGGCAGAACCCCAGTTCAGCACCACAGTGGAAACACCTTAGGCCAGGGAGTGTTAGAAGCTGGTTTCAGCATTGCAGATGGGTTTTCTATTATCCCACCTGTGCGTTCCACAGTCTGGAAGATGGAGGAGGGCTGCAAGCACAATGGGAATGCCAATCCCTCCAATCCCAACCAGCTTTCACTATGCAAGGTAAGATGTCAATCAATCTTTTTTCTTTTTTCTTTTTTCTTTTTTTCAGAGAGAGACAAGGTTTCTCCATGTTGTCCAGGCTGGTCTGGAACTCCTGGGCTCAAGCGACCCTCCCACCTCAGCCTCCAAAAGTGCTGGGATTACAGGCATGAGGCACCATGCCTGGCCAATAAATCCTTTTTTTTTTTTTTTTTTGAGATGGATTTTCGCTCTTGTTGCCCAGGCTGGAGTGCAATGGCACCACCTCTGCTCACCACAACCTCCACCTCCTGGGTTCAAGCAGTTCTTCTGCCTCAGCCTCCCGAGTAGCTGGGATTACAGGCATGTGCCACCATGCCCGGCTAATTTTGTATTTTTAGTAGAGACAGGGTTTCTCCATGTTGGTCAGGCTGATCTCAAACTCCCAACCTCAGGCGATCCGCCCGCCTCAGCCTCCCAAAGTGCTGGGATTATAGGCATGAGCCACCGCGCCCAGCCCAATAAATCTTTTATAACGTCTCACAGTTTACCCCATTCTCTTTCTTTCCACAGCTTTCTATATCCACTCTTATCTATCATTCGTTTTTATCCCTTCAACTAAACCTTTAAAAACCTCTAGACAAATTTACTCTTCCCATAACAAAAACCACATTTTCATGCCTTCTTTATAATCTTTACCAAAGACATAACCTATTTTTCTTACATGCTCTGTATTCAGAATTGTTTCTTTTACATCTAGTAGTTTTAATTATATATATAAACTACAGTGTTTTTTGAGACAGGGTCTCCCTGTTCTTGCTCAGGCTGGAGTGCAACGGTGTGATCTTGGCTCACTGCAGCCTCTGCCTCCTGAGCTCAAACAATCCTCCTGCCTCAGCCTCCCAAGTAGATGGCACTACAGACCTGCACCACCACGCCTGGCTAATTTTTGTATTTTGTGTAGAGACAGGGTTTTGCCACGTTGCACAGGCTGGTCTCCAACTCCTGGATTCAAGTGATCTGTCTGCCTTGGTCTCCCAAAGTGCATTAACTACAATTGTAAGTCAGTAACTTCAAGTTTAGTGAAAAACCTAGGAAGGAATTTTGAACTGTTTTATATCAGCATTTTTAGATGGAAACCATTTCTTTTTTTTTTTTTTTTTTTTTTTTTAGAGTCTTGCTCTGTCGCCCAGGCTGGAGTGCAGTGGTGTGATCTTGGCTCAGTGCAAGCTCCGCCTCCCATGTTCATGCCATTCTCTTGCCTCAGCCTCCCGAGTAGCTGGGACTACAGGCTCCCACCACCACGCCCAGCTAATTTTTTTGTATTTTTAGTAGAGATGGGGTTTCACTGTGTTAGGCAGGATGGTCTCGATCTCCTGACCTCGTGATCTGCCCAACTCAGCCTCCCAAAGTGCTGGGATTACAGGAGTGAGCCACCGCACCCGGCCCATTTAATAATTTTTTAGGAAGATGTTTCCTCAATTTTTTGCTTATTAACAGATCTAAATATTTTTAACTTTTCTATACCATATAAAAATACAATGCCAACGTATATCAATTTAAAATTGTGTTTAATGATTGTTTCAGTATTTTAACTGACTTAAAAATAACCTCAGACATGTTGTGGCCGGGCGCGGTGGCTCATGCCTGTAATTCCAGCACTTTGGGAGGCCGAGGCAGGCGGATCACGAGGTCAAGAGATCGAGACCATCCTGGCCAACGTGGTGAAACCCCGTCTCTACTAAAAATACAAAAATTAGCTGGGCATGGTGGCGGGCGCCTGTAGTCCCAGCTACCCAGGAGGCTGAGGCAGGAGAATCGCTTGAACCCAGGAGGCGGAGATTGCAGTGAGCTGAGATCGTGCCACTGCACTCCAGCCTGGTGACAGAGCAAGACTCTGTCTGAAAAAATAAAATAAAAATAAAAAATAACCTCAGACATG